>NC_000002.12:45947928-46250958 GCF_000001405.40 Homo sapiens | reverse complement strand
TGTGGACCCTAGGCACCGTGTGTGCTGCAGCTGGTAGATAAGCTGGGCCTGGGTGCGGACTGTGGTTTTCAGGTGCTGGAAGCTCTCTCCACCCTCAGGTTTATTCATTGCCATCTCTTGAGTCTTCTGAAATCTTCACAGACTAGAATCTGGCCCTCCCCACACAGTTATTGCCTGACACATTAGCCAGTACCCTTAGGAGAAAATGAGCCCCCAGCCCAAATAGGCCGGCAATTTGAAAAGCTTGTAATATAAGAACCAAGTAGAAGTATTAGTTAGGAGCTTGTACTCTGATTAAAGAACACAATAGATGGATAAATAGCAGGATGATTACAACCTAGAAATGAATTCCTAAGCCCAAAATTGAAATGGAAAAAAGCTCTCAAAGAGAAAAAGGAAAGAATTAGAACACATGCAAGGGAAGTTAGGGGATATGAATTTGAGAGGTGGAAATGCTAATGTCTGTTTAATAGGAATTATGAGAAAGAGAAAAAGGGATAAAATACCTTATGAAATAATAGATATGTATTTCCTGAAATTAAAAAAGAAAAACCGAGCAACCTCAGATTGAAAGGACCTATAAGAGCACCAAAGAGGAGAAAAAAGGGAAGACTCATACCTATCTATAATGCAGTGAAATTTAAGACAATCAAGGACAAATATTCTAAAAGCCTAGAGAATTCATCAGGGTGCCTGGATATAAAATTAATATTCAAAAGTTGGTCGGGTGCGGTGGCTCACGCCTGTAATCCCAGCACTCTGGGAGGCCGAGGCAGTCGGATCACAAGCTCAGGAGATTGAGACCATCCTGGCTAACACAGTGAAACCCTGTCTCTATTAAAAAAATACAAAAAATTAGCCAGGCGTCGTGGTGGGTGCCTGTAGTCCATTAAAGAATATAAAATATGCAGGCATAAATCTAACAAGTGATGTTGAAGAACAGGGGAATGTTATTAAGAGATACTTAAAATACATAAATGGATGGAAAATACTTAATTTATGAACTGACAACCTGATTATCATAAAGATGTCAATTCTTCCCAATATGATCTATAAATTAAATGCAATTCCATTGAAAATCCATTAGGAGGCTTTTAAAAATGGAACATGAGAAAACAATTCTAAAATTTAATTGAAAAACCAAAGGGCCAAGAATAGGGCCCTTCTGAAGATGAGCAGGAAATTGCCTTACTGCATATCAAGACTTATTTTTAAGCTCTTGTGGTCAAAACAATGTGGTATCCCAGGGAGGTGTAGGTATAGACAAATTGATCAATGTGATAGAACAAAGAGTTCAGACCAGGAGGTGGAGGTTGCAGTGAGCTGAGATGGCGCCACTGCGCTACAGCCTGGGTGACAGAGCAATACTCCTCTCAAAACAAAAACAAAAACAAACAAACAAACAAACAAAAAAACAGAGCATTCAGAAACAGATTCATATAGCATGAAACTGTGGTAAATAATAGATGTCATACATTCAACCAGTGGGGACAAAAGGGATTAGTCAATAAATGAAACTGGGCGAAAATGGTTACTCAAAGAAAAATAGATTAAATTAGATCCTTTTACAGCTACAAATAGATTAGACTTAAATGTCAAGAACAAAACTTTAATATTCTTAGGAAAAAATATGTGTGAATATCTTTTATGCCTGGGGGTAGGAAAGGGTTTCTTAAAACACAAAAAGCATTGGCTAAATATAAAAGATAAGGCCGGGCGCGGTGGCTCACGCCTGTAATCCCAGCACTTTGGGAGGCCGAGGCAGGCAGATCACGAGGTCAGGAGATCGAGACCATCCTGGCTAACATGGTGAAACCCCGTCTCTAGTAGAAATACAAAAAATTAGCTGGATGTGGTGGTGGGCGCCTGTAGTCCCAGCTACTCGGGAGGCTGAGGCAGGAGAATGGCGTGAACCCAGGAGGCAGAGGTTGCAGTGAGCCGAGATTGCACCACTGCACTCCAGCCTGGGCGACAGAGCGAGACTCCGTCTCAAAAAACAACAACAACAACAACAACAAAAATACATATATGATAAATTGATTTGATTATATTAAAAGTAAGAATTTTTGTTTTTCAAGAGACAATTTAAAGTAAAAAAGATAAATTATACATTGGGAGAAGATATTTGCAATATACGCAACTGACAAAGATTAGTATCAAGAATATTTTCATATATATAACAACCATTTTAAATAAGAGGATAGACCCACTCAACCCGACAGAAGGATGGACAAGAGACATGACCAGAGATTTCACAGAAGGGAAACCATATGGCCAATAAACATGCAAAGATGTTCAACGTCATTGCTGATTAGGAAACACAAATCAAGATCATAATGAAACACTGTTTTGCATCCATTCAATTGGGAAATATTTTAAAAGTCAAACAATATCAAGTTTTTAGAGTGTGTGGATCCACATTTCCAGGGTCTCTTGTACATTACTAGTGGGAGCATAAATTGGTGAAACCATTTCTATAAAACAGCTTTGCACTATTTTCTAAAGTTGAAAATAAACATAATCTATGCCCCAGATTTTCACTCACTCACATGTACTCAGGAAACACATGTAAGAGTTCATAGCAGAGCTGTTTACAATAGCCAAAGTCTGGAAACAATCCAAATGTCTATCTCCAGAGAGTGGAAGATCATACTCTGGCATATTCTCACATAGGGATTAAAATAAATAAACTGTAGTGATAGACAATAATATGAATAAACCTAAGCAGTATAATATCAAGTGAAAAATGTAACTTTCCCCAGACTACATGCAGCATAACATCACTTTTACAAAGTTAGGTAAAAATTTTAAGATTACATTTAAGAAGTTATATGGATACAATAATAATATTAAAAAGCAGTACAAGAGCATTTCTATACACCAATAAGATCCAAGCTGAGAGCCAAATCGAGAATACAATCCCATTTACAATAGCTGCAAAATAAATAAAATGCCTAAGAATAACAGCTAACCAGACAGGTAAAACAAAAGAAATCATAGATGACACCAACAAATGGAAAAATATCCCATGCTCATGGATATGAAAAATCAATATTGTTAAAATGGCCATACTGCCCAAAGCAACCTATAGATTCAATGTTATTCTTATCAAGCTACCAATGACATGTTTCACAGAACTAGAAAAAACTACTCTAAAATTTATGTGGAAGCAAAAAAGAGCCCAAATAGCCAAAGCAATCCTAAGCAAAAAGAACAAAGCTGGAGGTATCACATTACCTGACTTCAAACTATACTACAAGGCTACAATAACCAAAACAGCATGGTACTGGTACAAAAACAGATACATAGACCAATGGAACAGAATAGAAAACCCAGAAATAAAGCCACACACCTACAACAATCTGATTTTCAACAAAGTCAACAAAAATAGGGAATGGGAAAAGGACTCCCTATTCAATAAATGGTACTAGGATAGCTGGCTGGCTACATGCAGGAGAATGAAACTGTACCCTTACCTTTAACTGTATAGAAAAATTACCTCAAGATGGGTCAAAGATTTAAATATAAGACCTCAAACTATAAGATTCCTAGGAAACACCATTCTGGACATCAGCCTTGGGAAAGAATTTATGACTAAGTTCTCAAAAGCAATTGCAACAAAACCAAAAATTGACACATGGAGCCTAATTAAACTAACAAGCTTCTGCACAGCAAAAGACACTATCAGCAGATTAAACAGAGCCTACAGAGTGGGAGAAAATATTTGCAAACTATGAATCTGACAAAGGTCTAATATCCATAATATGTAAGGAACTTAAACAAATCAACAAGCAACAAACAAATAATCCCATTTAAAAATGGGAAAAGACATTGAACAGACACTTCTCAAAAGAAGACTTATAACAACAATCATTGTGGCCAACAAGCATACCAAAAAAAGCTCAATGTAATCACTAATCATTAGGGAAATGCAAATCAAAACCATAATGAGATACCATCTCACACCAGTCAGAATGGCTATTACTGAAAAAGTTAAAAAATGACAGATGCTGGTGAGGCTGTCGAGAAAAGAGAATGCTTATCTATACACTGCTGGTGGGAATGTAAATTAGTTTGGCCACAGTGGAAAGCAGTTTGGAGATTTCTCAAAGAACTTAACATAGAGCTACCATTTGACCCAGCAATTTCATTATTGGGTGTATACCCAAAGGAATAGAAATCATTCTGCCATAAATACACATGAATGTGTATGTTCATCATAGTGTAAAAAGTAAAGCAGAGGTTCCTCTTCAAAGACTTTCCTCCCCATTTAATTAGGAAAAAATAGTAACTTCTCTTAGAAGCAAAATTTATTCAAAGACCTGTGCTAGCAGTCCTAAATATCTGCTAGCCATGATAAATAAATCAATGTACTTTATGTTCTTAGCTCCCACAATTTAGCCTAAATATTTGCCCTGGCATGCTTATACTGGTCCAAGCAAGCATTAGATAATAGCCTGTTCCTCTTCCTTATTTGAAGGTGTTTTTTACCTTTCTCAGCATTCCACAAGTTACTTCCTCCTTCCTTTGTTCTCCTCTGCCTTTGCCTCTTTAAAAAAGTTCTAAGTTGCTAGCCAATCAGGACAAATACAGAATGTGAGGTCCCGTTCCAGCCAATGGAAACCAGATACAACAGTAAGGTGGACGCATCAGGTTATAAATACCCTTCTCCTTTGTTCGGTGTACTCTCGTGGCAAAACTGCTGACAAGTGTACTCTTTCTGCAGGAAGTAAAAATGGCCTTGCTGAGTAAATTAAATTTATGTTCAAGTGCTATTTCTCTATGGCACCGGGGAACAAGCATTTCCAACAATAGCGCTATTCACAACAGCAAAGACACGGAATCAACCTAGATGTCTATCAACAGTGGACAGGCTAAAGAAAATGCGGTACATATACATCATGGAATACTACGCAGCCATAAAAAGAATGAGATCATGTCCTTTGCGACAACGTGAATGGAGCTGGAGGCTATTATCCTAAGCAACTTAACACAGGAACAGAAAACCAAATGCTGCATGTTCTCATAAGTGGAAGCTGAACATTGAGTACACATGGACACAAATAAGGGAACAACAGACCCCAGGGCCTACTTGAGGGTGGAGAGTGGGAGTTACCTGTTGGGTGTTACGCTGAGTACTTGGGTGACAAAATTATCTGTATACCAAACCCCTGCAACGTGCAGTTTACCCATGTAACAAACCTGCACATGTATCCCTTGAACCTAAAAGTTGGAAAGTTTAAAAAAAGAAAAAAGGGGTACAAGGAAATGAAGGATGCAGGATTCAGTATTATTATTACCTAATAAGTGGGGAAGGAAGGGAAAATTAGTTGTGAGAGGCGACCATACCATTGCATGTAAACTCATAGAGGCAAAGTAGATTCGTAGCCACTAAGGGCAAAGGGGTGGGGAACAAGCAATGACTGCTAATGGGTACAGGTTTTTTTGGGAGTGTGACGCAAATGTTCTGGAATTAAATGGTCGTGATGGCTGCACAACTTTGTTCATACATAAGCCCCACTAAATTGTGTACTTAGGAAGATGAATATTGTGATACAAGAATTATGTCTCAGGTTTTAAAAACAGGAAAAATCTCATTATAAAACTACAGTAATTAATAAAGTGTGTTTTGATTTAAAGATAAGTAAACAGATGAAGAGAAAATTATAGAGTCCAGGATTAGATCCACAGATAGATGGCCAGTTGATTTTCAACAAAGGTAAAGAAAGGATAGTATTTTCAACAAACAATTCTGGAAAAACTGGATGTATGTATGCAAAAAAAAAAAAAAAACCCAAAAAACCCTTTGACACATACTTTGAACCATATACAAAACTTAACTCAAAATGGATCATAGACCTCAATGTAAAACCTGAAATTATAAAAGTGCTAGAGGAAAACATACCAGAAAACCTTTATGACCTAGGGTTGGGCAAAGAATTCTTATGAACAGCACCAAAAAACATGTTCCCTTTTATTTAAAAAGAAATTTTCAAAAAAGTAAGGATAAATTGGACTTCATCAAAATTAAAAACCTCTCTTTAGGCCAGGCACGGTGGTTCACGCCTGTAATCCCAGCACTTTGGGAGGCCAAGGTAGGTTTATCACCTGAGGTCAGGAGTTCGAGACCAGCCTGACGAACACAGTGAAACCCCGACTCTACAAAAAAAAAAAAAAAAATTAGCTGGTCAGGGTGGCACATGCCTGTAATCCTAGCTATTTGGGAGGACGAGAAAAGAAACTCCTATGAAACCAGGAGGTGGAGGTTGCAGTGAGCTGAGATCGTGCCATTGCACTCCAGCCTGGGCAACAAGAACGAAACTCCATCTCAAAAAATAAAAATTAAAATTAAAAAGATAGAACCTCTCTTTAAAAGACATTTAAGAGTATGAAAAGAGAAGTCATAGACTGGGAAAAAATACTTGCAAATCACATTTCTAAAACAGGACTTTTATCCAGAATATAGGAAGACCTCTCAAAACTTTATAAAAACAGTAAAAATAACAATAATAATAACAATAATATAGCCTAATAATAAGTAAAGAGGGTGGTAGGAAACATTTGGAGATGCTGGACATATTTATACCATAGATTGTGGTGATAATGTCACAAACATATACTTATGTCAAGTTACATGCATTAAATATGTACAGCTTTTTATATGTCAATCAGACCTCAAAAAAGTGCTTTAAAAAATAGTTCTGGGTGTTACCTCAAAAGAAAAATAAAACCTCTACTGGAAGTAAGCAAACAACCCAATAAAAAATGAGCAGAACCTGTCAGCAGACACTTTACCAAAGACAGTAAGAGGATGACAAATAAGCACATGAAAAGAAGTTAAACTTCATTAGTCAGTAGTGATTTTTTTTTGTTTGTTTGTTTTGAGACAGAGTCTCACTCTGTCGCCCAGGCTGGAGTGCAGTGGTGTGATCTTAGCTCACTGCAACCTCCACCTCCTGGGTTCAAGTGATTCTCGTGCCTCAGCCTCCCGAGTAGCTGGGATTACAGGCATGCGCCACCATGCCCAGCTAATTTTTTTGTGTGTTTTTTGTAGAGACAGGGTTTCTCCATGTTGGCCAGGCTGGTCTCAAACTCCTGACCTCAAGTGATCTGCCCACCTCAGCCTCCCAAAATGTTGGGATTACAGACATGAGCCACCATGCCCCACCATGAAATGTAAATTAAAACCACAATGAAATGCCACTACTAATTTTAGTATGTCTAAAATCAGAAAGACTGATCATGTCAGGTGTTGGTGATGAGGTGGAAGAGCTAACTCCTGCACACTGCTGCTGGGAATATAAAATGGCACAACCACTTTACAAAATAGTCTGGTAGTTTTCTAAAAAGTTAAGTATACCCTACCATATAAACCAGTCATTCCACTGCTAGACACTTGCCCAAGAGCAATGAAATCATATGTATACCCAAAGACTTGTACACATATATTCACAGTAGCTTTGTTTGTAATGGCCACAACCAGAAACAATGCAAATACCCATCAACAGATGAATGGATAAACAAATAGTAATATATACCTACAGTGGAATACTACTTAGCAATAAAAACGAATACGCTATTGATAGACACAACACCATAGATGAATCTCAAAATAATTAAGCTGAGTGAAAGAATCCAACAAAAAGAGTACATGCTGTATGATTTTGTTTCTATAATATTCTAGAGAATGTGAACTATTTTATAAGCAGATCAGTGGTCACCTGGAGATGAAGGTAGGGTGGGAGGCAAAAAATGAATTACCAAGGGGCACAAAGGGCTTCCTTAAGCTGGATTCTTCCTTCCAAAGCTGGGACTGACGTTCTGCCAGGAGAGAATGTACAGAAATAATTTGAATGAATTAAAACCAAATCTGATAGCAGGAGACAGTTTTCTGATATAGATGTACAATGAGAGTTTAGGCCGGAAATTACTTTAAATGGGGTTTTTTTCCGAGGGGGATGTCTTCAATCTCTGTGTAAATATCCACATGCTTATGCATTGTAAACCAAGTGTATATATCTCTGTATGAATTTGTTGAACTGATTTTTGCTTCAAGAGAAGCCACATCTTTAATTTTATAAGGTTCCCTCCACCTGTAACCCTATACATGTTTGTAAACAGAAGGCTAAAATTAATAGTGATAGAATCAATTTGAGAATATCTGCTGAGAAACCAAAAAGTTCATTTTTTAAGTGCCTTGCTTAAAGAGGATAAAGATGATTCCTCTTGTTTATTTTTGGAAAGAAGAATGCACTTTAACAAACAGAGCGGCATGTGCAAATCCATGAAATGCGCACCCCTTCAGAAATCGTACTTTCTGAAAGCAGTACCAAATGCTCTGAAAGGCAGAGCCAAATGGGCTGTTGATCTCACTGCCTGTCGACTGAAGCTCAGATTCTGATCAATTTTGAGAGGAGCAGGGCTACTTCAAAAGAGCAATGTGGGCTGGGCACAGTAGCTCATGCCTGTAATCCCAGCACTTTGGGAGGCCAAGGCAGGCGGATCAGGAGTTCGAGACCAGCCTGGCCAACATGGTGAAACCCCATCTCTACTAAAAATGCAAAAAAAAAAAAAAAAAAAAAAAATTAGCTGGGCATGGTGGCAAGCACCTGTAATCCCAGCTACTCGGGAGGCTGAGGCGGGAGAATTGCATGAACTGGGGAGGCGAAGGTTGCAGTGAGCCAAGATCGCACCACTGCACTCCTGCCTGGGTGACAGAGTGAGATTCCATTTCAAAAAAAAAAAAAGCAATGTGAAAATGTGAATACGGCCATAAGCTTCAGATGAATCTGCAAAAATGGTGGGTCCTGTATTTCACCATTAACTAGCAAAACCAACAGAAAAACTCATAAAGAATAGTTTAAGAATCCTTCCTGCTGGTGTGCTCTCCTCACAATAGACTTTTGCAAATGGAGTTTTACAGTCTATATATTAAAAACGGCATAACAAAGTAGGCAGAAAAGTGAATGAGAAGCAAACAGGTGCACAACGAAATTTTGATGGTCTGGGTATGCTCATTATCTTGAATGTGGTGATGATTCCATGGGTGTAAGCATATGTCAAAACTAACAGATTGTGCTCTTCATTATCTGCAGTTTATTGTATGCCAGGCATACCTCCATAAAGCTGGTAAATACTGGCCTGTGTTCATAATTGGAAGCTGGATGATGGGTATATGGGAGTTCATTATCCTATTCTGTATGCTTTGTTTAACATTTTTTCAGTTAAAAAGAAAAAAAAATCCATAATTGTGATGGTCTGAAAATATGTTTACAAATTTGGTGATATGCCTCCCTTGCACAGGTGAAGTCTAATTCCCTTCTGCCCTTGAGTGTGGGCTGTACTTAGTGACAGCTGCTAATGAATAGGAAAGAGTGGAAGTGATGGTGTGTAATTCAAAGATGAGGTCATAAAAGGCAGTGTAGCTTCCTCCTTGCCCTGCCCTTCTCGAATTACTCACTTTGAAAGAAGCCAACTACCATGTTGTGAGGACACTCAAATAGCCCATATAGTAAGGAACTGCAGTCTCAGCTAACAGCCAGTGCAGAACGGAGTCCTTCTGCCAACAGTCATGGGCATGAACTTAGAAATGAATTCTCCAGCACAGTCAAGACTTCAGATTACAGTGCAGCCCCTACTGACATCTTGACTGCAATCCCATGAGAGATCCAAGTCAGAATCACCCAGCTAAGCCATTCCAGAATTCTTAATCCTGAGGAACTATGAGATAATAAATATTTGTTGTTTTAAGCCACTATATTTTGGCATAATTTGTTAGGCAGCAATAGATAACTTACATGCGAACATAAAAATTATTCAAAGGATAGGCAGAAAGATCATCCATATAAAACATGCTGGGCCATTTTAACAAAGTCAAAAGTTCCATTCAAGTACCAGCCTCTACAGCAGTATATCCTGGTTTCTCCAGCCCTTATTGCTGTCCTCTTTTATAAGCCGCTACAGACCTTGCTGTCTGGCCTGTGCAGTTTGTCTACACTGCCCTGGACTGTGGCAAGGCACAATCTTGTCTCTTCAGAGCCAGTCTTATAACCAAGACCAACCTTGTATCTCAAAAGAGGCTTGAAGATTCCAAAGGCCATCCTCTGCTTCCCTCATGACACAGAACACAGGGCAAAATTATGGACTTCAGTACCTTTTTTCCCAATTTTTTTTTATTATGGTAAAATACATACACATAAAATTACTATCTTATCCATTTTTAAGTGTACAGGTTAGTGATATTAAAGATGTTCATAATATTGTTTAATCATCACTAATATCTATCCCATAACTTTTCCATAAAACAGAAACCCTGTACCCATTAAATGAAACTGCATCCCCTACTTCCCCCAATCCCTGGAAGCCACCCATCTACTTTCTGTCTCTATGATTTTGACGACTCTGAGTACCTCATATTAGTGAGATAGTACATATTTGGGTTTTTTTGGTGAGAAAATAAATACTTTTTGATAGAAGTCAAGGAATCCAAACAGTACCATTCTCTACCTCATTCAAATTAGGGAAAGATTAGAAGTTTCTCTTGAGAGTGCTATCTCACTCCAGAGAATGATGGACTCAAAAATAAACAAGCATCAGAGGTAAGAGTCATTATCTCTGTTTTACAGATGAGGAAACTGAGCCTCAGAGATGTGAAATAACATTCCCAGGTTCACACACCTAGAAGTCAGTAGTGTCAACATTAGATGTCAGGTCTATCTTGAGAGGGTACCTCTATGTTTATGAGGAGCCCATGCCAGGGCCCAGCCTCTATCCACTGTAGAGGGAGATGGAAACCATCATGTTACAAAATAGTGGGCACATTACCCCAAGGATAACCTTTCAGATCCCCCGAGCCTTCTCCCCTGTCAACCGCCAGCTCCTTCCTCTGTGTTGCCTTCCCAGACTCCTCTGGCTCACCATGCCCTCCCCTCCTGAACTTAGCACAGCACTGCTGCTACCCAGCACCGCTTTCTGAATGTATCACCCATTTCCGGTGTGAGCAGACTGTGTGTATCTAGCTCACCTATGCATAGGGCAGGAAATGCATCTCAAAGCCTTCCCACTCAGTGTCTGGTGCTTGCCATGTCCTTGATTATTTGCTAAATTGCAGAGAATTGTGATCCCATAGCTGCTATTACTGAGCCTCTCAGATGCTAGGACTTGGGCAGCTGATTTCAGGTGAGCTGAGGCATCACAGCCCAGATCCTGTGGCACCTGTCAGGCACCTCTAAGGTGACTCCCAGGCCCGGACCATCCAACCAGGCTGCCCTCAGGAGGTCAGCTCCACCTGGTCCAGGCCTCTGTGGGAATGGGGTTTCTGAACATACTGCAAGGACAACAAAGCTTTATACTCTAGCCACAGAAGAAGCAGGAGGTCCTCCTCCTACCTACTTCCTATCCATCGAGGCCTGTAAAGCCTAGTGCCCTGGGGGAGTCAGAGTAGGAGGGCTGGCAAAGACCTGGGGCTTCAGGAGGAGGGAGGGAGCAGCCCTCTCTACTTCTGTCCTCAAGGGTGCAGAAGCTTCTTTGGCATAGCCAGGCCAGAGGGCCACAGCTGCCCACAGTTTCTCCTCCCAAATCAGGAAATTCTCTACAAGAATCACTGCTCTTCTAGGTCACACCGTGACCTCGTGGCCCGGGAGACAGACTGGGAAGTAGCTGTGGGCAGAAGGATGATTCATCATCACCATCATCACCACCATCACTACCATCATGATCATCATCCTCACCACCATTACCATATCACCATCATCACCACCACCACCTTCTAGGCATAAGGAACTGAAGAAACAAATGGCTGAAAGACATAGTACTTACTTTCAGAAACATACAATTTAGCCAGGGAGTGTATTAGTCCATTTTCATACTGCTGTAAAGAACTACCTGAGACTGGGAAGTTTATAAAAAAAAAGGTTTAATTGACTCACAGTTCCACATGGCTTAGGAGGCCTCAGGAAACTTAAACAATCATGGCAGAAGGTCAAGTGGAAGCAAGGCATGTCTTACATGGTGGCAGGAGGCAGGGTGGATGGGGACTGCCAAGCACTTTTAAACCATCAGATCTTGTGAGGACTCACAATCACAAGATCAGCATGGAGGAAATCTACCCCCATGATACAATCACCTCCCACCAGGTCCTTCCCTTAATAGTTGGGGATTATAATTTGAGATGAGATTTGGTGGGGACACAGAGACAAACCATATCAGGGAGGTAGCTACAATGTTACAAAATTTTCATTTTAGTATAGATTTTTAAGACAATGGCTTGGGGTTATGAGTTCAGATCACAGCTGTGCCCAGAGGGCCACAGGTGTTCAGAGCGGGAGTGCTGATTGTGAGCCCTGGGGTCAGGGGCTGACCCAAGGATGTGAGTGCAGGAGCCCAAGGGTCAGGCAGAGTCCAATCCCAACTACCTTGAAGGCTAGTGAGGCACCATGACCTTGGGCAAGTGCTTGAACATTTCTGGGCCTTGGTTTCCTTGCCTCTAAAACTAGGACAATAATAATAATACCCATTTCATGACATCGTTGTGAGGATTGAGATTGTGTGTATAACAGGCATGTGTACAGCAATATGTGCAATCCATGTTTCCACACACGCCTGGGTGCAGTGAGTGTTTATAGAAGGGGGCTGCTGCTGCTATTTATAGGAGAGGTGGCCCTCAGTCTTGACGGATGGAAGAGCATGCCCCAAGGGTAACAGCCTGAGCAAAGGTGCAGAGGCAAGACTGGGCAAAACTTATTTAGCAAAAAACAAAGAAGTTTATCCTGTTCCACATGGGTAGGAGGTCAGCAGAGGTTAGGGAACTAGCCAGGGTCTCCCAGAGACTCCGAGGCAGAAGGAACCTAGGCCCTCTGTGTTATGGCTATGTCCTTTTCCCTGTTCCACACTGCCCCACGTGGGGTTCAGTCTTTTCTTAGAAAGAATGAAGAAGTGGAAACAGGTTGCAGGAGGACGGGACCCAGCTTTGGTCTGGCTGTACCAGTGGCTCGACTCCCCTCTGCTGTATGAGTTCCTGAGGCTGTGGAGTGTGTGGTGGTGGGGGGTTGGCGGGAGACAGCAAGAAAGATTTCAGAGAACATGGGGTTCAGTTGGGGAACACGGAACAACTAGGGAAGATGAGGTGGCCATCCAAGAACAGATCTGCAGGCTGCTGAGGAAATGGCTGTCAGAGCTGGAGGTGCACACATATACACTTATACTACATGTAAGTCCCCACCCCCACAGACACAGGTCCAAAGAGGAGCACAAGAGGGAGGGACATGTGCACACAGAGGTGCAACAGACCTCACAGACTCACATAGGCTGAAATAGACACAGTCAGCACACAGGTGCACAGACACACCCCAAGCTGGAGGTCTACCTGCCAAGGGTAGGTAAGAGATTTCCTGGGCTGCTTTTTTAGATGTATGTTTGTTCAATGCACAAAGGTGCCTGGCTTAGCCGGGGTGGGGTGAACGGAGGATAAAGTTCACCCCCACCTCTATTTCCCAAGCTTTGCATCTTAATTTGGGGCTGTGCCTGCTAGGAGGAAAACACTCTTTTTCTCTGCACAAAAGCATCATTTGCTCATCAAGCCATTCAGCCACAGATCTGCATCTACCCAACGGTACCTGTTTCTAATTTGCACAGATGCCCAATGGGCTAGTGATGGCCCTGCATCTGCCCTGTTCACACTGAATTCCTAGCAGTTAGCACCATGTCTGGTAGGTGTTCAAGAAATATTTGCTGAATGAATTGAAGGTATATCTAGAGGGTAGACCCAAATGCATACACAGAGATACCCACGATACACACACGCGCACACACACACACACACACACACACACACACGGAAACCCTCATGAAATCATGAGGACAGAGGGGACCTGGGGAAGGGTGTGGGGTGAGGAGAAGTGCAGGCAGAGGGGAGCTGAGTGCCAAAGCTGGGCAGATCCTGAGTATTCAGAGAAACAGGGGAGGGTGCTCAAGCAGGGAGGACACAGGAGCAACAGGAGGAAAGGCATAGAGGACCCAAAGTCCAGGAGGGGCTCCAGGAAACATCCTTTGTGTACACACCACACTTTACACTCTGCAATCAACTTTTCATAGCTCATTTTACATTTGACAGAATAAGGGGCAGAGGAGAAATGACAAGCCTCAAGTCACACGGCCAGGAAGTGGCAGCCTCTCCTGCCTGTGCCCACTAAGAATGCACAACTGTGCTGGGGACACCTGTGTGTGTTAGGCTGCAGAGAACCTTGAATACCAGGCTAAGACTTTTGCATTGAGGAATGATTTTGAAGCCTTTGTGGACATCCCACCCTCACTTCACAAAACAATCACCATGCTTCCAGATGCTTAGAGACTAAGATGCCTCATTTCCATTTAACAGATAACAAATCTTAGACTGCTTTATAAAAAACAGATGTTTCAACCTACACAGACAGAGAGATGCACATGAGACATGAAGTGGGACACACAGACACACAGCAGACACACAGAGATGCCCAGAGAGCTGCATGGTTCAACATAGCCTCCCCTGTAATCACAGAGAGACCTCCACTTGCACCCTATAGCACAGACTAGTGTGCAGATATAGAGGCCCACAGACCAACCCACACACAGCATGGCAGGGGGCCCTTTGTTTTGAGGTTGGGGTGGGTTGTCTGTCCTTCTGCCTCATGCTTTGGCACAGCACGTGTCCATGAGAAGCCCAGACCAGTGGTCAGCAAGCCAGGCCCTTGGCCCTGAGCTCCCTTAGGTGAATCAGAGCCCTTCTCCACTACGTGGTGTTCTTCAAGCAATCCCTGGGGCTGAATTTCAAGTCTTTCTTCTCTGCCAAGTCCTTCTCGCATTTTGGTATTATCTGAGCCTCTGAGCTCAGAGGTGTTCACCCTGGGAGGTAGGTCTCATTATCTCCATTGGCAGGGGATGAAGACAGGCCCTGGCCAACCAAGGTCAAGTGACAAGCTAGAAGGCCTTCTCTCTCAAAGGCAGGACATTTCTCCCTGCTCCCTGCTCTCCTTTCTCCCCATACCCATTTCTCCCTAAGACTTGCAGAAATACCCCAAAGACATGAGGGCTAAGTCTATGGTGGCTGGAGAATTCGCAGACAAAGGAGCCAGACACAGCGGTCACCACGGGAGCTGAGAAGAGCAGATGAGGCAGCTCAGGATTGGGAGGGGCACTATGGAGACCAGCCCCTATCAGGTCTGAGCATTCTGGGGTACAAAATCTGATTGGCACCCATGCGCATTAGTTTGTATAAGGCCAGGAGTGAGCTCGGTGCTGGCTATGCCACTGCAGGTGAGACTGAAGTTAGATATAAAGGACTTTCTGTCTCAGAAGCTGAGATGCAATACTCCGTGGATCCAAGAAGAGGAGGCAGCAGCCATGATTCTGAAATGTACTAGGACAGACCAGCTCAGAGGGTGGGACCTGCGGGTGTCATCCACTTCTCTGGGTCTCAAAACCTTTTGGTAGAAATAGTTACAAGTAGCATATGCACAGCACATCGTTGTTTCCAAACTGCTGTCAGCTATAGTTCATTCTTTTTTTCTTTGAGATAGGGGTCTTGCTCTGTTGCCCAGGCTAGAGTGCAGTGGTGCCATCTAGGGTCTCACTCTAACCTTGAGCCCCTAGGCCCAAGTGATCCTCCTGCCTCAGCCTCCCAACTAGCTGGGACCACAGTCATGCAACACCACATTCAGCTAATTTTTTAAATTTTTTGTAGAGATAAGGTCTTGCTATATTGCCCAGGCTGGTCTTGAACTCCTGGACTCAAGCCATCCTCCTGCCTTAGCCTCTCAAAGTGCTGGGATTACAGGTATGAGCCACTGTGCCCGGCCTAAAGTTTATTTTTATCTATTACCGTATTCATCTGGGAGGAAGACTGGTACAGTACACAAGAGCATGAGTTTGCAGTGGCTCCCTAGGGTTAAACACTAACTCTATGGTGTGCTGTTTGAACTGAGGCAAATCTTTTAATTCCTCTGAGCCCATTTTCTCATTTGTAGAATGGGGATAAACAATAGTCCCCATTCCCTTACTTGGGGGTTAAAAGGAAGTTGGTAGCCTAGTACCTGGCACCCAAAGAGAGTTCAGTGTATGTTAGCTATTTGTGTTATGTAATTAATAGATTGATGCCTTGCCTCCATCTACAGAAGAATAAAGTTGGCTGCAAAATGGGCTTTAATCCTCCTAGCATCCCTGGGGGTGACCATCACCTCCACAGTGTATAGCTAAGGAACCTGAGCCTTGGAAAGATCCAGTGCCTTTTCCCAACCACACAGGGCAAACCCAGGACCCCTGCCCAGCCTCCGACTTCAAGTCCTGGGCTCTTTCCCTGGACCTTTTATAAATGCCACTGTCTTGTCATGCAGTCCCTGGTGTAGCCCTGGAGTAGGGATACCTGGAAGAAAGGTGGGAGGAGGTCAGGACCCCTTAGCTTCAGGAGGACTGAGTACCATGTGGCTGTCTCTATACTTAAGTGGCATAGTATGTGATGTCTTGTCTGAAGAAGATCTTTTTTAAATTTTAAACCTTAATACTGGTTTAGGTATACATATATATATGTATATATATATATATAAATATATATAAAAATCAGATACTGATTGAAAACGGAGAGGGTTGAGTAGAAAGGGGTGTGAGGGACATTTTGGGGAGATGAACTATTCTATAACTTGGATGATAGTTGCACCCAAATTGTCAAACATTATCAATTGACATGTACATTTTATTGTATGTTTATCAAATGATATCATTTTAATATAATATCAATTATATAGAAAAAATAGGCCAGATGTAGTGGCACACACCTATAATCCCACCACTTTGGGAGGCTGAGGTGGGCGGATCACTTGAGTTCAGGAGTTTGAAACCAGCCTGGACAACATGGTGAAACCCTGTGTCTACAACAAATACAAAAAATTATCTGGGCATGATGGTGTGTGCCTGTAGTCCCAGCTACTCAGAGGCTGAGGTGAGGGGATCACCTAAGCCCAGGAGGTTGAAGCTGCAGTAAGCCATGATTGCACTTTCCAGTCTGGGAGACAGAGTGAGACCCTGTCTCAAAAAAAAAAAAAAAAAAATTTAAGTTGCAATCCCAGCACTTTGGGAGGCCAAGGAGGGCAGATCACAAGGTCAGGAGTTCAAGACCAGCCTGGCCAACATAGTGAAACCCCATCTCTACTAAAAATACAAAAAATAAATTAGCCTGGCATGGTGGTGGGAGCCTGTAGTTCCAGCTACTTGGGAGGCTGAGGCAGGAGAATTGCTTGAACCTGAGAGGCAGAGGTTGCAGTGCGCTGAGATCGTGCCACTGCACTCCAGCCTGGGTGACAGAGTGAGACTCCATCTCAAAAAAAAAAAAAAAAAAAGTTTAAGCCTGCCTTTGGGGCCTTTTTCAGCTCAATAGGAGGCTGAACTCCTGAACTCCCTCTGCAGCTCTGTGTATGGCAGTCCTGGGGGCTTGTAGGAACCCTGAATGGAGGCTTCATCTGCCATCAGGAGTGTACACCCTTACACACACAAGCACACATATGCACACACACAAAGCCAGATGGAGGGAAACAGAGGAACAGGGCAGAGGAGCTGCAGAACACTAGCAGCTGAGCCCCCAAGGTATATTTGAGTCTCCTGTTTACCCGTAGAGCTGGGCACTATGGAGGGCTCCAGCAGAATGTGAGGTGGGGGTGGGAATGGAGAGGAATGTGTCCTAGGCTGCAGCTGGAGTGAACTGGCCGTCACCCCAACTTCACTGTCCCGGGCCATGTTCCGGGACTCCCCCTCCTGGGAGCCCTCCAGAAACCCTGCTGGGCTGAATTGGCTCTCTGTCTAGGACCAGGGCATTCATCCACGAATTGAGATGCTGGAGCTGAGTCAGAGGATGGGCAAACTTCAAGGACGTGAGGGAGAGCACGCTGGAGCTGTCCACGCCTCCCACCCCACCCAGTCCACAGCAGCAGCCCAGCCACATCCCAGGCTGCCCTGGCAGACCCTCCATGCAGAGCCCTGACCACACAGGTTCCTGGGTGGCCCACCCTGCCCCCACAGCCAGGTGGCCACTGGGACAGAGGCAGGACCCTAGACCTGACTGAGGAGGAGCTGGTGCAGGGTGAAATGGGGGTGGAGGGGCAGTATTTGAGCCCCCAGCATTTAAAAATCCGTTATTAGTGTTTAAAACATTTAAAAGATGCATCTAAGAAAATAGAGAATTAATTTTGGGATCATCTGTTGTGCTGATTTTTCCAGATCATTTATTCATTTATCTAACAAAATATTGAACTGAAAGCCTATTATGCAGGGCTCTGTATTAGGCACTTGGACTCTCTATACAAAGATGTATAAAATAGTCTCCACTTCCATGATGTTTACAGCCCAATTAAGGAGATAGATCAGTAACAACTCACAATAATAACAGAAAGAAGGGGCCCTGTGCAGTGGTTCACGCCTGTAATCCCAGCACTTTCAGGAGGCTGAGGCGGGTGGATCACATGAGGTCAGGAATTCAAGACTAGCCCGACCAAAACGGTGAAACCCCATCTCTACTAAAAATTCAAAGATTAGTCAGGCGTAGTGGTGGGTACCTGTAATCCCAGCTACTTGGGAGGCTGAAGCAGGAGAATTACCTGAACCTGGGAGGTGGAGGTTGCAGTGAGCTGAGATCGAGCCACTGCACTCCAGCCTGGGCAACAGAGGGAGATTACATCTCAATAATAATAATAACAGAAAGAAGGAAATCAGTGCTAACAAAAGGTTATAAGCACTAGCAACACGGGCCCAGAGTGAGGGGTTCATTCTAGCTGGAGGGGTTTAGGGAAGGCTTCCTGGGAGGGAAAGGGAAGGAGGGGCAGCACTTATCTGAGCTTGAAAGCTAAGTGTACCTGGTGAGAGGAATGGCATAAGCAAAGACTGTGTGGGCTCAGCAGCTGGACCTCTGGGGACGGTGCCTTGGAGCCTGGCTGATGAACGGGGTAGGCCAGGTCTTGGAACACCTGCCCATTCACCCCAGAACAAGAAGACCAGCTTCAGAAACCACGTGACCCCACCTCCTAGCTCTCAGTTGATTAGGTCAGCCTGGGTACCTCTGTTTTCCTTTGCGGCCAGGCAAGAACATTCGGCCCAAAGGAATATTGGCACTAATTGGATCAATAGATCCTTCCCCTGGGGGATTGTAAGTGGAGACATAGAAAAAGACAGGTAGCTGGCTGGTGTTGAGAGTAGAAGGAAAAAAGCAAAGAGAGCAGCAGAGGGCTGTGTGTCCTTCTGTGAGAGTAGAGCACAGAGCTGAGGAGGTAACAGGGTGGCCCTACCTCTGAGCCCCTCATCTGTACCCCAGTCTCCACAAGCCCTGACCCTGCTCTTCTCCTTGCTCTTTCTTGGTGGCGCTTCCTGGCCTTTGCCTAGCCACAGTGTTGACTAGGTCTAGCCACACGGTTGACTTCCCTGTGCATCCTCACCTGGCCTCCCCAACTCACTGCAGAAAGCAACTTGGTCTTTACAGTTAGCTCCATAAGGAACCAACGCCTTGAAGGGCAGGCTGGGAGCTGGAGTTCTAGTTCATGGCTAGTGGGATACTTAGAAAATTTCTGAGCCGTTTAGGAATGTCTCTGGCAGCAGAATGGAGAAGGGGATAGAGCAGAGCCAGCCTGGGGTTAGGACAGTGGTCAGGAGGAGCTCCCGGGCCCCAGAGGAGAGGATCTGAAGGGGAATTGGGACAGCAGCTGTGGGGTGTGTCACATAAGAGGAAACCAAATAGCCAATCAACAGGTGAAAAGGTGCTTCACAGGCCCAGTTCTAATATCTGTGAGGCTCAGAGCCCCTAAGTCTAGTGATAGCCCAATTCACATCTTAATATTTCAAAATTATTGAGTTAACAATCATTAAGTAAAGTACATTCTATCCTTCTAATTTTGCAAATACACATTCATTATGACCTGGAAGGCCAGGTTGAAATTCAGAACATTCGGTTCCTGGGAGTTCCATGCCTGAATGTGGTGGTTCAGGAAAAGCAGGTCCCCAGCCCCCAGCCTCCATCCCACCCGCCTTTACTTCCTGTCCCCAGCAACATCCTGTCCTGCAGAGGACCTCACACTCATGCCAGGGGACACTCCAGCTTACATGTCCAAGCTCCACCCTCCCCCCAGCAAACTACTGCCCCATGGCTGCTCTCCAAACTGGAGATGATGGGGATGCTTGTTACCACTTACCCTAAGAAACAGGCCTGGGGGAGCAGCCCATGCAACCTGGTTTGGGAACATCTGGGCAAGGAATTCCAGAGTCCTGAGCACCAGCTTCATCCCTGACTAACTGGATAACTCAACCTCCATGAGCCTCAGTTTGGTCACCTCTAAAGACTCCATAAAATGTCCTCTACTAGGTTACAATATTATGAGGTAAAAACATTACATAACTCTAAGTCCAGATGTTAGCCCAGTGCATTTAACTGGGCTGCGTGCTAACCTGACAGCTTGACCCAGGCTGCGGGATGTCACCAGGTATAGGGGTCAAGCTGAGACAGGGCTGGGCTCCAGTGGAACCCTCCTGCTGCCCTGCTGGGGAAGGGGAGGAAGTGGCTAACCAGCACCAGCCACAGCCCCAGGGCCAGGTGAGCAGGAGCCTTGACTCTGTCCCCTGGGCCTCCTCTGGCCTCAGAGCGATCCCTGCCTTGGCGGGGAGGCCTGCCTGGGCACTCGGAGCTCTGGCACCACCCTGAGTTGGGTAACAGTATTCCTGCCTCGCAGCTGTGTCTGCCCACTGGGCTGGCTTGCAGCTTGGGGAGGCTGGTGTGTGTGCCAGAAACAGGGAGACCTATTTTTGCCCCAGCCACAGGCCCATGGCCAGAAAAAAAGTTAAATAAAGATGATTTTGTTTTTTCTTGGTGTATAGAGTGCAACTCACTTACTTTTTAACAGACAAGATCAAAGGATCTCTTCAGTAAGAATAATGAATCGTAAATGAATGCAGGTCTACAATGAGACCAGCAAAATGGGGAACTAGAAGGGAGGAAAAGGGGAGGGAGAGAGAGTGAGGGAGAGCTGGAGGGAGAAAGACAGGTGGATAGAGACAGGAAAAACTGGAGTGAGAAAGAAAATCCAGTATCAATAAGCATCAATACCCTGAAGGGGTGATGAGAAAGAGAGAGACAGATACCAAGAGAGACAGACGGATGGAAAAAGAACAAAGACTCAGTGGGGTTTTCGGACTGCAGCAAAGGAGGTGGTGAGATGACGCATATTCGGATGTGACTTCATCCTGGTTAACCATTATTCAAGCTCTTCAATTGTTGCACTCTACGAACCCACAGGGAGTCCATTCTCAGTGAACTAACACAAGCAGGCCATAGCAGAGGAAGCTATTCCATTACCACAAGTGCTGTCTCAAGCCAAGGGGGCACATTTACCTGGAACATCCCTGTCATGTCCTTGAATGAGGGCAGGGGAAGGGTTAACCTGCAGCAGACTCTGGTAGACAGCTTCCATCCCACCTAGTGGTGAGGATAATCAGAGAAGGAAAGAAATCTCCTTCCATATAGCTTTTCAGAACAGCAGGGTCCCAGCTCCAGCCAGGGAAGGCTGCGCACCCGGGCCCAGTGAACTTGAACCAATTGTTTCACAAGATGAGATCTGACAAGCACCAGGGAGACAGCCCTACCCCAAAATATCTTTCCCACTGCCTGTCAGGACTTTGGCCTCCATTGCAAGGTAACAACCTCAGTCAGGGTAGGAGTCAGGAAGCCCAGCGGGGAGTCCCCAGCAGAGCTTTCCATGCCCGGATTCCCCATCTTAAGTGGGGATAACATTCCTTTCCTGCTCATTTCCCAGGGCGGTTATGAGAACCAGTTTGTCAATGGATATGCAAGATCATGGCTTGAGTTTGAATCCTGGCTCTGGTATAACTGGCTGGGTGGTGATTCTCGTCCTATGTTCTGCCACCTATAATAAGAAAAAAACAAGGTTGTTGTGATAATGAAGAAAAGTAATGTTTGTAATGATCTGGTACCAGCTGGTGGCCATAGAAATTACTTAGGTATTGGCCAGGCATGGTGGCTAACACTTGTAATCCCAGCACTTTGGGAGGCCTAGGCAGGAGGATCACTTGAGCCCAGGAGTTTGAGACCAGCCTGGGAAACATGATGAGACCCTGTCTCTATTAAAAAAAAAAAAAAAAGCCAGGTGTGGTGGCACACCTGTAGTTCCGCCTATTCTGGAGGCTGAGGTGCAAGGATTGCCTGAGCCCGGGAGGTCAAGGCTGCAGTGAGCTGTGATCATAGCACTGCACTCTAACTTGAGTAAAAGAGTGAGGTTCAAAAAAAATTACTTAGGTACTTTCCCTAAAAGTAAATCTATTTAGCTAAAATTATTGGTATTTCTGTGTATAGAGAACCATCTCACCCTCTGGACCCAAATGCATCTATTCTGGAGGGAAGCACACACCTAACCTGTCATTAACATCTTTTTCAAACATTTTCCAATAGGATAGGTAGCTGAGAGCAAGTTTCTGATGGTCTGCTATCTCACAGCAGAGGTAAGACTTGATAAAGAAAGAGGGGTGAGAAATTGCTCCACAGTTGGGGCACTGCCTGGGTTCCACCCAGCAATCAATCAATTCTCTGCCTGGTAAATTCTCACATGTTCTTGAAGACTCGATCCAGGTGTCACTTGTCAGTGATGCCTTCTCTAGTCAGACATTTTGACTCCTGTGAGTCCCACCAGTCTTTGTCTATAACCATTATATTGTATTTCTCACGTTTTACTGTAATTGCCTCTCCTATCAAACTGTGAGTTCTTTGAGAACGGGGACTGCATCATATTCAATTCTGCCTCACCAGTCCCTGCTTGGTCCAGAAAGGCACTCAAGGTCTACTGAATAAATACCCAGGCGTGTCTCTCTGCTGGGAGGACCAGAAATATTTAACCTGTGAGAGGATACTTCTAGCTATCAAAATAAAAGTTCTTTCATGTGCATGCTTTCACAGATTACAAATTTATATACCTGTTGCCTCATTTGCTTTTCACAGTAGTCCCACAGGGTAGATAGGAAAGGCGCTGTATCCCATACGACAGCTAAGAAGAACTAAGAGAGGCCGAAGGGTTTGCTCAAGGTCACCCACCTACTGAGTAGCCGAGCCAGGACTGGCACCCAGGTGTCTTGAATTCTAGTCCAAGACAAATCTGCTGAAGGCTTGCTGGGTCAGGAAAGTACAGGTCAGTGGGGAATATTATTTTCTAGGTTTTTTCTTTGAGCCAAAGAATTATATAACTTTTAAAGAAAGCTTGTTCTGAAAAAAAAGTCCAATAGGCAAAACATACAAAACATATGACAGCAGACTGTTACATTATTTTGTAAGTTCAAATTTATTACATTTAATCATGATTAAGTTGATCAATGAGAACAGCAAAACTGTTGTAAATCACACAGAAAAATGTAAAGTTCGATGTGCATGACCTCTGCAGCCAAGTGAGCTTTATTATCCAATGCATTTTTATTTGGAATCATAATCATTGTTTAGTTTTACAGCTTGCATTAGGAACAGTAGCTAAGAACTTTCTATTGACCATCCAGTAGGTGCCAGATCATTACAAATGACTTGTCTTCATTTGTCACACATGCAGACTCATAACTATAAATACTATTAACATTTTTTTTTCTGAATTAAGATATCTTGTCCCCTTTTCAACATGAGCACGTGCAGAACAGCCACTCTTAATGATGCACCTAGTAATCTGTGGGAAGAACGTATCATTTGTTTAGCAAGTTCTGTACTGAGAGACGTTTGTATTATTTTCCACTGAGTATCTTCAAACATACTGCATACTTCCATGAGTTTATCTGTAGTATAAAACCCCAGAAGAGGGGTTACTCAAAGAGCAGGTGAATTATACATTTTCATAGATATTCCAAATTAGCCTTCAGTGAAGTCTTTCCCAATTCACACTCTCATATACTGTGTATGAGGCTGCCATTCTGTCCTCACCATTACCAATGACGAGTACATTATTTTTTTATTTGATGCCAATATGTTACAAAATATCATATCACTTTAATTGGCATTTCTTTTATTATGAATGAGATGGAGTATTTTTTCATGTGACTACGGATGATTATATACCTATTTTCTGTGATGTCTATTTATATCCCTTGCGTATTTTTCTCTTTGAATATTAAGGGGGTTTCCACACCGACTACTCCTCCGGTTACCAATGGGTTCCACACTGACTACTCCTCTGGTTACCAATGATCTACATCTTGTCACCTTTAATGAACCATTCTCTGTTCTTATCTTCTTGATTATTCATCAGTGTTCAAAACAACTGACTACTCCCTGCTTTTCCGTTATTTTTCTCAAGTTTAATTGTTTTTGGTTTATTTTGATGAAAATTTATACAAACATAGTTGAAAGAATAGGCCAGTTTTATGAGGTTTATTAAGAAAATTAGCACAAATTTTGCCATACCCTTCATTAATTCCTGCTCCCCAGAGGCAACCAATTTCAGCAACTATAGTTGATTCATTTGGTATTTAATTCCACATCTCTAAATAACATGCTTATATTGCTATTTATTGATTTTTCAGTTCAAGATAGTACCTATTGATTTCCCACTATGGAAAATGAAGATTTAGCTGTCTTTTAATCCCTGGTCTGCACCACCACATACATGCATACTTTTCATTCCTCTGCCCTCTCAGTATAATTATATTATGATTTTTCACTAGATCAGTATTCTGTGTTCACATTTTTATGACTTTGTAAATGCCAGTTGCAGCAGAGATATATAGTAAACTTTGGTTGTGTTACCTTTCCTGCACAGTTTATTGTTTTGTCTGGAATTAATGCTTATTTTTCCATTGCCTTCCTTTTTGAAGAATTTATCACTAAGTTCACTATCTGAAGTAGTTCAACTTTAAACTCTTCCCCACTTGTGTAAATCTCTCAGTGTGTTTAAACACATTAGGTGTTCTATCAATTTAACCTTGAAACAATCTCCTGAATCTTCTGCCCTTTTAAAGTCCGTTCTGTTTGCCCTCTGCACTTGGCACATAGCTGTTGTCTTGGGAAATCCTTTCTTCATCATTCTGGGGATTTCCTTCTCCTCTTCCTTGTATTGAATCCCTTGTTTCCTGAATCCTCTGTTTTCCCAAGGTTTCTGAGAAAGGGTGTGTGGGAGATAATTTTTTTAACTTGCATATCTTAAAGTGTCTTTATTCTACACTAAAACTTAATTGATAGTTTGACTTGGGTATTAAATTATAGGTTTAAAGTAATTTTTCCCAGAATTTTAAATATATTGCTTTAGGATATGTCTTCATTTATTCTATTTGACATTATATATTATGTCTTACAATGTTGCCTTTGAGGAGTATGTAGCTATTTTTTTCTTTATTTCTTTTTAGACATGGGTTCTTTCTGTGTTGCCCAGGCTGGCCTCAAACTCTTAGCCTCAAGTGATCCTCTGCTTCAACCTCCCAAATAGTTGGGACTACATGGGCACACCACTGCATCCACTCCTATGAAGCCATTTTGATTCTAAACATTTGGTATGTGACATCCTTTTTTTCCTTCCTAGAATCTTGTGAAATTTTCTCTTGACTTTCAGTGTTCTGAAATTTCATGCTGTTGTTCGTTGGAGTAGAGTCTATTTTAATCCACCGCAGTAGAAACTTCATGCTCTTCTCATATAGGAAATTTTCTTCTATTATTTCTTTGATTATTTTTGCCCCTTTACAATGATCCTGGCCTCCTGCTATGCATGCTGTTGTGTACTCCCTTTCAACATTAAAAGGGAGGACCTGTGTGACCAGTAGGATATTGTGAAAGTGACAATGGATGACATCAATGGGTAGTCATAAAAGACCTTTCACCTTTTTTCTTGGTCTCTTGGATTACTCTCTCTGGGAAAAGCTAGCTGTCATGTCATGAAGATACTCAAGTGACCCTGTGGAGAGATTCACATAGTGAGAAATTGAGAAAGAACATAAACCTGCTAGTCACATGAGTGTGCTGCCTTGGAGCAAATTCTCCAGCTACAGCCAGTCTTAAGAAGACTGCAGCCCTGGCCAACATCCAGCTGAACCTCATGAGAAACCTTGAGGCAGACCATTCAGCTGAGTCACTCTTGAACTCGTGGCCACAGGAACTGAAAGAGATATAAATGTTTACAATTTTTTAAGCCACTAAGTTTTGAGGTAATTTGTCACCCCAAATAGATCATTAATATATACTCTTTTTCTGTAACCTCTAATTATTGGGTGTTAGATCTCCTGAACTAGATCTCTGATTTTCTAATTGTTTTACTCCTATTTATTATCTCAATGTCTCTTCATTCAATTTTTCTGGAGGTTTCCTCATCTTTATCTTTAAATCCTTCTATTTAAGATCATGATGAAGTAGTCAGCATCAGAATAACCTGCTTGCTACACACACACACACACACACACACACACACACACACACACAGAAAAAACACTAAAATATTAAGAAAAGGTAACAACCAATTTTTTTTTTTTTACTGAAAACATGCATGTCTTTAATTAAAGCAGAGGAATATCACTTTCTTCTGAAAAGCACTGTTCTTTTTTTTAAATTAGACTTTAAGTTCTAGGGTACATGTGCACAACGTGCAGGTTTGTTACATATGTATACATGTGCCATGTTGGTGTGCTGCACCCATTAACTCACCATTTACATTAGGTATATCTCCTATCCCTCCCCCCTCCCCCCACCCCACGACAGGCCCTGGTGTGAGATGTTCCCCATCCTGTGTCCAAGTGTTGTCATTGTTCAATTCCCACCTATGAGTGAGAACATGCGGTGTTTGGTTTTCTGTCCTTGCGATAGTTTGCTGAGAATGATGGTTTCCAGCTTCATCCATGTCCCTACAAAGGACATTAACTCATCCTTTTTTATGGCTGCATAGTATTCCATGGTGTATATGTGCCACATTTTCTTAATCCAGTCTATCACTGATGGACATTTGGGTTGGTTCCAAGTCTTTGCTATTGTGAATAGTGCCGCAATAAACGTGTGCATGTGTCTTTTTTTTTTATGTCTGTCACATCCAGTTTTATTCAACAAGCATTTACAAAACATCTTCAATGTATCAGGCACTACTAGATGCTAGGCATACATAGATGAACAAAACATATCTTGCCTTTAAAACCTCCTCTTGGAGCTCACAGTTTGGTAAGGGAGATAGACTAATTACAGTAGAACATGGAAGGGCAATAATACTATATTATCAGTGTTGTATAGGGTATAAGGTGGTTTCAAAGAGGAAGTGGTTAACTCAGTGAAGGTTTTGAGGAACAGTCAAGTTTTGTGGGTTTTTTTTTAATTAAACATTTTGTTTTAAGATAATTGTAGAATCACATGCATTGCAAGAAGTAATACAGAGAGATTCCATATACCGTTTGCATAGTTTCCCCAGTGGTAACATTTTACAAACATATAGTACAATATCACAACCAGAATATTGACATTCATACGGTCAAGATACAGAACACTTCCATCGCCACAACGATCCCTCCTGTTGCCTTTTTTGCACAGTATTCCCCCAACCCTATCCACACCTTCACTTTCTGCAGTTTAACTTATCCATGGTCAACCACAGTCTGAAAACTTTATGCATTTTGAGAGAGAAAGAGACCACAATTGCATAACTTTTATGGTCTTTATAGCAACGTGATTTATAATCCTTTGGGTATATACCCAGTAATGGGATGGCTGGGTCAAATGGTATTTTCTAGTTCTAGATCCTTGAGGAATCGCCACACTGTCTTCCACAAGGGTTGAACTAGTTTACAGTCCCTCCGACAGTGTAAAAGTGTTCCTATTTCTCCACATCCTCTCCAGCACCTGTTGTTTCCTGACTTTTTAATGATCGCCATTCTAACTGGTGTGAGATGGTATCTCATTGTGGTTTTGATTTTCATTTCCCTGATGGCCATTGATGATGAGCATTTTTTCATGTGCCTATTGGCTGCATAAATGTCTTCTTTTGAGAAGTGTCTGTTCATATCCTTCACTACTTTTTCGTGGAGTTGTTTGATTTTTTCTTGTAAATTTGTTTAAGTTCTTTGTGGATTCTGGATATTAGCCCTTTGTCAGATGGGTAGATTGTAAAAATTTTCTCCCATTTTGTATGTTGCCTGTTCACTCTGATAGTAGTTTCTTTTGCTGTGCAGAAGCTCTTTAGATTAATCAGATCCATTTGTCAATTTTGGCTTTTGTTGCCATTGCTTTTTGTGTTTTAGTCATGAAGTCCTTGCCCATGCCTATGTCCTGAATGGTATTGCCTAGGTTTTCTTCTAGGGTTTTTATGGTTTTAGGTCTAACATGTAAGTCTTTAATCCATCTTGAATTAATTTTTGTATAAGGTGTAAGGAAGGGATCCTGTTTCAGCTTTCTACATATGGCTAGCCAGTTTTCCCAGCACCATTTATTAAATAGGGAATCCTTTCCCCATTGCTTGTTTTTGTCAGGTTTGTCAAAGATCAGATGGTTGTAGATGTGTGGTATTATTTCTGAGGGCTCTGTTCTGTTCCATTGGTCTATATCTCTGTTTTGGTGCCAGTACCATGCTGTTTTGGTTACTGTAGCCTTGTAGTATAGTTTGAAGTCAGGTAGTGTGATGCCTCCAGCTTTGTTCTTTTGGCTTAGGATTGTCTTGGCAATGTGGGCTCTTTTTTGGTTCCATATAAACTTTAAAGTTTTTTCCAATTCTGTGAAGAAAGTCATTTGTAGCTTGATGGGGAGGGCATTGAATCTATAAATTACCTTGGGCAGTATGGCCATTTTCACGATATTGATTCTTCCTACCCATGAGCATGGAATGTTCTTCCATTTGTTTGTGTCCTTTCTTATTTCCCTGAGCAGTGGTTTGTAGTTCTCCTTGAAGAGGTCCTTCACATCCCTTGTAAGTTGGATTCCTAGGTATTTTATTCTCTTTGAAGCAATTGTGAATGGGAGTTCACTCATGATTTGGCTCTCCTTTTGTTGGTTGTTGGTGTATAAGAATGCTTGTGATTTTTGCACATTGATTTTGTATCCTGAGACTTTGCTGAAGTTGCTTATCAGCTTAAGGAGATTTTGGGCTGAGACTAAGGGGTTTTCTAAAAATACAATCATGTCATCTGCAAACAGGGACAATTTGACTTCGTCTTTTCCTAATTGAATACCCTTTATTTCTTTCTCCTGCCTGATTGCCCTGGCCAGAACTTCCAAAACTAAGTTGAATAGGAGTGGTGAGAGAGGGCATCCCTGTCTCGTGCCAGTTTTCAAAGGGAATGCTTCCAGCTTTTGCCCATTCAGTATGATATTGGCTGTGGGTTTGTCATAAATAGCTCTTATTATTTTGAGATATGTACTATCTATACCTAGTTTATTGAGAGTTTTTAGCATGAAGGGCTGTTGAATTTTGTCGAAGGCCTTTTCTGCATCTATTGAGATAATCATGTGGTTTTTGTCTTCGGTTCTGTTTATATGATGGATTACGTTTATTGATTTGCATATGTTGAACTAGCCTTGCATCCCAGGGATGAAGCCAACTTGAACATGGTGGATAAGCTTTTAGATGTGCTGCTGGATTCAGTTTGCCAGTATTTTATTGAGGATTTTTGCATTGATGTTCATCAGGGATATTGGTCTAAAATTCTTTTTTGTTGTGTCTCTGCCAGGCTTTGGTATCAGGATGATGCTGGTCTCATAAAATGAGTTAGGGAGGATTCCCTCTTTTTCTATTGATTGGAATAGTTTCAGAAGGAATGGTACCAGCTCCTCTTTGTACCTCTGGTAGAATTCAGCTGAGAATTTGTCTGGTCCTGGACTTTTTTTTGGTTCGTAGGCTATTAATTATTGCCTCAATTTCAGAGCCTGTCATTGGTCTATTCAGGGATTCAACTTCTTCCTAGTTTAGTCTTGGGAGGGTGTATGTGTCCAGGAATTTATCCATTTCTTCTAGATTTTCTAGTTTATTTGCGTAGAGGCGTTTGTAGTATTCTCTGATGGTAGTTTGTTTTTCTGTGGGATTGGTGGTGATATCCCCTTTATCATTTTTTATTGCGTCTGTTTGATTCTTCTCTCTTTTCTTCTTTATTAGTCTTGCTTGCGGTCTATCAATTTTGTTGATCCTTTAAAAAACCAGCTCCTGGATTCATTAATTTTTTGAAGGGGTTTTTGTGTCTCTATTTCCTTCAGTTCTGCTCTGATTTTAGTTATTTCTTGCCTTCTGCTAGCTTTTGAATGTGTTTGCTCTTGCTTCTCTAGTTCTTTTAATTGTGATGTTAGGGTGTCAGTTTTAGATCTTTCCTCCTTTCTCTTGTGGGCATTTAGTGCTATAAATTTCCCTCTACACAACTGCTTTAAATGTGTCCCAGAGATTCTGGTATGTTGTGTCTTTGTTCTCATTGGTTTCAAAGAACATCTTTATTTCTGCCTTCATTTCGTTATGTACCCAGTAGTCATTCAGGAGCAGATTGTTCAGTTTCCATTGTTCAGTTTCCATGTAGTTGAGCAGTTTTGAGTGAGTTTCTTAATCCTGAGTTCTAGTTTGATTGCACTGTGGTCTGAGAGACAGTTTGTTATAATTTCTGTTCTTTTACATTTGCTGAAGAGTGCTTTACTTCCAGCTATGTTGTCAATTTTCGAATAAGTGCAATGTGGTGCTGAGAAGAATGTATATTCTGTTCATTTGGGGTGGAGAGTTCTGTAGATGTCTATTAGGTCTGCTTGGTGCAGAGCTGAGTTTAATTCCTGGATATCCTTGTTAACTTTCTGTCTCATTGATCTGTCTAATGTTGACAGTGGGATGTTAAAGTCTCCCATTATTACTGTGTGGGAGTCTAAGTCTCTCTGTAGGTCTCTAAGGACTTGCCTTATGAATCTGGGTGCTCCTGTATTGGGTGCATATATATCTAGGATAGTTAGCTCTTCTTGTTGAATTGATCCCTTTACCATTATATAGTGGCCTTGTTTGTCTCTTTTGATCTTTGTTGGTTTAAAGTCTGTTTTATCAGAGACTACGATTGCAACCCTTGCTTTTTTTTGTCTTCCATTTTCTTGGTAGATCTTCCTCTATCCCTTTATTTTGAGCCTATGTGTGTCTCTGCACATGAGATGGGTCTCCTGAAGACAGCACACTGATAGGTCTTGAGTCTTTATCCAATTTGCCCGTCTGTGTCTTTTAATTGGAGCATTTAGCCCATTTACATTTAAGGTTAATATTGTTATGTGTGAATTTGATCCTGTCATTATGATGTTAGCTGGTTATTTTGCTCGTTAGTTGATGCAGTTTCTTCCTAGCATTGATGGTCTTTACAATTTGGCATATTTTTGCAGTGGCTGGTACTGGTAGTAACAACCAATTTTTATAAGCACTGGATACCTAACAGTGCAAGGTTGCAAGACTTAAGAAAAAGGAAGCATGCAAAGTGAACCCCACATTTACTCTGGCTTTCTTCCTGGAAGCATTTCACAGCTATGGTACAAGGAAGTAGAGCCCAAGCACAGAGAGGAAGTCTGGTGGGTGGAGGAAACAGATTTCAGAGCTTGGGGATGGTAGGGTGATGGATGGGATTTGGAGGGGCATGATGCTTAAGACAGCTACATAGACGGAACATCAAAAATCTGTGTAGGGGTTTTCTTGAATCCTTAGCTTAATCCTCAGATGTGCATGCACAAATTGAGACCCCAGAAAACCTAAAGAAAAGAGCTGTTGGAGTGTGCCCTAGAAACTGAATAGAGATTTTAGAGATTGTCTAGAGTTGGAGAGACATTAGAGATTCTCTCTGGCCAGAGTGGAGAAACTTTGATGAGCATCCATGGCATTTGATAGAGACCACAAAAAAGCCATGTCCTAGGAGTAAAAGCTATGTGTTTTGTTTGTTTGTTTGTTTTTGTTTTTGAGATGGAGTCTCACTCAGCCGCCCAGGCTGTATGCAATGGCATGATCTCGGCTCACTGCAACCTCTGCCTCCTGGGTTCAAGCGATTCTCCCATCTCAGCCTCCTGAGTAGCTGGAATTACAGGCACCCACCATCAGGCCCAGTTAATTTTTGTATTTTTGTAGAGACATGGTTTCACCATGTTGGTCAAGCTGTTCTTGAACTCCTGACCTCACATGATCCACCCACCTCGGCCTCCCAAAGTGCTGGGATTACAGGTGTGAGCCACCACACCCGGCCCAGAGCTATGCTTTAAGAAAGCAAAACTAAAATAGACCTGCCCTGACAAAGTAAAAATCAACCCTTAATTGGGTCAAGGGGATTCACAGTAATATATGAATAACTGTCTTTTCAAATAAAACTCAACACTCTTTTGACCAAAGGTTGACAAATATTTCTATGAAAAATCAGAGAGTAAATATTTTGGATTTTGAAGATTTCTACTACAGCTATTCAACTCTGCCACTGTAATATGAAAGCAGTCATAGACACTATGCAAACAAATGGGCATGGCTGTGTTCCAATATGACTTTATTTTAAAAGCAAGCAGCAGTTTTGTCTGTAGTTTGTATATCTCTGCTTTAGATAAAGATAACATAATCCTGAGCTTCTAAAATGTGTCACCTACAATATCTAGCTTGCATTAAAAACTTCATAATCAAGCAAAAAAAGAGAGGGTTGTGGAAATGGGAAGCACTGACCAAGAGATAGAAGGGTCAATATAAGTAGACACAGAAAAGGTAACAGTCATTGAGTTAGCAGACAAGGATTTCTAAATAACCACAACTGGTAGAAGAAAAATATATAGGGACAATGGATAAATGGATGAATAATGGTGTGTTTCAACAGAGAATCAGATGGGGGAGCAAGATGGTAGAGCTCGGGGAGCAACATGGCAGAATAGAAAGCTCCACTGATCATACCCCTAGCAAGGACAATAAGTTAACAACTATCTACACAGAGAAAAACCACCTTCATAAGAACCCAAAATCAGGAAAGCACTCACAGTAACTGATTTTAACTTCATATCACTGAAAGAGGCACTGAAGAAATAGAAAAAACAGTCCTAAATTGCTGACACTACCCCCACCCCTGGCAGCAGCAGCAGCATGGTGCAGAGAGCATCTCTGGGCACTGGGGGAGGGAGATCATAATAATTGTGATGCATTGGATTCAGTGCTGTCCTGTTAGAGCAGAAAGGAAACCCAGACCAAACTCAGATGATGCCTGCCCATGGAGGCAGCATTTAAACCAGCTCTAGCCAGAAGGAAATCACCAATCTCAACAGTCAGAACTTGAGTGCCTGCAAATCTCACCACCAAGGGCTACAGCACTCTGCGTCTCCAAGTAAACTTGAAAGGCAGTCTAGGCCATAAGGATTGCAACTTTTAGGTGAATCCTAGTGCTGAACTAGGCCCAAAGACAGTGGACTGAGGAGACACACAACATACTGAAACACTAGCTGGGGCAGCTAAGGGAGTGCTGGCGTCACCCCTCCCCTAACCCCAGGCTTGAGGCTCCAAAAGAGACCCCTTCCTTCTGCTTGAGGAGAGGAGAGGGAAGAGTGGAAAGGACTTTGCCTTGCATCTAGGATACCAGCTCAGCCAGATGATAGATCAGGATAGAGCACAGAGTCATGAGGCTCCTGTTCCAGGCACTAGCTCCCAGATGACATTTCTAGACACACTATGAGCCAGAAGGGAACCTATTGCCTTGAAGGAAAGAACCAAGTCCTGGCAGCATTAATCACCTGCTAACTGAAGAGCCCTTGGGCCTTAAATAACCAGCACTGACACCCACATACTGCATTGAGAGCATTGGTGAACCTCAGACTTGCTGGCTTCAGGTGAGACTCTGCACATTACCAGCTATAGTGGCTATGGAGCAAAACTCCTTCTGCTTGAGAAAAGTGGAGGGAAAAGTAAAGGAGACTTTGTCTTGCATCTTAGATACCAGCACAGCCAAAGTGGGGTAAGAGCACCGAGTGGGCTCTTGAGATCCCTGATTCCAAGACTTGACTCTCGGATGCCATTTCTAGACATGCCCTGGGCCAGAGGGGAGTCCACTGCCCTAAAGGATGAGTCCTGGGCCAGGCAGCATTCACAACAAGCTGATTTAAGAGACCGTGGGCCTTAAGGGAACATCAGTGGTAGTCTGGCAGCACTCCTCATGGCCTGGGGTGGCAGTTGCTATAGGATGAGGTTCCTCTGGCTTTGGAAAGGGGAGGGAAGAGTGGGAAGGACTATGCCTTGTGGTTTGAGTGCAACAGTGCAATAGAATACCAGGTAGACTTCTAAAGTTTTTGTCTCTAGTCCCTGACTCCTGGAAAACACTTCTGGACCTTACCCAGGGCCTGGGGGACCTTGCTGCCCTGAAATGAAGGACACTGGGTGGCTTTGCCACCTGCTAATTGTAGAGCCCCAGGGCCTTGAGTAAATGTAGCCAGTACCCATGGAGTGGTTACAGTAGGCCTTGGGCAAGATGCAGTGCTGTGCTGGCTTCAGGTCTGACATAGCACAGTCATAGTAGTGGTGGTCACAGGGGTGCTTGTGTCATTCCACTCCCAGCATTAGGTGGCTCAGAACAGAGAGACTCTGTATGCTTGGGAGAAAGTAAGAGAAGAAAACAAGAGTCTCTGTCTCGTAATCCAGAGAATTCTCCCAGATCTGGGCCAAGACCATCAAGATGATACCTCTATGAGTCAGTCTGTAAGAACCACAGTGTTACTGGGCTTGGAATGTTCCCTAAAGCAGATACAGCTTAGATCACAACACCTAAGATCTTTCAAATATCTGGAAAGCCTTCCCAAGAATGATGGCTACAAATAAGCCCAGACAGTGAAAACTACAGTAAATACCTAACCTTTCAATGTCCAGACAGCAAAGAACATCTATTAGCATCAACTCCATCCATGAAAACATGACCTCACCAAAAGGACAAAATAAGGCACCAGAAACCAATCCTGGAGAAACAGAGACATGTGATGTTTCGACAGAGAATTCAAAAAAATAGCTTTGTTGAGGAAACTCAAAGAAATTCAAGATAATACAGAAGAAATTCAGAATTATATCGAATAGAGTTAACAAAGAGATTGAAATAATTACAAATAATCAAGCAGAAGTTTTGGAGCTGAAAAATGGAATTGGCATACTGAAGAATGCAGAGTTCTTTAATAGCAGAACTGATCAAGCTGAAGAAAGACTTTGTGAGCTTGAAGACAGTCTTTTTGAAAATATACAGTCAGAGGAGACAAAAGAAAAAGGAATTAAAAAAAAAGTATGCCTACAAGATCTAGAAAATAGCCTTAAAGGGACAAATCTAAAAGTTATTGGCCTTAAAGAGGAGATAGAGGAAGAGATAAGGGTAGACAGTTTATTCAAAGGGATAATAACAGAAAATATCCCAAACCTAAAGAAAGATATCAATATCCAAGTACAAGTAGGTTATAGAACATCACACAGATTTAACCCAGAGAAGACTACCTCAAGGCATTTAATAATTAAACTCCCAAAGGTCAAGTTTTAAAAAAGGATCCTAAAAACAGCAAGAGGAAAGAAACAAATAACATACTATGGAGCCCCAATATGTCTGACAGCAGACTTTTCAGTGGAAACCTTACAGGCCTGGAGAGAGTGACATATTTAAAGTGTTAGAGGGAAAAAGAAAAACCTTTTACTCTAGAATAGTATATCCAGCAAAAATATCCTTTAAACATAAAGGAGAAATAAAGACTTCCCCAAACAAAAGCTGAGGGATTTCATCAATGCCAGGCCTGTCCTACAAGAAATGCTAAAGGGAGTACTTCAATCAGAAAGAAAAGGGCATTAATAAACAATAAATAATCACCTGGAGGTATAAAACTCACTGGTGAGTACACAGAAAAACACAGAATATTATAACATTGTAACTATGGTGTGTAAACTACTCTTAAGTAGAAAGACTAAATGATTAACCAATCAAAAATATTTACAACAACTTTCCAAGACACAGTACAATAAATATAAATAGAAACAACAAAAAGTTAAAAAGCAGGGGGACAAAGTTAAGGAGAGTTTCTATTTGCTTGCTTGTTTGTTTATGCAAATAGTGTTAAGTTGTTATCAGGTTAAAATAATGAGTTATAAGATAGTATTTGCAAGTCTCATGGTAAACACAAACCAAAAATCATACAATGGATACACACACACACACACACACACACACACACACACACACACACACACAAAAGCAAGAAACTAAATTATATTACCAGATAAAATCACCTTCCCTAGAGGAAGACAGGGAGAAAAGAAAGAAGGATGAGAAGACCAAAAAATAATCAGAAAACAAATAACAAAATGGGAGGAGGAAGTCCTACTTATCAATAATAATATTGACTGTCAATGGACTAAACTCTCCAATTAAAAGATATGGACTGGCTGAATGGATGAAAAAATAAGACCCATTGATCTGTTGCCTACAAGAAACACACTTCACCTATGAAGACACATATAGACTGAAAATAAAGAGATGGAAAAAAATATTCCATGCTAATGGAAGCCAAAAAAAGCAAGAATTGCCATACTTATATCAGAAAAAAATAAATTTCAAGACAAAAACTATAAGAAGAAACAAATAAGGTCACTATAAAATAATAAACAGGTCAATTTAGCAAGAGAATATAACAATTTTAAATATAAATATATGCACCCAGCACTGGAGCACACAGACAGATAAAGGAAATATTATTAGAGAGAGATAAATATTATTTAGAGAGAGATAGGCCCCAATACAGTAATAGCTGGAGACTTTACCACCCCACTTTCAGCACTGAACAGATGTTCCAGACAGAAAATTAACAAAGAAACATCAGACTTAATCTGCACGATAGACCAGATGGATCTAATAGATAGTTATGGAACATTTCACCCAAGAGTTGCAGAATACACATTCTTTTACACAGCTCGTGGATCATTCTCAAGGATAGACCATATGCTAGGTCATAAAACATGTCTTAAAACATTCAAAAAACTAAAATTATATCAAGCATCTTCTCTGACCACAATGGAATAAAACTAGAAATTAACAACAAGAGGAATTTTGGAAATGATTTTAATACATAGAAAGTAAACAATATGCTCCTGAGTGGGTCAATAAAGGAATTAAGAAGGAAATTGAAAAATTTATTGAAGCAAATGATAATGAAAACACAGTGTACCAAAATCCATGGGATAAAACAAAAGCACTACTAAGAGGGAAGTTTATAGTTATTAGTATCTACATTAAAAAAGAGAAAAAAACTTCAAGTGAACAATTTAATGATGCCTCTTAAATAACTAGAAAAGCAAGAGCAAACCAAATGTAAATTAGAAGAAGAAAAGAAATACAAAGAATAGAGCAGAAATAAATGAAATTGAAATGAAAGAAATGATACAAAAGATCAATGAAACAAAAAGTTCATTGTTTGAAAAGTTAAGCAAAAGTGAAAAATCTTTACCCAGACTAAGAATAAAAGACACAAGATTCAAATAAAGAAAATCAGAAATGAAAAAGGAGACATTACAACTGAAACTGCAGAAATTCAAAGGATCATTAGTGGCTAATATGAGCAACTATATGCCAATAAATTAGAAATCTATAATCAACGGACAAATTCCTAGATACATACAACCTACCAAGATTGAACTGGAAAGAAGTCCAAAACCTGAACAGACCAATAACTAGTAACAAGATTGAAACCATAATAAAAAGTTTCCAACTAAAGAAAAGCCCAGGACCTGATGGCTTCACTGCTGAATTCTACCAAACATTTAAAGAGAATTAATACCAATCCTACTCAAACTATTCCAAAAATAGAGGAGGAGTACATAGTTTCAAACTCATTCTATGAGGCCAGTATTTACCTTGACACAAAAACCAGACAAAGACACATTAAAAAAAAAAAAAAAACAACACACACAGGTCTACATCTCTAATGAATATTGATGCAAAAATCTTCAACAAAATACTAGCAAATGAAATTCAACAATACATTAGAAAGATCTTTCAGTATGACCAAGTGGGATTTATCCCTGAGATTCAGGATAGTCCAACATATGCAAATCAATCAATGTGATACATTATATCAACAAAATGAAGATGAAAACCATATAATCATTTCAATTGATGCTGAAAAGCATTTGATAAAATTCAACATCGCTTCATGAAAAAAACCCTCAAAAAATGGAGATAGAAGGAATATACCTCAACATAATAAAAGCCATATTCAACAGACCCACACCTAGTATTACACTGAATGGGGAAAAACTGAAAGCTTTTCCTCTAAGATCAGGAATGAAACAAAGATTCCCACTGTTACCACTATTATTCAGCGTAATACTAGAAGTCATAGCTAGAGCAATCAGACAAAAAAAAAAAAAAAAAAAAAAAAAAAAAAAAAAAAAAGAAAGGACATCCAAATTGGAAAGGAAGAAGTCAAATTATCTTTGTTGGCAGATGACATAATCTTATATTTGGAAAAACCTAAAGACTATGCAGGAAAACTACTAGAACTGATAAACAAATTCAGTAAAGGTGCAGGTACAAAATCAACATACAAAAACCATTTTGAAATGCCAGTAGTGAACGGTGTGAAAAATAAATTTAAAAAGTAATCTCATTTACAATAGCCTCACATAAAATTAAATACCTAGGAATTATCTTAACTGAAGAAGTAAAAGAAATCTACAATGGAAACTATAGAACACTGATGAAAGAAATTGAAGGGGACACCAAAAAGTGAAAAAGAATTCCATGTTCATAGATTGAAATAATTAATATTGTTTGAATATCCATACTATCCAAAGCAGTCTACAGAACCAATGCAATCCCTATCAAAATACCAATGACATCTTTCACAGAAATAGAACAATACAATACTAAAATTTATATGGAATCACAAAAGACCCAGAATAGCCAAAGGTATCCTGAGCAAAAAGAACCAAACTGAAGGAATCACATTACCTGACTTCAAATTATACTACAGAACCATGGTAACAAAAATAGCATGGTCTGGTATAAAAACAGACACTTAGACCAATGGAACAAAATAAAGAACCCAGCTACTCAGGAGGCTGAGGCAGAAGAATCGCTTGTATCTGAGAGGTGGAAGTTGCAGTGAGCTGAGATTGTGCCACTGAACTCCAGCCTGGGTGACAGAGTGACAGAATGAGACTCTAAAAAAAAAAAAAAAAAAGAAGAACTCATTGGATTAGATCGTCAAAGTAAGAGATCATCATTTACTATATGATAAAAAGCTGAATGTATTGTGCTATTATTATAAGACACATTATCTCTGAGTAGAGCTTACAGCTGTTCTTGTATAGAGTTTGAGGAAGGGTAGAGTTCAGGATTGGCAGAGTTTCAGAAGTAAATGTATTCAGGAAATGGCTGATCATTAGCTATAGCAGCATAGATTCTCAAATGAAGGTTGTTGCTGATTTGCTGGCATTCAGAAGCATAGTTACTAAAACAAGTTATAATCAGTCAATTAGCATGAATAATGAATATAAAACCACTTTTGGTGATTGGTTATTGCTAGAGAGTGTATTCTTACCTTAAGAAAATAGGAATATTTTTTATTCTTAAGTTGGACAATAGACTAGACACAGAGAAGACAGATTTAGAGAACTAAAGGAGAGATTAAAAAAAAAAATCTAGGCCAGGTGAGGTGGCTCATGCCTGTAATCCCAGCACTTTGGGAGGCTGAGGCAGGCGGATCACCTGCGGTCAGGAGTTTGAGACCAGCCTGACCAACATGGAGGAACCCTGTCTCTACTAAAAATATAAAATTAGCTGGGTGTGGTGGCACATGCCTGTAATCCCAGCTACTTGGGAGGCTAAGGCAGAAGAGTTACTTGAACCTAGGAGGCGGAGGTTGCAGTGAGCCGAGACCGCACCACTGCACTCCAGCCTGGGCAACAAGAGCAAAACTCTGTCTCAATTAAAAAAAACAAAAAAAAAACACACAAGAAAAAAATATCTAAACTGAAACACAGAAAGAAAAGAAATGGGAAAAAATCAGAAAGGAGCATAAAAGAGATATGAGACACAGTAACAAATATCCAACATACATATCATTGGAGTCCTAGAAGAAGAAGGGAAAGTTAGAATGGGAAAAGAAGCAATATTTAAAGAAATAATGGTCAAGAATTTTCCAAACATTCTATTGGGCCTTTTTTCCTACTACCATTAAAAAATATTTCTGAAATTCTTGTTGTTGTTGTTGTTGTTCTTCAAATATTCCTTACTCTCTTTAAATAAAACATACTTTTTTTTTGTTTTAAAATTGAAAAATGTCTTCTCTCTTAAGGATATTAAGAATAGTATTTGTTGCGTTTGTGAGGTTTTCTTTTCCCTCCCAAATACTTCTTGTTTCTGTTTGTTTTCTGAGCTACATCAACCCTTTAAATAAGTATTTTAGTACTAGTAAACTGAATCCAACAGTATACGGAAAAGTTAATTCACCATGGTCAAGTAGGCTTCATTCCTGGGATGCAAGGTTTGTTCAACATATGCAAAGTAATAAATGTGATTCATCACATAAGCAGAATTAAAAACAAAAACCATATGATCATCTCAATAGACACATAAAAAGTTTTTAATAAAATCCAACATCCTTTTATAATAAAAATCCCCAAGAAACTAGGTATTAAAGGAACATACCTCAAAATGATAAGAGCCATCTATGACAAACTCACAGCCAACATCATACCAAATGAGCAAAATCTGAAAGCATTTCCCTTGAACACTGAAACAAAACAAGGAAGTCCATTCTTACCACTCCTATTCAACATAGTATGGGACGTTCTTACCAGAGCAATAAAACAAGAGAAACAAATGAAAGGTATCCAAATAGGAAAATAAGTCAAGCTATCTCTCTTCACTGATATCATTCTATACCTGGAAAACCCTTGCCAAAAGGCTCCTGGAACTGATAAATGACTTCAATAAAGTTTCCAGACACAAAATCAATGTACAAAAATCAGTAGCATTTCTATACACCAATAACGTTCAAGCTGAGAGCCAAATCAAGAACACAATCCCATTTACAATAGCTACAAAAAATTATATAAGAATACATCTAACCAAGGAGGTGAAAGATCCCTACAAGGAGTTCTACAAAACACTGCTGAAAGAAATCAAAGATGACACAAATAAATGGAAAAACATTCCATGCTCATGGATCAGAAAAATCAATATTGTTAAAATGGCCATACTGCCCAAAGCAACATACAGATTCAACACTATCATATCAAGCTACAAATGTAATTTTTCACAGAACTAGACAAAACTACTCTAAAATTCATATGGAACCAAAAAATAACCAAAATCACCAAAGCAATCCTAAGCAAAAAGAACAAAGCTGGAGGCATCACATTACCTGACTTCAGACTCTACTATAAGGCTACAGTAATCAATATAGCATGGTACTGGCACAAAAAAACAGACACATAGACCAATGGAACAGAACAGAGTACTCAGAAATAAAGCCACACACCTACGGCCATCTGATCTTCAATAAAGTCAATAAAAATAAAAAATGGTGAAAGGACTCCCTATTCAATAAATGGTACTGGGATAGCTGGCTGGCCATGGCCAAATGCAGAATAATGAAACTGGACCCCTACCTTTCAGCGTATACAGAAATAAACTCAAGATGTATTAAATATCTAAACATAAGACCTTAAACTATAAGAATCCTAGAAGAAAACCTAGGAAATGCCATTCTGGACATCAGCCTTGGGAAAGAATTCATGACTAAGTCCTCAAAAGCAACTGCAATGAAAACAGACATTGACAAGTGGGATCTAATTGAACTAATGAGCTTCTGTACAGCAACAAAACAAAACAAACCAAAACAAAAACAAAAACAAAACTCTCCACAGAGTAAGCAGAAAACTTACAGAATGGGAGAAAATATTTATAAACTATGAATTTGACAAAGGTCTAATATTCAGAATCTACAAAGCACGTAAACAATTCAACAAGAAAAAAACAACCCTATTTAAAATGGGCAAAAGACATGAACAGACACTTCTCAAAAGAAGACATGCAAGTGACCAGCAAACATGAAAAAATGCTCAACATCACTGGTTATCAGAGAAATGCAAATCAAAACCACAATGAGGTACCATCTCACACCACAGCTATTATTAAAAAGTCCAAAAAAGAAACCAACAACAACAACAAAAAACAGGTGCTGATGAGGCTGCAAAAAAAAGGGAAAGCTTATACATTATTGGTGAGAATGTCAATTAGTTCATCCACTGTGGAAAACAGTTTGGAGATTTCTCAAAGAACTTAAAACTGAACTACCATTCAACCCAGGAGTAGCATTATCGGGTCAATATCCAAAAGAAGATAAATCGTTCTACCAAAAAGACACATGTACTTATACGTTAATTACAGCATTAGACACAATAGCAAAGACATAGAAACAACCTAACTGCCCATCAACAGTAGATTGGTTAAATAAAATGTCATATACGACAGAATATTACACAGCCATAAAAAAGAACAAAATCATGTTCTTTGCAGCAACAAGGATGCAGCCAGAGGCCATTATCCTAAGTGAAATAATAACAGAAACAGAAAACCAAATACCACATGTTTTCACTTATAAATGGGAGCTAAACATTGGGTACTAAATGAACATACAGTTGACACCAATAGACACTGTGGACTACTAGAGGTGGGAGGGTGGGAGGGGGACAAGGGTTGAAAAACTAATTTTGGGGTACTTTGCTTAGTACCTGGGTGATGGATCAATTGTACTCAAAACTTTAGCTACACACCATATACCCATGTAACAAACCTGTACATGAACCCTCTGAATCTAAAATGAAAGTTAAAATGGTTTTAAAAATTAGTAGTTTAGGATATTCAAGAAACAAAATAAAAAATGACTTTTAGTAACATAGAACACACATAGGCAAAAATCAGTTACAGGTAGACATAAAAAAAGAAATAAAGATTCATAATCCTTATCCACATTCTAAAACCCCAAAGTTCTGAACACCTGGAAGAGTGTACCATAGGCTGTTGACAATATCCAGACAGCCCAGGTGCAGCAGGCCTGAGAGAACTCTGTTAAAAACTTACTCGTGTGGATAAGAACCCCACCCCGTAGTGATGATCGTGTATCTTTAAATACATGTTTCAAGATCCAAGAAGGACAGGGCAGATATGAGACAGAAATCACGGGCAGGGGTGGATAGGGTATGAGGCACAGGAAAATGCAGAGAATGGTAATATAGCCTCAGGGTAGCAGATTGTGAAAAATATCAGCAAAAATAACTCCATGAAACAGTCTCTTAGAAATAGCTGGGCCAGGAAAGTACAAATCATTTGGGAAAGGGCAGCAATATTTACTAGATGAGATGCAGAACACTCATCAGAAAAATACTGCCAAGGGAGAGACAAAAATCCTATGAAAACACATTATTATAATTTAAAAATTAAAACCTAACAAAGCAATAGTTTCTGTGAAAAAAAACCACAAAGAAAAAAACATAAGAATTCAGGAAAGAGATAAGAAATCAAGAGTTGATGGTAAAATGATAGAGAGGATAAAACAGGAGCTAGTCGCACTCAGGAAAGAGAGAAAAACTATCCTGGAAACAAAGAGGAAATTAAAAGGGGAATGAGACAAACTAGGCACGGCAGAAAATAAGTGAGTTACATGGTTGTCAGAAATTTTTGAAACTGTGACCACAGTGAGACAGAAATAAAGGTTTTCAAAGGATGAGAGGGGCAGATATATAGAAGACAGGAGAAGGAAATTAACATATGTGTAATTGGAGTCATTGTTTATTAAAAAGAGAAAAATGGAGTAGAACAGAAATTTAGATGATCTTAAGTTAGAATGCAGAATTCAGGAAAATTTTGAAACCTTGCAATCAACGGCAGCTTGAGTCTACATAATGAAAGGGCACACCATATGCCATAGCAAACTGACAGAGTGGTCAATATGAAGACAAAGTGTATTAGTCCATTCTCACACTGCTACAAAAAACTACCTGAGACTGGTAGTTTTTGAAGAAAAGAGGTTTAATTGACTCACAGTTCTGTAGACTTAATAGGAAGCATAACTGGGAGACATCAGGAAACTTACAATCATGGAGTAAAGCAAAGGGGAAACAAGGACCTTCTTCACATGGTGGCAGGAGAGAGAGAACTGGGGTGAAGGAGGAAGTGCCACACATTTTTTTTTTTTTTTTTTTTTTTTTTTTTTTTTTTTTGAGACGGAGTCTCGCTCTGTCGCCCAGGTGGGACTGCGGACTGCAGTGGCGCAATCTCGGCTCACTGCAAGCTCCGCTTCCCGGGTTCACGCCATTCTCCTGCCTCAGCCTCCCAGTGCCACACATTTTAAACCATCAGATATCATGAGAATTCATTCACTATCCCAAGAACAGCAAGGGGGACATCCACCCCCATGATCCAATTGCCTCCCACCAGGTCCTTCCCCTGACATGTGGGGATTATAATGTGACAGGACATTTAGGTGGGGACACAGAGCCAAACCATATCACATAAACCTCAAGAGAACCAAGAGAAAGAAGATCTTTCTGGCCAGCCATGAAAAAAGACTCAATCACTTATAAGGGAGAAAAAACCTAAGTAGGCTCAGATTTCTCTACAGCAACATTGTAAAAATTAAATTTTCTAATCTTTGACCATAGTAGGTTTCTCCATTGTTTAAAGTATTCTTTAATGTTTCTTAATATTCTGTAGTTTTCTTGGTATTGTATGCAACTTGTTGTGTATTCCTAGTTGGTTCATGTTTTTTGGTGTTATTGTAAAATAGTATTTTTTAGAAATTTGATTTTCTACCTGTTTATTGCTGATATATAGAAATACGGTTTGGTTTTGCACAATGAATGTGTACAGAGATATTTTGTAAAATTTTCATACTAATTCAAATTATTTAGCTGTAGATTCTTTTGGACTTACTTCACAGACAATTATCTGTTTTGGAAATGACTTTTGTTTCTTGTTTTCCTACTTTTACAAGTGTTCCTTTTTTCTCGGTATTAGTTTCGTTAGTTATTTTACCTTGTTACACAAGCTAGGACATCCTGGTACAATGCTGAATAGAGGAAATGATTACATAGTGGCAGCAGGTATCTGTCTTCCTCACAATTTCAAAGGGAGAACTTTCAACATTTTACTTATCGAATGTAAAATGTGCTGCCAAATTTAGGGAATTCTCTTCTTTTCCTAATTTGCTAAGAGGTTATAGTTCTTCTTGTTGTTTAATCACTACTGTCAACCAAAGGGGAGCTTTATTGAGACCTCAGTCTTACGAAGCTCAGAAACGAGATCACCTTTGTCAGGCAAATGAGGAAAAGGCCTTTATTTGACTTTCTTTGGGGATAAATTGTTGGCATGACTGCACTTTTTTTCTGTGTTGAAGCAAGGTATTCAGCTAGGTGTAATATTTTCAATAGATAATTGTTGCAGTGATATCTCTGGATAGACTGGCAGAGGAAGACCCAGTGATAATGCCCCCAAAACACAGCACCAGATACATGGTAGATAAATTCTCTTTAGATATTTTCAGTGTGAAGAGTAAGTTCATCCCTGAGCAGCTTGCTAGCAAAAATCAGAAGCTGTTGGTTAGAAGGATTGCTTTCCTTCCTCTTTTTGAATTTTGACTTTGATATTCTTCATAGTGTAGCTGATCTTTGGGTGAAGTGGGGAGGAATGATGTCCTTGCCCACTAAGAGCTCCAGAAAAATCTGCATTTTTGCAGTGTTCTATGAGCCTCTTGTCTGCCTCATTTTTAAAGTGTCTTTATCATAAATCGTTATTTTTAACAAATATGTTTCTGAATCGATTGAAACTATTATATGGGTTTTGGCTTATAATTATTAATACGGTGAATTATACAAGGCAACCAACTAGGAGTTAGGATCTGCTTCACAGCTGTTTACCCAGGTAAATTATCTCAGGGCCAAGCATAGTTTGGAATCACTAGGCTTAACTCTCCAGGTTTCCCTTGTCTCCCAAAGATTTCTCAGCCTGCGGCAAGTTTTTTGATACATCTATGATTTTTAAAAATATTGTATCTTCTTTATTCTCAGCAGCAGGGTAGGTAGGAGTTACCTAGTCCATTGTTATCAAATGGAACTGATAACAGTTCCATTGATAACACAAGGCCCACAAATCAAAAGATATAAAGAGTTATATAGTGAGAAGCTCTTTATACCTTTTGATTTGTGGGCCTTGTGAATGCCTCACTTATATAAAAATAAAGATAATGTGAAACCATTTGAAAACTGGAATGAAATGAATATATTCCTAGAACAATATAAATGATAAGGATTGAGTCATAAAGCAAATTAAAAAAAAAAAAAAAATGAGACTGAAAGAAGGTGAATTGGTAACCAAAAGCCTTCTCCCAAAAGACACCAGGCACAGATGGTTTTACACAAAAGCTTCATTTCAGAGAATAGAAAAATATACAAATTATTTCGGAGAATATAAAAAGAAAAAAAATCCAATTTATTTTACAAAATGTATTAGTTAGGTTTTGCTTCACTCATGTCATGTAACAAATAATGCCAAATCTCAGTAACTTACAACACTTCTCACTCCATTGTCTGTGGATCTCTGTAACCATGTAGTTATATCAATCAATATAGAAAATGTACTTAATAAAATTGAACACTCACTCATGTTAAACAAAACAGACCTCATATCCAACTGGTACTAGAAGGTAACATGAAAAGAGACATCTTTCTAAAACCTATAGCAATCATTATGGTTAATATTGAAGTATGAGAGATTTTCCATTAAAACCAGGATCAAATCAAGAATGTCCATAATAATGGTTTCTATTCAAATTGTCCTGGTTGTGTCCTTCCCAGGGTAGGTTGGGAGGTAGGAAGATGAAGAATTCTTTGATGACATTAATTTTCCCCATTAAGCATGAGGCAATGTTATCAGCTGAACATGGGTGGGAAGCTGTCAGAGGTTTGGTAAGAAGGGAAGGTATTGACTAAGCATCTTGTAGAGTGGGAGAGCAAACTTATTCGGGAACCATCCAAGGATTGTGAGAAAAAGTTAAATGTCCACTGTGTTTGGTGATCATGAATGGAAGAGGAAACCTATAAGAGTTTATGACTTTCGGCTGGGCGTGGTGGCTCACGCCTGTAATCCCAGGACTTCGGGAGGCCAAGGTGAGTGGATCACGAGGCCAGGAATTCAAGATAAGCCTGACCAACAAGGTGAAACCTGTCTGTACTAAAAATACAAACATTAGCCGAGTATGGTGGCACGTGCCTGTAGTCCCAGCTACTCGAGAGGCTGAGGCAGAAGAATTGCTTGAACCCAGGAGGCGGAGGTTGCAGTGAGCCGAGATCATGCCACTGCACTCCAGCCTGGGCAACAGAGGCAGACTCTATCTCAAAAAAAAAAAAAAAAAAAAAAAAAGAGTTTGTGATTTTCTCAACCAATATGTAGTTGCTCAGGGATAGGCATGGTGAAATTGTTGGGTTTTACCCAGTTTAGGATTTTACCAGAGAAGAAACAATAAATCCCAAGGAAGCTGAGAGTGTTTGAAAGGTAGTAATTATAGAATTTAAGCTGTACAAAGAGAATTGAAGATAAAAGAAAGATGATAGTGAAAAAGTGATGGGATCAATGGATTAGAAGTCTCAATGAAGTTGAAAACACATTGATGGGATGCAAAAGTCGATGCACTTTTGCCTAGAAAGCTAGAAGGTTGTGGTGAGAAGATGGGATGTTTGTGGTTGAGTTTCAGAGGTGCTGGAGTCACTGGTGTTGAATAGGAGTGGGGCGACCATGGGGGCAGGGAAGTGGCTGAGTTGGGGTAGAAGAAAAGTTAGAGGCAAGATGGGCAGGGAACGGGGAGATCGAGGTATTGGGTGGGGTGGCCACGTGGATGTTAAAGCCTCATAGAATGAAGTCAGGAGAGAGAAACAGTGAGCTAAGAGTAATAGTCCATGACAGAGGCCAGTGGAGGGTTTGACAAGGAGGGAATAGGTAGGGGGTTAGATAAAACTAGGCCTGGATGGATCAGAGCAGTAAGACCCTGGAGGACTCTGGGCTTCTGGTGAAGGCTGAAGTAACAGGGAATTAGTCTCTTGGGCAGGGCTAGGAGAAGGGAAACATTTTAAACTACCATCTGAACTCCTTGTCTTGTGAGTTTTGAGGCCTGGGATGATGTGAGCTTTATCCATACCAGTGGAATTAGATGGTGGAGGTTGAGCTGGTTTGGCAGAGGTTCCCTCTTGGGTCCTGAGGGAAGTTTCTAGAGGGAGCTTTAGGGGAGGAAGGAGAACTCTCTGGAGATAAGTGTGAATCAACAGGCTCAAAACCCAAATGCACCTCATTTAGCTCCGGTGGCTTCAGAGGGCTGCAGCCCCAGGGCAAAGTTTGTGTTTAAAGGTGCTGGGCAGAGATAAGGTCTAGAGATGGTTTAACCAGCAAGTGGTGTCCTGTCCTCTCATCCCTGCTAATAAACAACAGATTCCAGGAATGCTACTTGCTTGAGCTTGGCCCAAGGAACAATCCCAGTACCATAAACATTGATTCCAAGGAGCCCCTCCGGCCAAGGCTGGGGAGGGAAAGCCCCAGGATATGGCTCCTGCTGGTTTTCCTTAGTTCCAGAAGACAGGGCTGAGCAGTTTCTCTGTACACACCCTCCTTGGGCACAACTGTACGTCCTGGCCTTTGAGGGGCCCCTCCAGCAACCCTGCAAGGCAGGGGAGAATGTCTCTACTTCAGCAGTGCACAGAATGCGCCCCAGATCCCATAGAACATGGCAGATCCCTTAGACCCTGACTGCTTGCACTCTATTTCCCTGCCTCTCATTCAGTTCTTCAAACATTTATGGGGTACCTACCATGGCAGTCACTCAGCTAGAAACTGAGGACACTGTGAGGACAGAGTTCAACAGCCCCAGCTACACATGAGGTCACCTTTGAAACCCTCCACCCTCCAATTCCGACTTCAGGAGTTAAAGGATGGAGCCCAAGAGTCGCATTTTCACTTGAACATATTTACGGAAGTTCCTGCTAGAGGAGACTGGTTTGCCTTCTGGGCAGGCCCAGAGAAGTGGAGTGGTCTAGCTTTGGCATCTTGCAGCTGGGAAGAGCCCAGCCCTAAGCAAGGGTGAAAGAGACTGTTCAAGGCCTGAGGGGCGCTCCCCTCCACCCCCACCTTCTTCAGGGTGCCCTAAAATCTCACTGTTGCAGATTCATTTGTTTCTTTCGGTTAAGGTTTGTCTCTAGCTAAAATGCAAACACCTCTCAGCTGGGGAAGGAGGGAAGGCTTGATGAGGGAAAGACACATCACCTATTAACAGTTGAACAGGGTGAGTTTTTCAAAGCAATGCACTGCTGGAGATGAAACAACACAAGTAACAAATACTTATTCAGGACTAATTGTGCTAGGTCCCAGCCTGGGCAGGGGAGACTAGTTGAGAAAAGTGGGGGAGCTGCCCTTTGAAAGCAGCTAGAAGGAAGTGAGGAGAAAAGGGGATGGTGTTCAGAACCCCGGCTCACCTTGGGAGAAGTAGGCTTGCGGCAGGCCTGCAGGCATCTGGGGTCTGCTGGGACACAGAGAGGGTCCAGAATACGAAGACAAGGATGGCTCAACCACAGGACCAGCTACAGGGGCGGCAGTAGGAGCAGTGCTGAGGGATACCAGGGAGGTACGCCAGTGCTGATGGAGCCCTGGGGAGGGCCTGGCAAGGAAGCATTATGGATGAAGCACTTTCCTTGGCCTGGGAGAGCCAGGGAAGGCTTCCCAGAGGCCATTTGATGACAGCTGGAAAGAATAATCTGATGAAGTAGAGGCTGGATAGAAAATGAAGGGCATAGAAGGACAGCAAGGGAACAGGCACCAGACTTTGCGAAGGAACTGCCATTTGTGGGGAGGGCACTGATCAGGGGGATGAGGCTGGAGACTTGGTTGGGCTGAGCTGAGGCTGGGCTCTGGCTGGCAGGTGCTTCTGGATTCTTTGTTAGCTGGTCTCCCTTTGGCAGGTTCTGAAGGAAAGGAGAATGGAGGGGCAGAACTGATGGGACCCTGTGCCCTGTAAATCTCAGGGCAGCCCTTTCTGAGCCCCGTAAATCTCAGGGCAGCCCTTTCTGAGCCCCCAAGAAACCTGTCCTGAGGCCTCTTTCTCTCCCACTACCCCTCACTCTGGGGCACAGCAGGCAGAAGCTCTTGAATATCTTCTACGAGACAAATTGGGGTTTTTAAACTATTTCGTTTATCTTGATGGAAAAAGGAGTTCAGTCCCTGTGGTCAATTCCTGGGAGCCTTTAACTCCAGCCAAGGACCTGGCCTGCTCTGGCAAGATTTTTTTCTCCCTTCCTCAGAGGTGGCTGGAGACCACAGTGCCTCTCTGGGCAAAATAAAAAGGCAGATTAAAGAATTACAACCTTTAAAAAAAAAAAACTAAAAAAGAAAAGTCCAAGAACAACAGGAAGTTGGACAGGAAGTTCCCATAGAAGATGAAAATATTTGAGAGTCATGCTGAGAGCAGAGGGCTGAGGGCTGGGGGATTTCAGGGATACACAGCTGTGCAGGTGGTAGTGGCCCATGACACCCAACCCTCTGCTGCCCCTTCCTTTCACAGGATGCCCCTGGACCTGCTGGTCAGGACCTGCTCATTCTCAGGGGCTCCAGGCACACTGTGCTTAAACAGGCATATGTACACACATGTATGCACACGCATGACAACCATGACAGGTGCCCAGATACACCCATGTGTGTACATGCACATGTGCTCATGCCAAGAAATGTGTGTGCACAGTGAACCTCTATGCACACAAATGTATAAAAGATAAACATAGAGACAGTGTGTAAAAGTGTAAAGAAAGCAAAAGCTGGAATCTAGGCCCTTCCTCTCCCTTGCTGTACCTTGCTGTATTTGACCCCCGTCCCTCTGGTAATGTCTGGCTGCTGGAAGACTTCTTACAGGTTTGTCCCCCATGCCCACGCAGGGCAGCCCTCCTTGGGCAGTATCTTAGCTCTATTTTTCTGGACATGTAGTCCTCAAGCTTTTTGATCTCAGGACCCCTTTGTTTGTTTGTTTTTTGAGACAGTCTTGCTCTGTCACCCATGCTAGAGTGCAGTGGAACTATCTCGGCTCACTGCAACCTCTGCCTCCCGGGTTCAAGCAATTCTCCTGCCTCAGCCTCCCTAGTAGCTGGGATTACAGGCACCCGCCGCCACACTGGCTAATTTTTGTATTTTTAGTAGACATGGGGGTTTCACCGTGTTGACCAGGCTGGTCTCGAACTCCTGGCCTCAGGTGATCCGCCTGCCTTGGTCTCCCAAAGTGCTGGGATTACAGGCGTGAGCCACCACAACTGGCCTCAGGACCACCTTATACTTTTAAAAATTATGAGGGCCCCGAAGAGCTTGTATTTATTGAGCTGTGTCTATCAACATAGCGGCATTGTTTTATATTTTTATAAATCTCTTTAATGTGCAGCTGAGTAGAAGGCAGCTGGATTCTTATATCTGCTTTTGCATTAAATACTTTAAGATATGCTTTGGTCAAAGCATATGACGAAAAGCCAGCATCACAGAGATATGCAGTTGGAAAAGCGAGGACCTCATGGATCCTGTGTTAGGCAGCCTCTAAGATGTCTCCCAGTGATCCTGCCCCCCAACATTCATATCCTTGTGTAAACCCCTCCCCTCCTATGTGGGCTGGACCTAGTGATTTGGTTCTAAGGAATACATATGGCAAAAGTGGTGAGATATCACTTTGACGATTACATTACAATAAGACTGGCTTTTTGGAACTGAAGGAGACCTCTGGCCCATATCCAGCGAGGAACTGAATCCTGCCAACAACCACGGCAATGCGTTTGGAAGGACATCTTCCCCTAGTAGATCCTTCAGATGAGACTGCAGCCTCAGCTGAACTCTTGAATGTAGCCTGTGAGGGACCTTGAGGCATCCGTTAAGCCTGCCCAGATTCCTGACTGCCTGTGAGATACTTGCAGATAAATATTCGTTGTTTTAAGCTGCTGTGCTTTTGAGTAATTTCTTCCACAGCATTGGACAACTAATATATTCATGAGAGGGTCTTAGGGATGCCCAGGAGTTCCCAGACCTCACTTTGAGAACTGCTACTCTAGAACTATCCCTCTTCAACTGCTCTTATGGATTTTATCAAGTCCGTATCTGCCTCTTCTTTCACTGTCCTGCTCTCAGCTGAGAGGAGGAAGAGGACTGGTATAGGGATGAGGCCCTGTGCAGGTGAGCACTAACAGGTGATAGGGTGCATTTCCAGTCCCAGGTCAGGACGGTGCCTGCACATCGCATTGCTGCTCCCTGAGAGTGGAATTTCAGGCAGTGTGCAGCTACTCGGGGACATGATGGCAGATCATGGGAGGTTCCAGGTAGAGTCTGTCCCCTCCTCAGCCAACCCACACCCTGCCCACCCCCATCCTGGTGCTGTCTGGGGAATTAAACTGCAACCCTACAACTCATGCACTGGGCCTTGGAGGGCCGTCACTGCAAATTATCCTATTGCTCCTGTCTTTGGGATGAGCAACATACATAGTCAGAATCTGACTTTGTCTTCCAGTTGAAGTCTTCTGTCTGAATTTGCAGATGTTCATGTTCACACAGGCCCATCTGTCCATCCTTCCAAATTCCTGAACTGCTGATGTCACACCTCTTTTTACAGATGGAAAAGCTGAGGCAGGAAGGAGAATCAATGGCATCCAGTCAGGGTTCCAGAGGCTGTGGCAGAACCAGGAAAACAACATTCAAATGGAGGAATTCCTTTAACCCCTATTAATTACTATGCAAAAGCAGAAGTTCCTGATCTCTTATATCTTCCTACTTCCAAGAGTAACATCAATCCTGACCATGATACCTCCATTCTAGATCACTCCTGGCTTTCCCCTACTGACATGGTGCCATGAGGATAGGGACATGGAGACCATCTAGGCCTGTCACCCCACTGTGGAAGAACAAATGGAGAGCCCAGCCCAGGAGATGATGTGACCAGCCCAAGGTCACGTAGCAAGACAGAGATAAGATCAGGTCTCAAACAAAACTTCTGCTCTCCTCCCCCATCCCCACTCACAACCAGCCTCAGATTAGAGCTTCATATGAGGGGCCTGCCACCCCCACCCGAGGCTGCAGGGGCTGCGTGGGTGGTGCTGGGCTCAGTAGCAGCTCAATCAATGATTGAGAATGAATGAGGAGGCTGACAAATTTTTAGGTTTGGTCTGTGGCCAGGGTTAGGTTCCTGTGATTAAAAGTTGGTTTCTGACAAGGTCAAGGTTAGAGGGTCGGCCTGTAGCTAGGATGGGGAAGTCAGTCATTGTTGAGGCTCAGCCTGTCTCTGATGGGGTTTAGAAGTCAATCTGGCTGGAGTAAGAGGCCAGCCTTAGGTTGGGGTGGTGTCAGTCCATGGCCACTGTTTGTTTCTTGCAATGCTAATCAACCTCTCTGGTGCGTCGCGCAGCATCCCTGACATCCCAAGCCTTCTTGCCTTAGTACAAAAGGTCCACTGTCCTGAGCAGAGGATGGAGGGGTCAGCTCCTTCTCCAGGGGTAGAGGGGGCTCAGGTGTGGCACCAAGGAACTGGCTCTCCGGGCTGGAGTTGTCATAGCCCTGGTTCTAGGGCTGTCCTCAGCAGCTGGCCTGGGAGACAGCCCTTGCATGAAGGGCACAGCCACTAAAAAGACTTCAGGCCCTTGGAGGCATTTCCTGTTTTCCAGTGAACTGAAAACTCAGCTTCCGGCTTAGAACAGTCCATAAGGATGGTTTCTTTTTTTGATGGTGGGCAGGGTGTCTTGGGGCAGAGGCTTTGTTGGACTTGAGGACAAGCTCTCAGGGCTCTGGTAGGAGGTGGCCCACAGAGACGAGTGGGAAAGGAGAGCAAGAACCCCTGGACACCTCAGCCTGTTTCCTGGCTGTGCCTTTGTGTTCACATCCAGAGCCCTTAGAGGGAGCAACACCAGCATAATCATACCTCAAACAATTGTGTGTATTTCACATGGAGGTGAAAGTTCTCTGGAGAGGAAAAGCAAAAAGTATGCAGGACCTATGTTGGCATGGTGACCAGAAGCATGTTGAAAGAGCCGGGTCTTTGGCGCCACCCAGACCCAGATTCAAATCACAGGCTTGACTGCTCATCTGTCCCTGAGGCTGGGTATGTTGCTTGGACAAATTCCTGGCCTCTCTGAACCTCAGAGCCTTCATTTCTAGAATGGGGTCCAAATAAGCCCCTCCCAGGCACCAGTGGAAGCCAGTCTCCTTCCTTCCAACTGAGTGCAGGGGGAGAAGGGTCCAGAGGCACATCTGTTCCCCAAACAAGGCAATCAGCTCCACTTCCGCCAAAGTGAAGGCCCTAGGCTGGTGCTGCTGCCCCTCCCCAAGCCCTTGCTCCTGCCTTCTCTACGACCCTACAGGCACATGCTGGTCCCCAGCCCCTCACTTGCCCAGCTCTGGCTCTCCTGTATTGCCTCTTTGGGTGGTGAGTGCAAAGAGGATCGGGAGAGGATGGAATTTCCTGATTGGCCCCACATGCCTTGACTTTGGTCCCCATTATCCCCACCATGCTAGACTCTGTCAGTTCCTCTGCCCCGGCCAGGGATCACCTAGGACCCCCAACCCCCAGCATCAACATAGAGTGCAGATTAATAGCCCCCTGCACAGGTGGGAGAGAGTGGGTAGAAAGTAAGGCCATTTACGAAGGTCATTAACACGGACCACAATTTTTAAGAAGGTGTTGGCCAGATGAGGCCCACAGCTCCCATCCCCATGGTGGGTCCAGGTGCGGAGGAGCTGGCCTAGACGGGAAGGCTGGAGGGGAGGGCGGGGAGGGCCCGCCAGCCCAGCCTTGCTCAGATTCCATCTGGCCCTTGGCCTGCTGTCTTTTGTGTCACCACCCTTGCCTCTGGGTGGACAGCGTCCATTAAGATGGGCCCTCACCTTTCCCTTTGGAGTGGTGCCTCTTTGGAGCAGCTGAATTGCTGGAGGCACCGAGTGACTTGACAACCGCCCAGAACAGAGGCCGCCTGAGGCCCGCTCTCATCTGAGCAGGGAACAGCTGGACACAGCTGAGCCTGCCTCGGACTCTGCCCTTGTAGACTTTCTCCTCCTACCTGAGTCTCTCCTTGTTCTCTCCTCCTCGCCTTCCTGCCTTTCTCAGGACAATAAAGTAGGAGTGAGGTAGATTTAGGAAATCCGGAAATAATGTGAAAATGTCTCTATGCATGCACACGTAAAGATCTGGGGTGAAGGCAGAGCCAGGCCTGCTGTCCCTGGGTGAATGTATTCCTGGGGGAAGTGCTCTCAGAAAACCATGCTCTGCTGGAGCCCTGGGAACTCAGAGCTGAGGGTGGCCGATAATTCTATGATCACAACATTGTTCTGCTCCAGGAAAAACCACCACCCAGATGGGATCAAATGCCAAAGAAGGGTCCTTGGGAGGGTCTATTTATTTGATTTGGTCCCAGCAGGAAGAGGAAGGCTGAGTGAATCTCAGCAGGCCGGTTCCCACCCCTCATCCTAACAGTCTTCTCTCTGGGATGCTTCTGGGAGCCCTGAATGACTGTACATTGGTTTATTCATTCATTCATTCTTTTAATTACATATAAATATAGTTCAGCCCTAGGGAAAATCACAACGACTTCATCCCACGTTGTGATCTCTTCGGCGTTTTCTTTCTTTTCTCCATAGCATATGCCACCTTCTCAGGACAGTCCTAGATCCAGGCAGGAGGGGCTCTGCCCAGGCCCTGCAATTTAGAGGGATCCCTTCCCTAGCTGCTCCCCCTTTCCAAGGGCCAAGGAGCCAGCAGCTGCAGCCAGCAGCCCTGCTGCTAGACTACCTCTGGGTACCTAGGATGTAGAATTCCCTGCCATGAGCAAACTCATGGTCCAGAGTTTGCTGTCAGAGTCTGCACAGACTTTGTCCTTGGGCCCATCCTCCCAGGGTGACCCAACCCCCAGCACGTGCACCCTTGGCCAAGGAGTGTGGATGGAATCTGGACATGATGACTGGGGTGTCCTACTGGTGTGAGACACAGCTTGGAGTGGGAAGAGAAGGAGCAGCCCACAAGCAGGGCCAGCTTTCCCCAGGCAGCCGTGTTCCTGGGAGCCAGGACTCCAAGGAGCCCTATTCCAAATTCAAACCTGGCCTTTCAGGTTGTTAAGAAAATGTATTTGTCAAGGGACAAAGCTAGGATGTATTTTACTTAACAATACCCTGCTTTATAACTTTAAAAATATTTAGCCTTTTGGTCCATTTATACTACTCCTTAAATGTCAGGGGCAGCCTGGACCTTCTAACACATTATGTAATTTACTTAGTGGTCGTGTTTACAGTTTCTTATTATCTGCCAACATCCTTGCCTTGTGTAAGGGCAAGGATTTTCGTCTTTGTTCACTGATGTCTAGATAGATGGCTTAAATTTAGTGGGAACTCCACGAAAATTTGTGGAATAAGTGAATGAATGAATGAGTGCATGAATAGTTAGTTCTGTGTATCATCTATCCTGTGTGCAAGTACTTTTTGTATGGTCTCTGGGGTTCAGCCAGATCTGGCCTGTCACTAGGTCTGTGAACTGAGCAATGTTCAGTTTCCTTAACTGTAGAACTGACATACAAATAACAACAGCTTTATGAAGTTGTAAGGATTAAATAAGCGATATAATTTCTGAGACGCAATTTCCTCAACTATAAAATGGGGGATAATTAGAGTATCTACTTCATGTGATTTTGGTGAGGTTTAAATAAGCTAATTTATGTGACATACTTAGTATAATGTCTGAAACAAAGAAGATTATTTAAGTTATTAATAACCTAAAGAAGGAAGCATGAATGGTGGATTCTGCATTTGGTTTCCTGGAAGTCAGCCTTTTCAGAGCCTCCCAAAGCAGCCAATGGGTGGCCTCCTGCTCCAATGTACATAAGGCCTGAGAGGCAGTGGCACGTATAATTGTTCACCTTGCACGGGGGTTCCAAAGCTGAGCTTGGTCTGATCTCAACCCTCCGGCAGCACTGACCTGATCCAACTGGGGAAAGTAAGCAGTAAAACATGAACTCTGCCATCATACACAGAGACAAGGGTGTCTTTATTGAAGGGGTGGGTTGAGCTCTCAAAGATTGTGCCCCCTACAAAAACCATCAAACCACTTTATAAACAATTCCCATGACTTGACACTCATGTTGAGAAATGAAGAAGACTGCTTCAGGACTGTCCTGGAACCCAAGCCCCCCAAGCTCCCAGCCCTTCCATGCCATGCAAAGCTGAGTGGCCCTTCCCTGCAAGGCCCTTCCCTGCTCTTTGTCTGCCCACATCTTCCTCCCCCTTCAGTGCCCTCTCAGCACTGCCTCATCCAGGAAACCTGCCTCGATAAGGCAAACCTACCCCCTTCTCTGGATTTCCCTGGTATCGTCTGCAGGGCTTTCTTGTCTCTCTTGCCTGCCTTCTGCTGCTCTCCTGTATGGGGCCTGTTTTGTTTCATGCTGGTTGTCAGTTCCCTGAGGGCCAGAACCTTGCCTTGGAGACTTATGCTCCTTTCTGTCTGCAGTGAGGATCCCTCATTGGGGGGGGTGGGTTGTGTCAGGAGCCCCCAGGAATGCTGAGGAGCAGGACATCTGAAAGACGAGAAAACAGAAAAGAAAGGCTGCCCTCGTTACACCAAGCCAGTCTTTCCCATGGTGGAGCCTGCACTCTGATCAAGAAGTGGGGGTGTGAGTGCCTCAGGGAGGAGAAATGATGGCAATAGAACCAGAAACTGTGCCTTGGAACTTTTGATCTCACTGGTGTTTCACAACAGGTCTTGAGGCTGTAGGTCTCATTACCACCATTTTATAAATATAGATACAGGTTTAGAAAGGTACAGTTACCTACCAAAGGTGAGCAAGCTCCCTAAGCCAATTTTTGGTGCACATCCTTGCATTCTTTTTGGTAGATTCCTACATCTGCAGGAAGGGGAGATGTAGTTACTCCATAACAAGTTCTCAGCCCACCCTCCGAGACCAATACAGACAATTTACTAGCAAGTAGGCAGAGAGGCTTGTGGATACTCTGAAAGCTCCATCAAGTCCCAGGTCCCTGTCCTTTTGGGTGTTTTTGATAGTGCCTCCCAGGAAAGATTTCCTGTGGCAAATGTGACCCTGTTCCCCCATAGCATCAGGCTGTCTGTGGGAGTTAAGACAACCAGGACACCTACAAGGCAGCAGGAAACACAGGCCATTTAGGGGTTCAGCCTAGGTTGCTGTCTCCAAGGGCAATAGGCAAAGGTCTTTCCAGATTTGGGGTATTTTCTTTTCTTTTTTTTTTTTTGAGACAGGGTCTCATTTTGCCACCCAGGCTAGAGTGCAGTGGTGCCATCACAGCTCACTGTGGCCTCAATCTCTGGGCTCAGGTGATTACCTCAGTATTCCAAGTAGCTGGGGCTACAGGTGTCACCACTATGACTGGCTAATTTTTTGTAGAGACAAGGTTTGCCGTGTTGCCCAGGCTTGTCTTGAATTCCTGGGTGCAAGCTATCTGCCCACATTGGCCTCTCAAAGTGCTGGGATCACAGGTGTGAGCCACTGCACCCGGCAGGGGGTTATTTACTTATTTTCTTTTTTATGTTTTTGAGACGGAGTCTTGCTCTGCCACCAGGCTGGAGTGCAGTGGCGCGATCTCGGCTCACTGTAACCTCCACCTCCTGGGTTCAAGCGATTCTCCTGCCTCAGCCTCCCGAGTAGCTGGCATTACAGGCATGTGCCACCACACCCAGCTAATTTTTGTATTTTTAGTAGAGACAGGGTTTCACCATGTTGGGATGGTCTGGATCTCTTGGGCTTATGATCTGCCCACCTTGGCCTCCCAAAGTGCTGGAATTACAGGCACCAGCCACCGCGCCCGGCCATGGGGTTCTTTTTATTTTTTATTTTTATTTTTATTTTTTATTTTATTATTATTATACTTTAAGTTTTAGGGTACATGTGCACAATGTGCAGGTTAGTTACATATGTATACATGTGCCATGCTGGTGTGCTGCACCCATTAACTCGTCATGTAGCATTAGGTATATCTCCTAATGCTATCCCTCCCCCCTCCCCCCACCCCACAACAGTCCCCAGAGTGTGATGTTCCCCTTCCTGTGTCCATGTGTTCTCATTGTTCAATTCCCACCTATGAGTGAGAATATGCGGTGTTTGGTTGGGGTTCTTTTAATTTAAGTATAACACACCTACAGAGAAGTGCATAGATCTTAAGGATACAGCTCAATGTACCGTCACAATGTGAACCCATCTGTTTGCCGGCTCTTCATTCTGAAAACAAAACTAGTACCCCCCAGAAGCCCTTTTGTGCCCCCTCCTAGTCACGACCTCGCCTCCCCATAAGGCTAACCACTAGCCTGATTTCCAAGAGCATAGATTGTGTTTCATATCCATAGAATCACAGTGTGTACTCTTCGGCTTGGCTTCTTTTCCTCAACATTATGTTAAGAGAGTCCTCTGTGTTGTTGTGTGTAGCTCTAAATCACTCATTCTTATGGTTACATAGTGTTCCATTGTGGGAATATTTCACAATTCATTTTTCCTTTCCATAGTGGATAGATTTTTCTCCTGGGTCAAAGGTATACAATTTGGCTTTCACAGATATTGACGATGTTTTTCAAAGTACTTGTACCATTTTCTACTCAGACTAGAAACACTGAACGTTCCAATTGTTCCACATCTTATGTCTGCCTTTTTCAGTTAGTCATTTGGGTGGAGGTAAAGTGGTATCACAGTTCGATTTAAATGTGCATTTTTCCAATTACTAGAAAAGTTGAAGTCCTCTAGGTTTGTATACCCTGTGTTTTGAAATGTGGAGATTGATCTTGAGATATCTTTTCCAGTCTACTTATCTCAGACACCACTAATGTCACCTTTCTAACATTCTTTATGCTAATTAAGAAGCCACCATTTTCCTTGAGAAAATAGTTTTCTAGCATCCCTTATGTTGATGACAAAACTCCCAGGTGCTTTGGGAGGTAAAAGAAGGCTGAAGCACTTGCAGTAGCTTTCTGAATAAATACTATTTATTCAGCCTGCTGTTCACCCCTGAAAAATGTATTTCTGATTATACGTGAAAGATCATCCTTCAAGTATAGCTTAAAACGAACACACCACATATGTAATGTCACTGTCTGGGCTAAAGTACTTTAAAGTAGAAAACAGACTTCATAAGGTGGCTTTCAAGCCTTATTTCCACCCCTCTCTGCCACTGCAAACACTAGGACAACACATGCCTCATGCTTCTGAGATTGCCTTGCATGGGGATCTTCAGGCTTCTGGTAGCCCGAGTGATGGTCTGCACTTAGGCACAAGGTAGTAGAGAAGGGACAATATCCCCATAGATTTCCTTGGCAAGAAATCTATTAGTCTGGCTTTTTCTTAGTTCAGGGCACAGCCACACATACTCTCCTCAAGGAGCTCTGCAGCCACCTGAACCTTGCTAGGGACCCTGCCCAGCGCTCCCCTGGAACAGGTGGGTCAGCACCTGGCTTTCTCATCTAGAATGTGGTTGGGGGTGGGAAAAGAGGCTCCAAACCAGATATACGGACAGCAATTGACCTTTCTTAGTGCTTTGTGGAGCATAGAGATTTGAGAGGACCAGTCCCTTGTCTCCAGGACTTTGGAGCTGTTCTCTTCCAGAGCGCTAGGTAAAGGGAAGGGCAGGCTGGTCACATTTCATTCAGTCAAGTGCTTGCAGATGCCTCCTGACCTTCCTACAACAGCTCCTTTTGTTTCTGTGAATGTTTTTCAGCTTTATTAAGTTATAACTGACAAGTAAAAATTGTGTATATTTGTGGTATATGTGATGTTTTGATATAGGTATACATTGTGAAATGATTAAATCAAGCTAATTGATATTAGATTGGTGCAAAAGTAATTGTAGTTTTGCCACTACTTTTTAAAATTTGTTAAAATAGTATATAGTATTTAATTTTTATTTTAAGTTCCAGGGTACATGTACAGGATGTGCAAGTTTGTTACATAGGTAAAAGTGTTAGTATTACTTTTAAAAATGTCAAAAACCACAATTAATTTTGCACCAACCTAACATATCCATCACTTCACATTCTTTCTCCTCCTCCTCCTCATTACTATTATTTTGAGACAGGATCTTGTTCTCTTGCCCAGGCTGGAGTGCAGTGGCACAATTATGGCTCACTACAGCCTCGACCTTCTGGGCTTAAGCAATCCTCCTGCCATGGCCTCCTGTGTAGCTGGACCACAGGCGTGCACCACCATGCCTGGCTATTTTTTTTTTTCTTTTTCTTTTCTTTTTTTTTTGGTAGAGATGAGGTCTCACTTTATTGACCAGGCTGGTCTTGAATTCCTGGGCTCAAGTGATCCTCTCACCTTGGCCTCCCAAAGTGCTGGAATTACAGGTGTGAGCCACTGTGCCTGGCCCTGGCCCATTCTTTTTTGTGGTGAGAACGCATAATATCTTCTCTCTTGGCAACTTTCAATTATACATTATTATTAACCATAGTCACCATGTTCTACAATCGAGCTTCGGAATGTATTTGTCCTAATTGAAACTTTGTAGTTTGACCAACATCTCCCCATTTCCACCCCCACCCCAGACCCTGGCAACCGCCATTATACTCTCTGCCTCTATGAGTTTGATGATTCTCCTAATTTTAAGTTCGTGATAAGACAGACAAGCTGGTAGGACGGTTGCTTCTCCTTGGGTGGTCACTTACCTAGAAACAACTCTTGAATCAGAGAGAAAACTATGTGCTAAACACATCCTTCTTGGGGTGGGTCTGGAAATTCATGCTTCGATCTCCAGGTGGGCAGGAGATGTTGCTGAGAGAGGAAAAACTGTGAGAGAAGAGGCCTTGCAGGCAGATACGCCAGTCACTGGAGGGCTTATGAGGAAGTCGAGAGGGTGACAAGGTAGTCCATCCCCTTACCTTAGGATAAGAAATAGTAGAACTGCAATCATTGCTGTAACTTTTTTTTCTTTTTTTTTGAGACGGAGTTTTGCTCTTGTTGCCCAGGCTGGAGTGCAATGGTGCGATGTCGGCTCAACGCAACCTCCGCCTCCCGAGTTCAAGCAAGTCTCTTGCCTCAGCCTCCCGAGTAGCTGGGATTATAGGCATGTGCCACCCTGCCCAGCTAATTTTGTATTTTTATAGAGGTGGGGTTTCTCCGTGTTGGTCAGGCTGGTCTCGAACTTCCAACCTCGGGTGATCCACCCACCTCGGCCTCCCAAAGTGCTGGGATTACAGGCGTGAGCCACAGTGCCCGGCCCCATTTCTGTAACTTTTAAGGAACAGGAAGTTTTGGCCAATGGAAATTTCTGGTGTACTCAAGAGGGTGCTTTTGAGTTTCAAACATTCTTGAAAAGTTTGTGCTGGAGAAAGAGGAGGAGTCTTGCAGTACCAGGGCAACATGCTTGGAATGGCAGAAAAGGAGTCCCAGAGTGAAGGAGGAACCTGGAGAGCCCGGGAGTCGGCAGGATGGGCACAGACATGGGCTGCATGGGGGAGGCGGGCAAGAGCTAAGCATGGAGCCCCGCTGGCCAGTCTGTGCTCCAGGCCAGCCTGCAAGGAACTCTCACCCTAGGAGGAGTCCCTGGAACCCCAAGGCCTATAGTTCCAAGCATCAGGCTCAAAACTGAGTCATGAGGAGGCTCAAGTGGGCATTGTTTGCAAGGTGGTCCAGCATTTGCTTCTCTGGAAAGACAAAAATGCAGGTGCCGCCTGCTTTCTTTCCTATCACCCAGCACCTCAAGGCAGACAGGCCAAGGCAGCTGAGAGCCATGTCCAGTTGGCACGGGTCCCCCTTATTCCTTCTGACAGCCCAGAAGCACAGAGGCAGGGGGAATGTGCAAATATGGTCATTTGCAGCTTTTGTGCATCTTCCAAGGAGAAAGGAAAGCTGAAACCACGTTTAGGTTTGGAAATTTTTGAATCTCTAACATATAAATGGCAAAAAGCTTCATTAGTGCCACTTTGCCACTCACAACGGAGATGAAAAATTCTTATTGGCACTGAAAATAAGACTTAACGTCATTGTATTTATTAGGTTCTGAAACAATACACATTCACATCCTTTTGAATACAGTACATTTGGCACAATAACGTTTACAATGAAATAACACTAATGAATGGCAAGAGATTAAAATTACATCCAGAAAGGAAAAAAATGTACAAATAAAGCATCACAATACAAAAAAAAAAAATCCTAAAATTGAATACATTTTACAGTTAGCCAGAATTATTTTGCACATAATTTAAAAAGAGGTAATTTTTTAGCCTTCTTTTTTTTTTTTAAAGCAAGAATGCATTGTTTTTTCACCTTTGGAGGAAAAAAAATTATGTTTCTACTTCACAAAGTCCATAATGAGAGAACACAGAAGAACAGCTATCCTTCATATATTTTTTGGCTTTGTTTTTTTTGCACTCCCATTTTTTTTTTCTTTGAGAGAGAGAGAGAAAGAGAAAGGGGGTGGGGCTGGAAAGATCAGAAAAAACTGGCAGAAGTGTTAACAGTGTGTCTATTTTCAAACTCTCGTAAAAATGAAAATGAAACAATGATTACTCAACGAACACGCAAGCCTTTTTCTATAGACCTTTGCTGGATTTAAATCAGCCTATGTGAGAACTTCACCAGCCAGAGGCATCCCAGCCAGCCCAGCTTTGGGTGCTGAAAAGGGCCCTTTCTGGGACAGACTGACTGGCTGCCTTCAGCTGCCAGGTGGAATGTATTATTTGACTTCCCAGCAAACTTGCCAGTTGTCCTGTAGGAAAGGCCCAGTTCCCACTGCCGTGCAAACACTAGGCCCTCGGACAAGGCCATCTGGCATTGCGGTTAGAGCTTGCTTGGTTGTCCAAAGTTTATTATGGTGAAGAAAGCAGAAGAAAGAACAGTAGTTACACATGAATATGATGGGCAGTATTATCATGTCTTCCTAAAAAATGAGATGATGCCACCGTAAAGATGTTTCTGTGCTTGTACTCAACTCCAGAAGATAGTCTCTCTCCAGAATGTCAAGTTACCGAAGATAAATTAAATTAATCTCATGTTCTTCATCATTCACTGGTATGCCAAACACATGAATTGATATATCATAATATTTAATATTTGCAATTATCTTAAGAACAGATAATAATTACACCTGAGTTTTTAAAAAATAAAAACAAAAGAGAACTGAATGTCATCATTAGTAACAAAGGCTATGACCAGCCAGATGCAAATATGGACACAGACTCTCTAATGGGCTCAAGATAGTTACTGTCCGAGCTTTGAAACCACCATCAAAAACATTCCTTTCTCTCCCCCATCTCTATCAGGGTATAATAGAGCACAGAAGAACTGTATGTGAGATTTAATATAGCTTAATATATGTTTACATCTTTTAAAATAAACCAAAATGAAATAAACAATACAAAGAATCCCCAACACACCCCCCCATCCCCCATAAAGGAACACACCTATCTCTCGGTAACTTGAACCAATAGACTTACAGAGTATTGCACCTGGACATTATTATAATTATTCTTTCATAGACTAAAGTTTTATAATATGCCTGAACATGCAGCAGTTGATACCTCTATATGCAACGAATTAATTCCACAGGCCTTGCAGCAAACACTATATACAAAAATCTCAAATGTACAAAAGGCAAAAGCTTCATTAGTGCCACTTTGCCACTCACAAGTATATATATTTAGGGGCAGCTGGGAAATCCACGTGCAATAGTTGGAATGGATTCCATTCCCTGCTAAATCAGTTCAGTAAATTAGGTAATCAAATGACCTCTGGGAAACATATACACAAAGCCACAGAGAACCCTTGGAAATGAAAGAATAACACTGTTAGCATATCTACAGGAGGTAATGTCACATCCCTTCAATAGTGTCCACATGAGTTGCCATTGCATGTCACACAGAAACAAAACTGAGTACATCTTGCGACATTGTCAGTTTTCTAACAAGTTGCTCTTCAGTTTCCAGATACCCTTTGTATAACCCATGTTTAGCCTCATTCTGCTTATTCCAAAAGCAGATATTTCGTATATAACTTTACATGTTTAATGTTTAAAAACCACAACACAGTAGTACTACCATTTTGTATAAGTGCGCAAAAATAACACACTGCTGCAGAAAATAAATAGTGTTTATGCTAGGAACTTAGGATGAAACTGGAAAGAGAATCTGGGAGCTGAGCTTTGTTGGAACCCCAGGGTCCTCGCCTTTGTGTCCAGGTAGAACTTGAATGATGAAGAATGCTACTTGTTGCCTTTTCTCTCAATTCATACAGCTCTCATGTGTCACTCGGGCATTGACAGCATCCACCTTGGACGACCGGTTTCTCATTTTTTATTAGCCCTTTAATATCTACCTGTATTCAGACTGGAACTCATCTCTTTTGGCCAATTAGAAAGTGAATTTGAAAATATATTTTTCAAATGTTAACAGAGTTCAAAACCCTGTTTCTTTTTCCACAAAGAGGATTTCTTCCACAAGACACAAACTTACATGACTTTGGCATGCTGAAAAGCTAAAACCAAAGCAGGCAAGAGTTAGCCATTCCAGAGCAAACCAACCCAGCTGGCCAATCCCTGCATCTCTGGTCTCCCTCCCTCAGAGGGCATGCCTCAAGGGCGCCCTCCCTCGTGTGTGCGGAGAAGCACCAGTCTCTTCTCCAGGACAGAAGGGCAGGGATGGCAAGCTGCGGTGCAGGAGGGAAAAGAAGCAAGAGGGATCAGGATCTGTGTCCGATAGCAGAGCCGGAGTCTTCTTGTTTGCTTTCTTTCTTTTTTCTGTTCTTTGCAGTAAAAGAACTGAAGTTGCTTCACTGCCAGGAGCCCCTGAGGAGTGGAACCAGGCTTGCCAATGGTCCAAACACGGCAGTGTATACAGCTAATTGCTGACCCAATGAGTCTGCATTACTGGTGAGACAAGAACCGAGAGCGCCTTCTGGTCACCAGGTGGGAGGGGGAGGAGGTGGCCTGGGGCAAGGGAATGCAATAAATAGACAGTGGACATGGGACTGGGGCTCCGAGGAGGAGAAGTAGTTCAAGACCTGCTGAGTGTCTCCAACACAGGAGTCTTCTCTGCACCCCTTCTTGCAGCATCGGCAAAGTCCAACTGCAGTGGGCTCTCAGGGCATCAGGTCTTCACCAAAGTAGGAGAAACCTTTGAATTCCTCCTGGTTGATCTGCTTTACAATTGCTTCGTCCACAAGGGTGAGTACCGGCTCTTCCCGGGTAAAGTCTTGGTCAAAATTATTGACGTCTCTTTTGGTTTTCTGTGGGAAGAAAAGAGAAAGTGGTGAGTTGAGGCTGCTCTCCCTCCTGAGGGCCCCCCATGGGGAGTGGGCACCGCACTGACCAGCCTGTCACCAAAGCAGGCCTCTAGCTACCAACAGACAGCAGACACGGGGCTGTCCCGATGAGGTAACGATGGATGGCCCCAGGACCCGGAGGTGAGAGACGAGGAGAGGAAGAATGAGTCAAGGTGAGAAGGAAGAAGGGGTGAGAGGGTATGATGGAAAAGCAGGGAAGTGGGATTCCCACAGACGTGTGTGTGTGTGTGTGTGTGTGTGTGTTTGTGTGTGTATGATGCAAAGGTCCCATCTCACACCCTCTTTCAGCAACTGCTGTAACCTACTGGCTCCATTACAACATTCCTCCCTGTGACCCAGGGAACAGATCTGAATCCCCTCTCAGAGGTCCTTCTTCCCCATAACCCGGCCACATCTGCTCCAGGTGACATCCTCTCCACAAGCCTGCCTCGATTTCCACTTACTCTCACCACGAACCCAATTTTGTGCTCCAGTATTTTTTCAATTATTAAACTCAGCACATTGACTTGCAATGACGTTTTTATGCTTTTGTCTAGACCAAGAGCTTCTTAAAGGCAGAGACCTTGTCTTGTTCAACTTTGAGTTCCCAGCAGTTCCCCAGCAATAAGTGTCTACTGAATGAAATAAGTAAACTCACCACTGACTCCCCAGCTCTGAAGGACCCATACCTCTGGGTTGAAGTTCCCAAGGTACAACTGTGTGCCTTATGGTTCTTGGGGGGTGGGGTGGAAGGGAGCAATCAATCAACCCACAAATGAATGCTGGTTTTTGGAGAAAATCAGGAAGTATAAGTAATGCTCTCTGCCTTTAGGGGCTTAGAGTTGAGTTCAAGGGGTCAGTAGTCCTGTGTAGAACACATCGCTTTAGTTAGAAAAATTTCCATGGAGAAGTTGGGATTTGGGCTAAGACTTGAGGAATGGGTGACAACTGTACTGGTAGAAATGGGAGGGAGGCACCTTGGCAGGGAGAAGGATGGAACAAAGGCAGGGAACAGGAAGACAAAAGATGCATACACAGGGCAGCGGGTTCACTAAGCTGCAGGGGCAGAGTGCGGCATGGGGATGGCGGGAGTTAGGGCTGGAGTCCAATGGCAGAGGCCTTCAATAGCAGGTCCCCTCTCCCCCACAGCACAGAGCACAATGCCCAGAAGATTAAAGGCAGGGACTCCAGCAATACTTTTTTCAGACACTGATTAACTGGTATTACCCAGGATTAGTGACTTGGATGATGGAATAAATCTTGTGGAAAGATTCACATTATTATTTGTAGGAGAAATAATATTAATATATGCTATGCTCTGTGGAAACCACTAACCTAAAGAAGTTAATAAGTAGTCCATGAAAAAAGCAGTTTTGACATAAAGCCATGTTTTCTACCCTGCTCTTGGAGATTTGCTATGCACATTGGCAAGTTAGTCTCTGAGAAATTCTAGAGTGAGGAAATCTAGTTTGCTTTGTTTAGGCTAGCCTTCCTCAAACTTGACCTAAAACTTTTTTGTTTTCCTAAATAGTTTATGAACACCTCTCCTGAGAGCAGGGTCTGCAGAATGCAGTTTGGAGAATGTTGGTTTACAGTTTACAAAGAATCTTTGCATTTATTCGCTCATTTGATCCTCAGAACAGGCTGGTAACATCCTGATCCTGCAGATGAGGAAACTGGCTCAGAGAGGTTTGTTGACTTTCCCAGGGTCACTGGACTGGGTAAGAGCAGACCCAGAACTCATGTCTGGGCTTCAGTGTGATGCCTTCCACAGTGGGTAAGGTCTGGAAATCTGGACACGGGAGAAATTGGAAGATATAACAAGAGTCAAGTTCAACCAGGAGACATTTTGGTAACACCACTAGGCAAAATAAAGCCGGAAAGGCCTGCCAGTAGGCAAGCATGGGTGGAGACAGCTGTGAGTCCGGGAAGATAGTGGGTAACGTGGGCCGGGTGAGCTGCGCGGGGGACTGTTTTCAACTCGTCCCAGGTTGAAATCAAAATCACAAACAGCACGGAGGAGGGACAAACTGATTTCTACCATCTTTTAGCACCACCAGTCCTGCCTGGTGTCTTCTCTCTGGGCTTGAGCTGCATAGGTCAGCAGGTCTCAGAGACCTTGGAAGGGGGAAGGGGGGGACACACAGAAAACCCAAGGGATCCCCAGAAACAGAACCTATAGCTGAGGGGTGTCCATGATGCCCCTGAGATGGGAAAGCCGGGTGGTTTGGTCACCTCTGCCAGGAGGGCTGGCCCCCGGCAGGAGGACCATCTGTTCTCCCTCTCCAGTGTGTACAGAACAAGAGGAAAAGGAGGGCCCTGCTTGAGAGGGAAACAACAAAGACCATCCCCACGGTGACGCACACTGACGCGGGAGGGTGGCGCCTGGGCAAAGGGTGTGGCGACACCTCTTCTGAAGATCTCTGTGGAAGGGGGAGGGATTCACTGACTGGGGAGGATTGCAGGCTATGGGCCCTCTGTGCCTGGCGAAGTGAGTCAGTCCAGAGGGAGGAGCGGGCTGGGTAGGCTGTGGCAACAATTAGGGAAGCCCTGGGTATCATCCCAGAAGGCAAGCCAGGAGCATCCACGCCGGGGGAGCTGGAGCCGAAGGGGATAATGGAGTAGTAGGGGTGGCAGTAAGGAGAAAAAGAGAGTCAAGGAATAGGGCAAGAAGAATATTCCATTTGTAACGTCACTAAGGACGAGCCTTGCCCAGGTATGTGGTAGACCGGTATAATCCAGGCAGAGGGCTGGCTGTACAAGGCGTGTAGGCAGGAGATGCCTTCACCATCTCTCCTAACTTGGCACTCACCACACTGAGGAGGCTCCCTCTTTTCAACTAATGTATGATATAGTGACCGGGATTCTCCAGGTTTCAGAATCATCCCCAGCTCCCTCCCAGATGGCTGCTAATGAGGGGAACCTGTGTATGAAGAACTTCAGAAAATCTGTAAGCCCTCTGGCACTGGCTCTCCCCATTTACCTGATTGTGTTTCACCTGTTGGTCATTAGTGTCTGTTAATCATGGAAGCTGGTTTCATTTCTTGAGGTCAACTGAGCATAGTGGTAAAGCTAGATCCTACAGGATGTCTGAATTTCACGACTTGCTGTTGTGAATCAGGGAACCAGGCTCAGTCAATACTGCTAGTGGTGTCATTCCAGAGGACCTTAGCTCCATGGTGGGCTATCTTGGAGAGCCATTTAGCTCAGCTCTGAGATTCTTGAGGTTCCAGAATCATCTGTGGCATTTGAGAGAGTATGCCATTCTTCATGATCGTTACAGACTTGGCTCACCCATCTCCTTATACAACTTGGCCCCTACCCTACTTTACTTGGAGACATTTCAGGTGCATGTGAGTTACCCATTTCTAATTCAAATAACCATCCCCACTATGTGCAATCTCTAACTGTTAACAGTAGAGGCTTGGGAGTTTTCCAAAGCAAACATCTCTGGGAAAACCCATCCCCTATTAATGGTATGTAGGCAGCACAGCATCGTCAAATTTGCAAAGAACTGCAGATTATATTCTTTACTCGCTGATTTTATTCTTTGAAAAGCTGCTACCTCCCGCACAGAGCAGGCACTGGACTCGACTTAAAGATTCTGAGGGGCAGGCTCTCAGAGACACTTGTTTATCCTGATCCTCAGTCATCCCTGCCTCCCCTAATGCCTAAATGTCAGGCTCCTGGCCCCCACTGCAGAGCCTGAGAGATGACAGTGGGACACAGGGAACAACATTCTAACTCGCCAGTCCCTTCCTAATCCGTGAAGCCTTTTCTACAACCTTTGGCCCACACTTAGGGAAGGCTGAATAGAGTAGGAGGAAGATCACCGGCTGAGCTCATTCTGGTGCCATCCTTTCCTGGTTATTGACGCTGTGAAGTTAACCTCTTTAAGCCGTGGTCTTTCCATCTGTCACACGGGGGTGGTAACAGGCACACTATAGGTTTCCTTGAGGACTGAGTGAGATGTGATATTAGGTTCCTTCTGCAGAACCTGGCATACAGAGTGCACTCAATAAATGATAGCTCCCATCATGCCTTCAAATCTTAGCATTCGTGTGCCATGGGCATGCATCATGCACAGCTTGGTTGTTTCCCAACACAGTGCATGGTATCTGCCCATCAGTGAGTTTCCTGAAGTTAGGGGCTGAGTCTTACCTTTCTTTCTGTGCCTCCAAATCCTGAACTAGGACTGAGCCTGGGCCTGCCTGAACATCCTAGTGCTTCCTCCAGCAATTGAGATGCTTCATTGCACATCACGGCTTTTGGGGTAAAGTCCTGAGTTCTTTCGCTCACCTGCTTCTGAGGCCCTTCAGGAGCTTGTCCTTGCCTCATCCCCCAGGTTCATCTCCCTGGCACTGCCCAACCATGGGGCTTCCTCCTGCTTTCTCTTGCCTCCAGCCTTGCATAGCTAGCCCTCTACCTGGAATGCCCTCCCCTATCCCTGCCTTCTGCCCCACATCCATGCAATTTCCCCACCTCCATGTACATGCCCTTTCTTCAGGAACCCTCCTCATCCCTCCAGGGCTGCTTGAGCAAAGCTTCTTGTGGGTGCCCTCACCATCTCTCCTAACTTAGTACTCACCACACTGAGGAGGCCTCTTCTTTTCAACTAATCTATGAGCTCCTTGCAGGCAGAGACTGGGTTGAACTCACCATTCTATCCCCAGCCTAGCACAATGCCTGGCACATACTGCATACTCCATAGATATCTGCTAGAAAAAATTAATAAATGCACCTCTCTTGCTGCTACTTTATCTAGAGCCAGTAACGTGATCTGGGTTCAGGGTCAGGGGCTGCTGTGCTGTCAGGGGGTGTTTTGATTTTGGGAAGTGGAGGCAGGGAGTTGGGGGGGATGGCTGTAGTCTGATTCATGAAGGGCCTAGAGCCAGGCATCCCAGACCATCACTAGGCCCATGGGGTCTGCAAAACAGGTAGGCTTAGGCCCAATTAATGAAATTTCTTCTCCCAGGACTTGGGGCACTAGAGTTTTCTAATTGCTGACACAAGATAGAAACAAACAGGTTCGACCAGGGTTTGGGAAAATTCCATCAAGACAGATATGTTTAGGGACTTTGTGGGTATGTCTGACCCCTGTGGCTGATGTTAGAGGAAAACAACATTCCGATTCCCTCTGGCATCATTTCAGAAATAAGGTCTTAGATTTGAGAAATCTGGGACTGACTCTGGGGGAAGGGCACATTTTTGGTGTCTGTAGTCAGGAAGGGAGGAAATAAGAGTTTCAGGTCAGTCCAGATCCCTCTCAGAGACTGGGCCTGCCTCAGAGCTCAGGCAGCTCTGAGGCCTAGAGACTCAGCGGCTGTGGTGGTGTTGGGAGCCCAGGGCAGAGGTAGGCAGGCAGCGTCAATGCTTACTTCCTGTCTGGCCAGCACAATCTCTCACAGCCCTCACTGTGCTGACGTCATAAACTTGAGCTTTCGGAGGAGCCAGCAGTGTCTGCTTCTGTCTTCATCTGATTCCCAGGAGATCAACAGATGACTTTGTTTTAAAGCACTGAGAAAACTCCCTGATCTTACAGGCTGGGGCATAGGGCTAGCTTTCATGTGGCTGCCTTATTGGTCCCTGCCTTCCCCCTTAACTCTGCTTGGCGTGACAGCAACAGCACAAGTAGCATAGTGACCCCAACCCAGAGGTCCTCTGCCTCATGGGGTGTGACCTGAACTGAGACATGCTGTCTCTACGTGGTCTCCTAAATGCCAGCATCCTTCTAGGTCCCACGTGAGGCTCCTTCTTATGACTTCCGTAACTCCAGTCTCCTTCCACCCTGCCCTCCTCCCGGCTCCTATGGCACTGTCTGGATCATGCATTTAGCCCCTTCTGCTATTTCATGTGTATTATATTCCCCATCATACCCCTCAAGGTACCTACTGCAAGGCAGGGCACACAGCAGATACTTAACGTTCATTGGCCGGAAATAATTTTAGTCACTATAACAGCCAAATCCCAAGTCCGTCCTAGCTTTGAAATGTCCATATTCTTGTCTATGCTCCACTTTTCTCTTTTAAATATTCTAAAAGAAAAAGAATTTAAACAATTAGAACACTTCCTCACCATTAACTAGATCCTCATATAGATACATATATTCTTCATAGCCATACATTCGAATTAAAAGAATATATGTGTATATGTTTACACACACATACTGATGTGTGAAGTTAAATGAAATAAGGAAGGTATCACTGCATAGTGCCCTGCCTGGCAAAAATGAGAATCTAACTCTCAAGTTAAAAATTTCTCTAAACATAATCATCTGTCATCCCTTCTTCCTCTTTATAATTTTGTTAGCCAAGAAATGTTCATACTTTTGGATTTTCTTTACAGTAAACAGGTCAAAATGTATAGAGGGGTCATCTGGCACTGGACTGCCCATGGAACTTTCTACTGGGAGTCCATGGCAGTGCTCTATTTTTTTTTGAGACAGAGTTTCGCTCTTGTTGCCCAGGCTGGAGTGCAATAGCACAATCTTGGCTCACTGCAACCTCCGCCTCCCGGGTTCAAGCAATTCTTCTGCCTCAGCCTCCTGAGTAGCTGGGATTACAGGCATGTGCCACCACGCCTGGCTAGCTTTTGTATTTTTAGTAGAGATGGGGTATCTCCCTGTTGGTCAGGCTGGTCTCGAACTCCTGACCTCTGGTGACCCACCTGCCTCAGCCTCCCAAAGTGCTGGGATCACAGGTGTGAGCCACCATGCCCAGCCATTTTTTTTTAAATCCATATCCTTGGTAGTGGCCAGAAGTGACTGCTCAGTTCCTGCCTCTGCGGTCTGAACAGTGCCAAGTGCAGTGGTGTTACTTTCTACTTGGCGTGAACCCTTAAATTACATTAACATTGTCTAAGATAGTATCAATGTTTTATAATTTCTTAAGTAGCTATGAGAAAACATTGACACTATCTTAGTTGTATCAATCCAATTTTACCATGTTATGAGTTGAATTGTGTCTCCCCAAAAAGATATGTGAAGTTTTAACCCCCAGTACCACAGGATGTGGTCTTATTTGGAAATAAGTTCTTTGCAGACGTAATCAAACGAAGATGAGGTCATTAGAGTGGGCCCTGATCCAATATGACTGGTGTCCTTATAAGAGGGGAAATTGGACACAGAGACAGACATGCACAGAGGGAAGAGACACAGGGACATATGTGTGAAGACTGAAGCTGTGTGGCACGAGCCAGTGAAAGTCTGTGGCTACCAGAGCTGAAAGAGGCAAGGAAAGATTCCTCTGTAGGTTTCAGAGGGAGCAAGACCCTGCCAACACCTTGATTTCAGACTTCTAGCCTCAAACCATGAGATCATAAATTTCTGTTGTTAGATAAGCCACCCAGGTTTTGGTACTTTGTTATGGTAGCCCTGGGCAACTAATACAAACTCCAATCTTATTTTTCTGAAATTGATTTAAAAAAATTTTTTTAAGTATATAAAGTAGAGAGATGAAATCTCGCTGTGTTGTCCTGGCTGGTCTTGAATTCCTGGGCTCAAGTGATCCTCCCACCTCAGCCTTCCAAACTGCTGGGATTACAGGTGTGAGCTACCATACTCGGCCTGAAATTGGTTTTTAAAATCCAAACGTAATCCTTTACACTTGATTTCTTCTTATTTTGGGACATATTTCTAGCCTGTCAAGATCACCATGATTCTGCAACTTACCTCTCTGAATCTCAGTGTATTTACCTAGGAAGTAGAGATAACAGACATACCTAGCTTTCTGAGGGTTATAGGTAAAGCTCAGATAAACCCTAAAATACAATGCAAATGCCATTTTAATTCTATCATCCATCTTATCTGCTGTATCCTCCAGCTTTATGTCATCCTAAAATTTGATTGGCATGCCTCCTATCTCTCTGTTGGGACACTCATGCAAATATTGTTTAGCACAGGATCAGGACCAGAGCCCTTTGACCTGGCCCCTGAAACAGCCCTCTCACATAGGTGACATCAAGTCCCACCAGCACTCTTTGGGGTGTGGTTGTGAAATTCATTGAGAAGCAACCAGCCATGGTCACTGTTTTCATTTTGCTCAGTTGCTTTGCTGGAATAAAGATACAAATGGCTGAGCATTTCTCTGCTGGAAATGAAGTTAATTGCTTCAAGTGATTACTACTGCCCCCTAAATGTCCACAAACTATCTTCTCATTAAGAATTTATAGAAACTTCCTTTAATAATATCAATTTCAAAGTGTCCTAAGTTCACATTTTCCCAGTTTCTGAATACTGGGAGACGGTTTGCCTTTCTCCTATCACTTGGTATCATTACTCTATCCCATCATTTCCAATTTACCAAGCAGTAGGCAGAGCAGATTCTTCCGTAACCTGGAATGTAATTCACCTGGGCCTACACTGGAGTCACCTGGGGGAGCTTCAACGCACGGAGCTGCTCGTCCCACTCTAGGGATTCTGTTGAACTGCTTTGGGATCTGGTCTGGGCATGGAATAATAGGGCTCCCCAGGTGAGCTTTATTAAATGTAATTTGCCTCTCTTGGGTTTCAATTTCCTCTTAGTGGTTTTCACCCTTATCTTTGTACTTTGGAGCTATTTCTCTTTGGGGAAAATTGGAGGCAAAATAACAGGTCTGCTTTTTGCCATTTTTTAACACAGTGGTTCTCAATCCTGGCTGTGCATAAAAACCAAACACAGCCATTTAGACACCTGAGAGTCATCCTAGACCTGATGAATTGGAATCTCCAGACGGTGAGTTTTTAAAGCTCCATAAGTGATTCTGGTGGGCAGCCTGGTGGAGTCCCTCCATATAAAGGCCGTGGGTCTCTTTCTTTCTTCTTTTAACAATTTCAAAAGGCCTGTTTTCATTGTTGTCCAAAGGCTTTTTCAGGAGCCTAAGACCATACTAGATTTGGCCTCCTCCAACACATAGCAAGTTCATGCTATATACTGGCATTCCTTCTCAGCTTCATGACTTCTTGGTCTATTTTATATTGGTATTTATAAAATCAGGACATCTGAGAACTCTCATGGAATCAGACTGGTTTCTTTAAATGCCGATCTGTGAGAGGTAGCTTAGTGGCTTAGCCTTCATGCTCTACAGCCAGACTGCCTGAATTCCATGCCTGCTTCTCCAGTTACTAACTTTGTGGCCTTGGGCCAATTATGTAATCTCTGTGCCGCCATTTTCTCATCCATAAAATGGGGACATTAGTAGGCCTTCCCATATATTTGTTATGAGGATTAAATGAAAGAATACAATCAAGTGGCGAGAACAGTAGGTGACATCGAGTAAATTATTGGCATTGTTCCTTCCTCAATATATCTAAGATCACAACTGTATGGTTAGAACAAACAGAATTGTCTTTGGGATGATCCAGGAGAGAACTTTCTATTTGGTCTCAGTTCACAGAATAATCATTGTTTCACCTAGGCCACCTGTGTGCATTTATCTCCCCTGCACATGAAATCTAGAACCAATTAGTTTTCACTGGAGGCAAATAGCCAAATATGTGACCCACCCAAAAGAACATTTCTGATGCTTTTTTGCCTTCCTGTGCTGTTTTCTCTTTCTTTCTTTTCGCTGACATTACATTCATAGTAAACTTTATATATACTGGTGGGACATCTTTAAACTTTCTGGAATAAGAAAGGAAAAACAAGGAAGGAAGGATTTTAGAAAAACAAGGAAGGAAGGAAGCAATTTTAGCCCTGCTGGCTAAAATTGCAGGCTGTAACACCAGATCTCGGCTGGGCGTGGTGGTTCATGCCTGTAATCCCAGCACTTCTGGTGGACAAGGTAGGTGGATAGCTCGAGCCCAGGAGTTTGAGACCAGCCTGGGCCACATAGTGAGACCCTGCCTTTACAAAAAAATACAAAAATTAGCCAGACACGGTGGCACGTGCCTGTAGTCCCAGCTACTCAGGAGGCGGAGGTGTGAGGTTGGCTTGAGTCCAGGAGGTAGAGGTTGCAAGAGAGCCAAGATCATATCACTGCCCTCCAGCCTGGGTGACAGTGCCAGATCTTATCTCAAAAAAAATTAAAAAGCATCATATCTCCTTTTCTCTCTAATGAGTGGGGCATGTGTGTGTCTTTGGGTGTCTGTGTGTGTTGTGTGTGGCATGGGGGAGCCTGGGCGCACCGGGAACTGAGGAGCCCAGCAAGCTGAGGGCTGCATGCCTCACCAGCTGATGCCACCTGTCGGGGACACCGACCCAGGGGTCCCAGGTCTTTGGAGTTGCCACGAAATGCCCCAATCTACATTTTCACTTACATCTCTTTTTAAATGTTGCCTACTAATTCGATTTTAAAAAAGTTATCTCCTGGCTGAATGGGTCTCACAATCCTCCAGTTTGCGACCTTTACATCATTGAAAAGATTGCTGCTTCCACCTTTTAAGGGAGAAGAAAATGAAGACCCACTTGCTTTTTAAGCACGATGGCACAGATGGCAGTTAAAATGGGAGGCCACTTGGCCCACCATTCCCCAGCCCAACGGAAAGGGTCCTGGCAGCTAGGTGGCCCCTGTAGTCGTAGGGACAAGCTGCCCAAGCCTCAGGCTGGGCCTCACAGGCCCCTTCCCCACAATCTCATTGGTTTCCTCGCTAAAACACTTCTGAGGGAAAGTTGCTTCATTCCTTTGGAGGCAGTCAGTAGACACACATATCTATTTTCTAAATGGACCAAATTCTCTCAGACCGCCAGGCATTCTGAACAATCAACCACAGCTGAATTCTATCAGGTCTGCTGTTTGACGGAATTCAACTATTTCCCATCTCCAGTCTCATTATTGTTTGCTAAACTATAAAAAAAAATTTGTTTACAAATTCCATGTGAGAAGTTACTTTAGGAAAAAAGAAAACTCTACTTCAGGTATTAGCTAACAGCAAACCTCCTCCCCTACACTCAGCAAATAGAGATCAAAGGAGTTCAGCCAACTATCGTTTGTCTGGGAATTAGCTGGGGTCTATAGACACAGCTTTCAGGGATTGCCATCACAGAGGCAAGCAGGTGTCCCTGTTATAAAGAAGTTGCCACCAAACTTCTAACATGTGTTATGATGCTTTGAAACAAAACTTCAGGGCAACTACCCGAAGGTTCCTTTGGAAGGCAGTGCCAATTCAGAAACCTACAGAAGAAAGGGAGGGCCCAGGACAGAGCCCCTTCCTGGCTCTTGCTCCTGCGAAACTGAGGAACATGTTCCTTGTCTGCTATTGGTAAAGTGAGAAGCTTTTCAAGGAGACTTTCAATGCTGCTTCTATGTCTAAATTCCACGGCTCAATCATTTGTAAGCAAAAGTAAGGAATATAAAGTAAGCTTCTTAAATGGGGTTCCCACCCCTGGAGCAAGGGTTGCCATTTTTTTCTGTGAAAGGCCAGGTAGTAAATATTTTAGATGTGGTGAGCCATATGGTCTCTGTCATAACCACTCCGCTCTGCCACTGTAGCCCAAAAGCAGCATGAACTTGTGTAAATGAATGACGGTGGCTGTGTTCCGATAAAACTTTATGGGCACTGATGTTTGAATTTCATACAGTGTTCATGTGTCATGAAATAGTATTCTTCAACCATTAAAAAAATGTTGAAACCATTCTTATTCTAGGGCTGCACAAAAGCAGGTGGTGGGCTGGATTTGGCCCTGGGCTGCAGTTCGCAGACCCCTGCCTCAAAGGATGGCTTCAGGGTTTCCATGAGCCTGGTAGAATATAGAACAGTGTACTGTGTTTGTGACACCTTGGGGTTTTCCTGGAGACAGAGTTTACTGTATCAGATTCTCCAAGGGGGTAGTGATACCACTAAGTTAAGAACCACTGATTTAAACATTTCCATTATAAAAAGCCTGGCTTTCTAAGTGGTACAATAACTGTCTCTGAGGAATCCACATAAAGGAGAAAGCCCTGAGAAGTATTTTCAGGACCTGAAGTGTCCCCTTTTGCTTAAGTCTTTCAGACCACAAGGGTCCCCAGCACAGGGCATCCCCTCTGGACTTAGTGACTATACAGTGCTCTGTGGGGAAGGCTGTCTCATGTAAAAATGGCTGAGAACACTCCCCCGGATGTAGACTGTGTATCTAAGCCTCTTTCCAGAGGTGTCTTCTAAGTGCAGGTGAAGTCAATAGTCTCAAAGCGTTAGCTCCAAACACATTATGTCTCCATTCTTGTTAGTGAAGGAGGCATTTCTGGGCAGTTCTGAGGGATGGCGCTTATTCCTGCTCCTCAAACCCTCCCAGGGCCGCCCAGGCACGCCCAGGCCCGCCCAGGCCTGCCCAGGCCCACACCTATACACTCCTTTGGCTGTGACACGTTGATTCTGAAATTTGGTAACAAAAATATAAAGTATACATTCCAGCCACATGGGGCCACCTGATTATGGATGAGTCCACATTGTCCATCCAGTGCACACTGGCCCCAGATGACATCCAGTCTGGGATTGAGGAATGGCCTGGATATGTCGCTAAGTGCCCCAGGAGTCTTGGCTCCCGCAAGAGGCTGGCAGTGCCTGGGGGGAAAGAGGGCCTGGCGCTTCTGACACTAGCAGGGCCCAGCTCAGCCTGGCTTTGCAGGCTCCCAGCTAATGGAATGAACGCTGCAGAGTCTCTGGAGGACGGCAGAGAGCCACAGCCATTCTCTCCACCGTTGAGCCCACTGGCCCTCCAAGAGTCGAACTGAGAGGATGCTGCACGTGAGCTCTGAAACCATTCCTGAGGCCACTCAAGGGACGTGTCTGCTGCTGCTGTACAGCAAAGGAAATGCCTCTTCCTGGGGGAATGATCCCCAAACCAGGCTAGTCCCCTCCTATATATACCTTGACCCTTGTGCTGGGGTTCTGTTTCCTGGTACTCCTCATAACTGGAGCTAAATGATGACTCAGTCTGAGGTGTCTTTTCCACTGGACCGGAGCTCCACATGCGCATCTGCCTTGTGTTTTTAGCACCAGCTCAGTGCCTGGGACAGCCTTAGCTTCTTTAGGAGGAAAACATAACAAAGCTGCAGATGGAGACTTTGCCAGTGCTTTGATGCCTTCAACACCCGGCTCTTGTAACCTCACACCCACTCCACAGGGAGGAGAGTGCTGTGATCACATCTCCATTGTAAAGATGGGGAAATGGGCTCGGAGGCATTAGACGTCTTGTCTAACAGGCAGGCTGGGCAAGAGGTGGGGTCAGGACTTGGAATCAGCTTGTTCTGACCCCGAGGCTGTGCCCCTGGCATGTACTATCCTGCCTCCCATGATGAACTGCCGGGAGGCATCAATGCAGCCATCTGCACAAAGACACGCAGCACTGTGCCCAGCATAAGCTGCCAGTTCAATGGTTTCTGTCAATAGCGGTGTTGCTGTGTTAACATCAAACAAACAACTGCATTCTGCCGTGTACCCCTCACAGTGCAAGAGGCCACCATCACCACCAAGTCTTTTGGGGTTATTTCGTAGACATTAGGGGCACCCCAGGAGATGCCTGGGACAGAACACGATGTAGAAAATGCTGTGTGGCTATCCAGGAATAAAGAGCCTTAGGAGGAGACAGTACCCTGCCTGCCCTGGCTTGCCTGGGGCCTGAGCTTGCTGAGCCAGGCCCTGCAGTGAGCTGGCCCCCCGCAGCAGGATGTGCAGTGGCAGGACCCGAGCCTGGCGATGCAGCAGGAGCCTGTGTCTCCAGCTGGAAGTGGGTAAGAAAACGGTGGCAACTTGGACTCATTCTGCTTCTAACTGGGGGACCTTTTTCATTTATCATCTACTTTTTAAAGCCGTCTTATTGCTGACAGCTGTTGGGTTTACCATTCCAGGGACATTTTTGGTATCCAAAGAAGAAACTTTCCAATCTGGCCCTGGCAAAGGCCCAGTTCCTCCACTTACCAATCTCTCCCCCACTTATTTAGGAAAATGTTCTAGATAGAGATCAGTTCTCTTGGCCCAGGATTTATTATTGCACTGCCTGTGAAATGGGAACTGTAAACATTCTAATATGTGCCTCTCAAGTCAAGACGAGGTCACCCACCTTCTCTCACCATTCAACAATAATTTCAAGTTTCCTAATGCAGGATCTTATGACCCCAAATTCCCGGGCATATACTGGAACTGATCTTGAGCCATAAAAGGTGAGAAGAGAATTTTGAGATAGAGCTGAAAAAAACACTGTATATCTGGGGAATTCATTTGTTCATTCCACAAATATAGATTGAATACCTACTATGTGCCAGGAATTGTTCTAACTGCTGGGGATGCATTTGTGAACAAAACAGATGTAACTCTCTCCCTTGATTGCTAATTGCTAATTACTGTGCATTGCTAATTGTTGACGCTGGGTGATGAACACATGGGGACTCATTCAATGATTTGCTCTACTTTTATATATGTTTGGAAATTTCCGTACTAAAGTTAAAATTATAAGTCCCAAATCTCAAAAACATGATGCTGAGTGAAAGAAGGCAGACACAAAAAAAGTACATGCTATGTGGCTCCATTTATAAGAAACTCTAGAAAAGACGAATCTAATCTCCAGTGACAGAAAGCAGACCAGGGTTGCCTGGGGCTATGGGCAGGAAACTTCTTGGGAGGATGGAGGTGTTCTATATACTTATTGTGCTGGTGGTCACATGGGTGTATGACATTTTTCAAATGCATCAGAATGTGGACTTGAAATGGGTGCATTTATTCTATGTAAATTTTGTTGCAATACAATTGATTAAAAAACCCTGCAAATCCCTGCTCTCACATGGCTGGGGCTGGAAGAAATCTTAGGGATTACTTAAGTCCCTCATTTTACAGGAAAGGAGCAGAGAGATTGAGTGAATTTCTCAGCATCTCACAGACAGTAACAGTGGGGACTAGCACCCAGTTCTGTCTAACACTTCCCCTTAGCTCACTGCCTGTGATACAAGGTGGGTGCTTCAATCTGAAGTGCCACATTTTGGGGTGACTGTCTTCTCAATTATTTGGTTGAACACCCACACCCCAGGTCCCTATAGTCTGAGTCTGCCACGCCTCCCAGGAAGTCTGCAAATCCTGTTACTGCCAACACTAGCTGATATGTCAGCTGCTGCGCTAGGGGGGACGGAGTGCGGCTAAAGTCCTAGGTCAGGGTCTGGTTTATTTTCGAAGTCATCTCAGTTGATAAGCCCTACTCTGGAGGGCTTATCTTTCCATCTCCTTACTTAAGGCAAATATATTTCATAGTTCCCTGGCCTAGCCATTTGCCACCCTCTTCCACGCCTAGCTGGGCTCTCACACCTGAAATACTCCATTGATCTCCAAGCTCTGTGCTCCAAGAAAGCTGCTGTTAAGGCGAAATAGGTCCAGAAAGGAGTAGCCAGAGGAACATGGAGGGTGAAGGGCTGCTGCTATGTGGCCAGGCCTTCTCACAGTGAGGAGACTGAGGTTGATGTGGAAACTTAATGAACCTTCACAAACCCACTGTGTATTAGTCAAATCCCAGAATTCCAGAATAACAATGGAATGTTAAGTTTAGGCCAAACCTAATTCTGTTACCATCCCCCTCCCCAGCACAAACAATGGGAAGGTAAGAAGGCACTGATCCCCCAAGTGCAAAACTGGATTCCCCAGAGTGTCTCTTCTCCATGACATATATGCCTCTGGAGATCAAAGGTCCTCCACTTGATGTGGGCAGAACACACCCCCCCAGTCAGCTTGCAAAGTGCCCCTTGGTGCCTGTACCCTTCAGGGAACAAATTCTGGCTGGAGGGCTGAGCCCCTCTGTGAGGGAGGGTTGAGGCTCTGTCTGCCTTCACTTCAATACACACGAACCAGGCTCTGACCCCTGTCCCTCCTGGCAGCCAGACCATCCTTTAGTCCTCTCCGCAGAGATAGGCAGGAGGGCATTGCTTATCCAGCAGTGCAGACCCACTTGGATAGGATCTTCTGCAAGACCCAAGATGAGAAGGGGGCTGACATAGGCTCTCAGGACCCACAGAAACGCTGGCTCCCAGCCTCCCCAGAGGCCCTCTTCTCTCTGTCCTCAAACCTTGAAAGGCAGAGCTCCAAATTCCTCTTCCAAATGAGCATCCTGTTAGGAGTCAGGTGCCGGATTTTACCCTACTGCCTGTTATCCCTTAAGTATTTTGCATTATCAAGTCTTCTGCCATCGAAGCTTTTCAAGGTGGCAATGTTAGGGTGATGGCAGAAGATTCTTTCCTTGCCTTTGTCAAGCTTCTCCCTCTAGGGCTTCAGGGCTTCACAGAGGGCTCAAAGGACATGTTCAACAAACACTTGTTGAATATAACTGACCTGAATCTTGCCTTTCCCTTTCTCCTTTTATGCCTTTCGCAGATAGTTCTTTCTTCCTGATCCCTCCCAGCTTTCTGTCAAGTTCCAGCTCCTCTAGGAAACATTCCCTGATTCCTCCTGCTGTCCTCTGGTTTGATCAGGCGTGGCCTAGGAAGTCCTCCCATGCTCCCAGGTGAGTTGTATGTGTGTTACTTCAAGTGCAGGTGGGTCTGGGAGGAGATTAAGTTCAAGAAACACTAGTCTGATGAACCCAGGAAGGCATATACCAAAGTAACAGCCATTAAGACACAAAGAAAAGCTTAGGAGCTTATGAAAGTGCCCAGCAAAGCCCAGGCCAGCCCAGGCCTCACACTCTTCCCTGGAGTGGGGGTAGGGGATGAAAATGATGGCCCTCCCAATCCCAGGCCACAGGAACGTTCCTGCCATCAGAATTCTCTAATGGTGAAATCATTGTTCCTGCCATCAGAATTCTCAAATGGCAAAATTCCTGCAATCAGAATTCTAAAATGGCGAAATCACTTGTCCAGAGTCAAAGATGCTCCACTGAGGCTGTTTCGCTTAGAAATATTTGGGAGCCTGCTGTGCTGGAACAGGGTCTCACTGGTGACTGCTACCACTTCAGGGCTGGGGTGCTGAGGGCCGCACAGCTGTACCCAGCAAAAACACTACTGAGAATGAAGGCAGGGAACGTCAACGAACGTCAACGTGGTAAGCATGGTCACAGAGTAAAAGCAGGGGACCGGGGGGCGGGGTGGGGGGTGCTGAGAAAATGTGGCAGAACTTGGGGTGCCATCCTAAGAGGCAAAAAGGGCTGGGAATGCTGGCACCTGGGGTGAGTCACCCTCGCAGTACCTCCCTCCCCTTGGCACTCCCCAGCTCATACCAGTGGCTGTGCTGGAATGACGCCCCTGCAGGCGCCTCAGCATTCTGAACTGTGCTCCTTCCCTGCCTTCAGATGCTTTCTGCCCTGTAATGGCTGGTGCCTTGCTAGATGGTGCCATCCCCTCATCTGAACTCCTGGCCCGTCAGCCCCTTTGGGACAGGAGTGTTGTCCAGTCCAGCCTCCCTTGGCCTCAGGCTCCTGTTGTCCTCCTCACCAACAGCATCAACACCATCAACACCATCCAAGTGTTCACCTGTATCAGGCACTGTGCTACTCATTTCAGGCAATTAGGTTTGTTGATGCTTCACAGCAACCCCAGGTGGTAGATATTTATAACCCCCATGCTATGATCAGCAGACCGAGGCTCAGAGAGAAGTGGTGACTTTCCCAATATCCCACAGCCCAAATTAGAACCTGGTTGCATCTGATTCCAAAGCCCAGCCTCCAAACATCACACCAACCTCCTGCAATTCTTAACTCTTGATTCTTGGAGTTTGGGGATGAGAAGAAGTTCAAAGGCCAGGGTAGGGGTGGTGAATGGAGAGAGAGGAATTAAAATTCATTGAGAATCTACAGTGCACAAAGTAGCTTAGACTTATTCTATTCCTGTTTATAATTCTTTTTGAGACAGGATCTCCCTTTGTCTCCCAGGCTGGAGTGCAGTGGCATGAACATGGCTCACTACAGCCTCAACCTCCTGAGCTCAAGCGATCCTCCCACCCCAGCCTCCCAAGTAGCTGGGACTACAAGTGCATGCCACCACGCCTGGCTACTTTTTGCATTTTTTGTAGAGACAGGGTTTTACCGTGTTGCCCAGGCTTGTCTCGAACTCCTGAGTGCAAGTGATCTGCCTGCCTTGGCCTCCCAAAGTGCTGGAATTATAGGTATGAACCACAGTACCCAGCTATTCCTGTTAATAATTCCATGAGTGAAGAATTATCATAGTATCCCAATTTTACAGATAAGGAGGCTCAAGGAAGCCAGAGGTCCAGGGGTGAGGTGAATTCTGAGTGTCACATGGCTTTCCTGTGAGAGCAATTTTCTTCCAACCCAAGTCTCTCAGAAGTCAAAGCCAGTATCCTGTCCACTGTACCATGCCACCCGCTGGGTCAACCACCAAAAACAGGTTTCTGGACTTTTCCCATGCCCTCCAGCCCTGGATCAGAGTCCTGGCTCTTGGAGGGCTCTTGTAGCCTCTTGGATGGTAAGCCGCTTGGATGTGGTGGACACAGTCCAGGGGGATGTCCTCGTGAGGGGCTGCAGAACTCAGCCTTGCTCCTGCCCCAGCTCTGCCAGAACAGAGGATGAGGATGGTGTCATGACTGGCCTCCATCATCACAACCCATGTTATCAGGTGGTCCCTAGGCAGGTGGGCTGGCTTCAGGGGAAGGGGCTGCCTGTTCAACAGGGCTCCTCCTCAGGTCGCTAAGTTGGTGAAGTGTGCGGGTCTCGAGCCCACTTCCCAGGTTTTCTCTCAGCACAGCCCAGTCATGCAGGAGCATGCAGGAGAGGCCTCCCTCGGGGGTCCCGCCATGCAGCGCGGATGGCTGGATGGAAACGGATCATGAGGTTGAGAGGGGCCTCTATGTCACCGGGCCTGAGGGCTCACCTACCTGGAGAGACTCCCCACTCTGGAGGCCTTACCTTAAAGAGGGACATTCACACTGAAGCAAACTTGAAAAAAGAGAACATGTACACAAAGAGAAGTTTACTTGGCCAGCATTTCCCTCATTGCCTCTGGCTTTCACTGAGGACAACTAGGTTTCTGGGGAGGCAAATCTCTCCCTCCTACGCTGGCTTCCCCCCATTCCAGTGCTGAAGCCCTGGGAGCCAGAGTCTCAGAGCTGAACGCTTTTGAGGGGAAGGAATGGGTACACAGCGGAGAAGCCAGGAGTGAGCAGAACATCCCCAAGATCTGCAAGGTCAGATGATGCCCTTCAACCACACCAAACACATCGCTCTGCCCCTCCAGTCCCCAGAGAAGGCAAGCCCATCAGTAACACAAAAGCGAAATGTGCTACTGTTATTGGCAATTAGACAAGGCCATCATCTTGGGATGAAATCCCCAATGGGATAGACCAGTGAATTCTAGGGTTGGAGATTTTCTCCAGCATCGAAGGCTTTGGCTCCAGCCTTGCTGGCTTTCCTGTCTCCCCAACCCCTCAGTGCTGGAGTATTTGCCACCAAACAGCCCCCCACTGTGTGTCCTTGCTCTGAAGCAAGCCACCCCCGGAAAATTGACTTGAGTACATGATGGTGCAAAGTCTTTGGTTTGGTGTTGATGGCACATCACTTGCACAAACTCAGTTCATTATGTGGGTGGACAGAGGGTGAACAAGAGGAATACAAAAGGGAAAGTGGAGGAGGGAGAGTACGTAAGAGAGCTGAGAGAACGAAAGACAGGAAAGTCTCCACGCTGAAGCAGAGGCCACTGAAAACTGCACTGGGTGGGGGTTAGTACAAAGGGATGTTGGCCTGTAGTCAGGAAACCCAGTTGGACTAGTGACAGCTGGTGAGTCAGGGCAGGGGTTAGACAAGGGAGGCTTAGGAGCCGGGGGAGCAGAAATCTCAGCTTAGCAGACATCTCAAGAAGGCAAAAGCCTGGGGGGAATAGAAGCCAACTGAGGTATGTGATGGAACCTGACCAGAGGCCAAATTCCAGCTATGAATCTGGACAATCTCCTTGGTGATAGCTTCAGAGGGGCGAGGCTTCCTGTGCAGGAATGGAAGTCAGGCCTGAAAGCTGTTGTGCTGTTGCATCCTCGGCCTCTGTGGTGGTGACCCAGGGGTCCCCAGCCTCTAGCGAGCCAGCCTGGGCAGAGTACAGCCTTGTTGTGCCTGGCAGGTTCTTCCACGAAGGGGCTCTGTCCTTGTAGTGAGAGTGGAGAGGGTCAGGAGCTCTGCAAAAATATGCCACTGCATCCTGGCTCTTGTAAGTGACATGACCTCTCCCAGCCTCACCTCCAGCACCAACCACCTGACAAAACCAGGTCCTCCTTGTATCAGACAGGCAGGGCACCCCCCGCCCCGGGTCACCCAGATTCAGTATGGCCAGCTGAGGAGTGGGGTAATTCAGGTTTCTGGAGACTGGTGTCATTCTAGTATGATGCCAAAAGGGCATGGCTTGGAAGCAAGTGGAGGTAACACACGACAGAGGAAACCTGGAGCTCCCTCAGGGGCTTCAGGCACTTGACTGAGTCACCTTGGAGGTATTCAGTTTTACCAGATTAGGGCACTTGTACAGCTGCCTTCCTTGCTTGTTTAAACACACGCCCAATGTCTCCTTGAGGCCACCATCAAATTGCAAGGCTGATGGTGTTTGCTCACAGACTTGATCCTTTCCCTTCTCACGGTGTCTTGCCTTTGACCTGGAGTCTGTCAAAGACCCAGGACCAACAACTGCACATTGTCCCTGGCTGCTTGTGATCCAGTAACTTGGAGGTTTTTTCCCAATGTCGGGATCTAAACCAGTTTTCCCTCTTCCCTCTGTCAAAGCCCTTTCTTTCCCAGCTCTGCTAGGAAGGCATCTCACATGTCCTCAAGTTATTTGATACCTTAAGCCCAAGGAAATCCTGTCTTGTGATGGCAATCTGCCCCCTGAATAGAAGCCACCTCACCACAACCTCTGTGGGGTGCACCTCAGCTTCCCCGTGTCTCTCAGTGGCCTCTGTGGGGTGCGCCTCAGCTTCCCTGTGTCTCTCAGTGGCCTCTGTGGGGTGCACCTCACCTTTCCCGTGGCCTCTGTGGGGTGCACCTCAGCTTCCCTGTGTCTCTCAGTGGCCTCCGTGGGGTGTGCCTCAGCTTCCCCATGTCTCTCAGTGGCCTCTGTGGTGTGCACCTCACCTTTCCCGTGGCCTCTGTGGGGTACGCCTCAGCTTCCCCATGTCTCTCAGTGGCCTCTTTGGGGTGTGCCTCAGCTTCCCCGTGTCTCTCAGTGGCCTCTGTGGGGTGTGCCTCAGCTTCCCTGTGTCTCTCAGTGGCCTCTGTGGGGATGAAGCTCAGCTTCCCCGTGTCTCTCAGTGGCCTCTGTGGGGTGTGCCTCAGCTTCCCTGTGTCTCTTAGTGGCCTCTGTGGGGAGTGCCTCAGCTTCCCCGTGTCTCTCAGTGGCCTCTGTGGGGATGAAGCTCAGCTTCCCCGTGTCTCTCAGTGGCCTCTGTGGGGTGTGCCTCAGCTTCCCTGTGTCTCTTAGTGGCCTCTGTGGGGAGTGCCTCAGCTTCCCCGTGTCTCTCAGTGGCCTCTGTGGGGATGAAGCTCAACTTCCCCGTGGCTCTCAGTGGCCTCTGTGGGGTGCACCTCAGCTTCCCCATGGCTCTCAGTGGCCTCTATGGGGATGCACCTCAGCTTCCCTGTGTCTCTCAGTGCCCTCTGTGGGGTGCCCCTCCACTTCCCCATGGCTCTCCAGTGGCCTCTGTGGGTGGCCATCTGTTTTGCCTGTGGTAAGGCTGACTCTGCTTATGCAGCACAGAGTTGTCCTCACTGCTGGTACCTGAGCTAGGCAGGCACCCACATCCCCGGGGTCAACCCTGAGTTGGTTACAGGGGCGCGATGGCGTATGAAAACCTCAAGTGAGTTTTCCCACTAGTCTTTTGAGGCTTTCTGAGATGAGAAATGCAGTATGTGCATCACTGCCATGGGCTTTAATCCTTGGGCTTTATTTATTTCTGCTTTTTCTACACAAGCCCACGGATGACTCGGGCTGGTGCCATTGACATTTTTCAGAAAAGAGCTTTTGATTTAGGGACAGATTTGGGTCACTTTTCCAACCTGCTAACTAGATGTGGACCACTCTCGTTTATTTTTTTTCCCCAATTTTGGTATTTCTCCTGAGAGAAATCTCTAGTGCCAAGGTTGTAAATGTCAGACATTTAAATAACTTGAAGAAGTCTTGAAAGACCTGCAGCTGAGAACTCTCTAAGGATCAACATTACTCAGCTCAAAGTGTGGCCAGAAACACCTCTTACACAACGTCAGCTTTCCGTTTTAGCCTTCCTTTTTCCAGATGTTCTAATTCTCTCCTCCCAACTGAATTCAAACCTACCTAATCAATACCCTCTCCCCTGACCCCGCCCCCCTCCACAGCACTGAGCATTGAGGTTAACTCTGAAGGTCTGGGGAGGCAGGGAGAGTGGGAACATGCACAGGAGATCACTTCAAGGCAACGATGAAGTCAGTCTTTAAGAAGTCTGACTGAGGCAGTTTTGAAATCGGTGGGAGCTCCTGGACAGCCCCATCCTTTCTCTTTGCCATCCTCTCAGGGGGTGATAAGGACCCTGAAAGCTTCCTTGACCCTCCAGGCAAAAGAAAGCAAACAGGGTCTTTCTGGCTCTTTAGTCCCAAGGGGGAGCTCCCAAGAGGCCCAAGGACAGAAAGCACAGGTCCCTTTTGCTCTAGACATCCAGGCAGAGGTGGACTCCTGCCTGACCCCTGACCCAGGGATATATTTCCTCCTGCTGGCTCCCAGACCCCCTCATACCCCTGCCCACAGGAACACCTTCACTTCTGGCCAGGGAGAGCTTTAAGGGGCTCCCTGCCTGTCTGAGGCAAGGCAATGCCTGCGTGTTAGTGGAGTAAGTCACGTGCCTGCCTCCCTCCCGGTTTGTCCTTCCCTCTCTTCCTTTCTGTCTAGGTTTTTCCCCATCCCTCAGACCCACACCTGTTCACCTCACCCCTGTTCTTCATACCCTTCCTGCCATGTGCTGCTCAAAGAGGGATGCCTCTCAGAAGGCCTGCACTTTCATTGGCTCAAAGTCTCAAACTAAAAGTTGGGAGTCCCAGTGAGGGATTCCTGTGAAGGGAAGGGCTTTGGCAGTGTTCTGGAATCTGCTATACCTCAGGGAGAGACGATTCTTCATGAATCCACACTCTAAAACCTCCTCTGTGCCTTTTATGATTAAGGTTCTTCCCTACTTCCTTCCCACCTCGTGGCCTCTCAATAAAAACCCCCTGGCTTCCTCTGCCACACCCCAGACCCTCTCTCTCCTCACACCCCTTGCTGATGGTTCCCCCTGGGCTTCACTTGTCCTCCCCACTCTTCCCCAAGCAGGAAGGGGCTGCTCCTCCGCCTCTGCCAGTACAGCTGGGGCCTGGTGCTCCATAAGCCTGGTTTAATGTGGTTTTGCTGAGACCTGGAGACTCGAGTTTAAGTCATCTTGTAGCCCTGCACTGATAATCCCCTCAGCTTCAGTCTCATCCTGTGTTTCTGTTAGTTGGGCCTCGATTCTTCACTTAGCACTACTTCTAATTTTTCTTTGGGTTGATTAACTTAGATTAAATAGAAGTTAAAATTCACCCTACCATCTGAGCCTTTAGTTTCTCCTCCTCCTTTTTTAGGCCTCTGGGGTCCTACTTCCCCTATTTTACCAGGGGCACAGTTAATCCTTTCCTTAAAGGTGACTGGCAGAGGCCCTCAGCCCCCAGCAATGGGGCAGGCTGGCATGTGCAGGGAGCCCTGTGGCAGCAGGGGACAGTTAACCCAGGGAGCTTAGAGTCTACGCCCTCCTGGCTTGGAATGGTGGGCCTGGAGCTGTGGTGGAGATGGGCTGAAGAGGAAGTGATATTTACAAAGAAAGAAGGTGAACCTAAATCTGGGCTGTCCCAAGCTTGTGCTATCCAGTGAAAACATGAAAACCAAAGGAGGAAGCGAATGAGGAGTGGTAACGGGACCAAGCATCCGGGGATGTTCAACCCCACGTGCTCGAGTCTGGTTGAGGCCTGGACCACACCCGTCCACTGACACTATCCCCCACCCCCACTCCCACTCCCACCGTGGAAGATTTCTGAGAATCACAACATTGTCAATAACGGCTCCCCAGAAAATCTCCTTGAATAGAACGGAATTCCTCTCTGATGGTTCACAAGGCACAGGAAGGTCTTTTCTGCACTTGGAGAAGGGGAGCAGGAGCTCATCTGACAGTATGCTGGGTGACTGAGGGCTGACTGCCTGATGGCAAATCCTCCCTGCCTGGGACCCCAGTTCCACAGCCCCACAGCACTGGGGCTCCTGCCTAATAAACTCTTACATTGCACACCCCCCTTCACCTCCCAGCAAGCCTGCCAGCCGGCTACCTCAATTTTCAGTCTGAATGATTGATTGCTTCAACGGGCTACAACACAACAGAATTAAGATAACACACGCTGTAACTTTAAGGACTGCAACATGACCCTCGCCCCATTCCAGCAGAAGGCCACTGCCAGGACGTGGTCTTTATTTTGTGAGTCGAGCCCAGACTGAAAGCTCTGAGCTTCAACTGCCCTGTGTTACATGCCCCCTCCAACTGGCATCACAGCAGGCCTGAGAATCTGGAAGGCAGAAGGGAGAGTGCGGCAGAGAAGGGAGAGGGTATCTCACAGAAATGCACTTTTACGCAGTGGGCCTCCCAGAAGCTCCCCCCAGCACCATCCTTCCTGCTGCCAGTCAGTGAATCCCAGCTTCATGCTCTGTGCTAGTTCCACGGAATGACCACGGCTATTATTTAGTTAATATTTTCCTTTAAACTGACCCATTTAGAAAACAAACCCAGTTCTTCATAAAGAAACCTTATGTCTCTACCATACATGGAAAACTAGTATCATTTGTCATTTTCAATCAAAATAAATAAATTGAATCTCTGTAAAGACAAAAGGTGTTCTGTGGCCCACGTAAATCATCATCTTGGGTGCTGCTGTAGTAGGTTACATGTTTTCAATAGTAAACACTTGGGGCCTAAAGACATTGTCTTAGGGAGAGCCTCAGCCACCTCTGGTCTTTGTCATTTTTACTGTAATACGCATCCCCTGACCAACTCTTCCTGGGTGCACGCAGCCTGTCCTGCAAGTACCTGGGCCCGACCCATGGTGCTGAACGTGCACGGGGACCAACTTACAATGCGTGGTTTGAAGGGTGGCTTGATCTTCTTCTGCTCCAGGAGCACCCAGTCAATCTCTTTGAAGAATGGGTGCTGCTTGATGGCGTCCTCGCCATTCTGCGATGCCACACAGCCCAGGCGCTTGTGGGGATTCTTCGTCATGAACTGCAGGGATGAGGACAGAGTCGGAATTAGTGACAAAGGCCTGGCCAGCACAGGCTATAAGGGACAGATGGAGGTCAGCCAAAGCAGCATCTTCAGCATCGCCTCCCAAGTCTGTTCTTTGCACTTTCAAGGGCCACATCTGTTGGGTTTTCTTTAACTCTTACATAGAATTGACTATGTCCCAGACACCATTCTAGACATGGTACATGTATCAACTCATTTCATCCTAATGCCCTACGAGGTACTATCATTGTCTCTATATTATAAACGAGGCACTAGAAGCACACAGAGGTCAGCTAATTTGGCCAAAGTCACCCAGCTAGTAAGGGACCAAGCTGGGATTATGCACTCTGGCTCTTACTGACTCTGTGATCCCCCTCAGATTCTCAGGTCTTCTCATCAGGGAGACTGAGGTCTGATAAACTCATTTACATGGAGGGGTCAACGGTCCTTTTTGAGATAAGGAATAAGGACCAGGTAAATGATCAAATGTACTAATGCCTCCTCCAGCTCCTTTCCTGTTCCTGGACCCAGCCCCTCTCCACTGTTTTTATGTTTGAATTTGCAATCTTGACACAAAATGCCCATGAAGGTCAAAAGATAAAAAACAAGAAAAAGAAAGGCTTATTCCTTTTCAATGCTTGTAGGTGAAAATCACATTGATGTGTTTTATATTTTCTGGGTGGTGTCTGGCGATCCCTACACACCCAGGTGAACTTGTTATTCCTATTAAATGAGTCAGTCCTGAGGGTAAACGTTAATTTAATTGAGCATACGTATACCAATAAAACCTTGGGGAAAAAAAGTGCCAGTAGGTGGAAATATTTCTGATAGCTACCCGAAATAATGGCATGTATGTATTGTATGTGCATGAGTGTTAGAGACAAAATGTCACATTTCATAGTGTGAAGGCTGAATATCTATCTAAACAGAGGAACTTGAGAGAATAAACTGTAATCCAAAGGAATACATCTTTGGTAGAATTTCAGGCTTCATCAGCAAGGGAGAGAGCCTCTAACTATTTCTTGCCTGATGCCCTTGGAACCAAAGCACCTGGCCTCGAGTTCAATGCGATTGGAGGGGGCAGCCCCAGATAAAGAGTGAAAGGGGTGGAGAGTAGGTGTGAGTCAGGAATGGTACCAGTGCACCTCATCTTTCTCATCTACAAGTCAGCAAGGTGACCCCCACTTTAACACCTTGGATGGCCCCCACCATGAAGTCCATACTCCTTAGTTTGGCACACAGGAGCTCCTCAGCCTGAACCCTGTCTACCTTGCTGTCCTTTTGCATTCTTTCTTCCCTCTGGTTGAATGTCCCTCTCCAGTCCCTAGGCCTCCTCTAGGAACTAGTCAAAATGCTACCTCCTCTGTGAAGCCTCCCCACATTCCCTCCTCTGTTGATATCTTAGACCCCAGGCTTCTGGTTTATTTAAATTATGATTTGTCTAAACATCTCTTCCCCTTGGTGAGCTCTATGATTTAGGAATCTGTCTTATCTGCCCCAAACCTGGCTCAGTGCCTGGTTCCCACTGTACACTCAGCAAATTGTGATGATGGAGTGAGGGGCTAAAGGCTGGGCCTCAGGGCATAGCACTGAGGGAGGGAGACTGTGGCACAGCCGCTTATTGTTGCACAGGTTGTGCACTGCATACTTCTATGATACAAATGGCCTTCTCTAAAGTTCTGCATCACCTTCACATAGGCAGTAGCCCTCGGAGACACAGCTCAGTGGCTAGAGTCATGGAAATCCTGGCCTGGCCCTGCAGTCAAGTGACAGTGTGAGGAAATGAAGTGTTTTGAGGCCAAGGGTGTAGTAGATTCCTCACTTCCTCAGCTCCTCCCGTCCTCCCTTTTCTGGGAGGGGAAGTATCAGGGTCAGGGATACACATAGAGGTTTGGGCATCTTAAGAAGCTGCCCCTGAGCCAGAGGCTCTTCTCAGTTGGAAGATGCTCTTCTCATGAACGTCTCACCCTCACGAACTGGTTAACCGGTTAGGCACGACTTCTAACTTCTGGATCTCTGTAGGTTAAGGTTTCTCAGCCTTCATGCTATTAACATTTTTGACTGGATACTTCTTTGCAGGGTGGGTGGGGGGAGCTGTCCTGTGCATTGCAGGCAGTTTAGCAGCCTCCATGGCCTCTACCTGCTACATGCCAGCAGCACCAAAAATATCTCCAGACATTACTGAATGTCTAAGGGAACAGGACAAAATTGCCCCTAGTTAAAGGCCACTGCTCTAAGGCCTCCAAAATAAAAGGGCTCAGCTGGTATGCTGGCAGGGGACTCACAGGGAGGTGTGATGGGCTGGTGTTGGGGCCTGGGATGGTGGCCAGCTCTGCTGGGCATGGTGTTCTGGTGGACTCGGGTGCGGCTGAGGTTTTCCTTTAGTTACTCATCTGACTTGGGAAGAGATGGGGCTCCGGGAATCAGGAGACAAAAGCTCCCATGTCCACCCCAAGTTAATTACCCAAGAGAGTCCTCTGCAGTGATTCAGAGTTGCAGCTCCAAAGTGTAAGTAGAGGCAGAACCAATGAAGATATGCCTGTTGCAAGATCTCACTGAGTAGAAAAAGCAAGATACACCATCGACAGGAAAATGAGATACGTGTACAGCATTCCTACCATTGTATAACACAGAAAAAGAAATAAGAAGTTATATTTGTATTGCTTGTATATACCTAAAGAAATTCCAGAAGGATATATAAAAGCCTCAAAACATAAGTAGAGAGTGTGTGGGAGGTGGGCAGATGGAAGCAAGGATGAGACAGAGACCTTTCACTGTATCTGATTTTATGCTTTGTGTTTTTTAAAAAAATAGCATGTGATCAAACCAGCAAGCAAATAATGAAATATTTAAGGCCTAAATATATAAACTGAACAAAACAGAATTTGAAAAGTTGGACAACAGAGTCCCCCTAAGCAAGGCTCCTTCCCACTGGGTGACGTGCCCTTCCTAAAGTGCTTTCCTGTAGGAAGGTCAGGATGGAAGAGGCTGGGAGCCATTTTTGGATGCAGACAGTCTCGCTGAATGCCTTGCCTAGCAGGTGCCCTGTACTCATCGGTGAAAATCCCTTCTCTCCTTCCTTTGCACACACATGAGTCTCCATTCTGTACCAAGTGCTGTGGTGAGTGATGAGACACGGTCCCTGCCCTCACGGGGCATGTAGAAGAGTAAAGGAGGCTGAGAAGAAACACGTAACTGCCAGAGAATCAATTAGCTGAGACTGTGATGAACTCCCTGAGAGAAGCACAGCAGGCTCTGACAGTGTGATGGGCAAGGAACTTGGCAAAGCATTCCCTGAGAGGCAACACCTAGGCTGAGACCTGAAGGAGGAATGTACCTAGGCAAAAAGGGCACAGGGGAGAGTGGTCCAATATGGCCAGAGCCCAGCAGATGACGGGGAAGGGCTGAGGGGGAGGCGGGGCCTGATGCAGAACCCTGGAGGCTATGTGGAAGAGAAGGTCTTTATCTAATCACAATGTGATGAGTTTTAAGTAGGGGATGAGGCGCGAAATGGCTAGATTTGCATTCTTTTTTTTTTTTTTTCCACGTAACAAACATTTTATTATTTTTTTTTGTACATGAAGTTTTTTTTTTTTTTATATACTTTAAGTTTTAGGGTACATGTGCACATTGTGCAGGTTAGTTACATATGTATACATGTGCCATGCTGGTGCGCTGCACCCACTAAGAGATCACTCTGATAGACGTACAGAGATGAGAAGGACACAAGAAGGGCTGCCCGTTAGGAGGTCCTGCAGTTCACCAAGGGAGAGGCGGTGGTGGCTCCAATGGGGATAGTGGGGAGAAGGATGGAGAAAGGTAACTCAAATGGAAAAGGTTAGCAGGGGGAACGGACTTGATGACTAGCTGTGATGGGGAGAGAGGGATTGCACCCCATTTCTGGTCTGTTTAGAAAGGAAGACAGGGTGCCATTTACTGAACCAAGGAATTTGAGAGTGAGCAGATTTGAGGGGGACCATCCAGAGCTGTTTGGGAGTATACTGAATGTGAGGGACCCCTGGCCAGCTGAAGGGAGAAAGTGAGTAGGGAACTGGAAACACAGGCCTGGAGGCTGGAAGATGGGTCTGGCTGGGGATACCCCTCCCTGAGTGCAGGGTGGGAAGTGGGAGAGTGCTGTGCAGGGGAGAGCACAGGGTACCCAGAGGACCCGGGGCCCAGGCCTGAGGAACAAGAGAGGCGGTGACCAGAATCCATTCATGAAGGAGCCGAACAGGGGCCCGCGAGTGACACCAGCAAGGAGCTGAGAAGAGCTCCTTGAAGGGGTCCATCAAAGATTCACCCAAGAGGCACCCAGGTCAAAGTTTTCCTTGGCTCTCAGTTGAACTAGTTGTAATCATTTAATTGAACTAGTTATAATCATTTAATGTTTCGAGATTTTTACATAAAAATCTGGATTTCGTGCTTCTCTTGGAAAGCCAGATCTGGTGAGGTGAAGTCCTCGTTGCTGCTGGGGGATCATGAGGGGTCTCCGTTTACCCTGCCCCACCCAGTCCTGTTCACCTTCCACAGCTCCTGCTGGGCTCTTGCAGGCATTTAACTTTGAAATATGTGATAAAATGGAAAGAACAGAGAGCTAAGAGCTGTTTCTGTTTTTTATCAAACAGTTACATAGCTCCTACAATGTGCTTGGCACTGTTCTCAGCCCTTGGGACGCGTCTGAGAAATAAGCTGGAAAACGTTCCTGCCCTCACGAAGCTCAGTCTTGTGGAAGGAAATAGACAATAAACATAATACATAATATATATAGTGGGTTAGAAAGTGGAAACTGCTATCAGGTATCAACTGAGCAGGATAAAGGTGGATAGGGAAGGGGACAAGGTTTAGTTTTTTGTAAAAAAAAAAAAAAAAGCCTCACTGAGAAAATGCTACTGAGTCAACCTATGAAAATGTTGGCACTAAGAGGGCAGCAGGAGAAAGGGGTAGCAAAGGAGATGGAGAAGCAGCCGCCCAATGCCAGAGGAGACCCAGTCCCAGAGGGCGAGGACAAGGAGGACTTTAACACGGAGGGGCTTGGCTGAGCCAGTGAATGTGGCTGGGAGGCTCCAAGGCAGGGGTCCTGAAAGCTTCAAAGAGCCACAGGGGGCCGAGGAGAAATGCGGCGGCGGGCGGGGGGGTTGGGGGGGGTGGGGCGGGGTGGGGAGGGCCGTGAGGACATCAAGGCAGAGAAGTGCAACAGAAGTAATTTCCACGAGTAGCAAGAACCATTCTCGGAGTGAGAGGCCCAGCCCAGAACACACATTGAATTTGGAAAGTTGGATAAACTAGTATCCCTAAATAAGACTAGTACCCCCGAGGCCTCCTCACTGGCTTGGGGCAAGGGTGGAGGACTTTTGGAGGCTGGCAGGAGAGGCACCCTCCAGACCACGCTCTCCCCAGCAGCCAGAGCTACCTTCTAGGTGTACCAGCCAGGTCCCTCCCCTGTCTGGTCCTCCGAGGGTTAGCCCTGCACTGGGAATCGAATGGAAGCTCTCGTGGCATAAGAAGCCCTGCATACCCAGGCCGGGCGTGGAGGCTCACGCCTGTAATCCCAGCACTTTGTGAGGCTGAGGCGGGCGGATCACGAGGTCAGGAGATGGAGACCATCCTGGCTAACACGGTGAAACCCTGCCTCTACTAAAAATACAAAAATTAGCCAGGCATGGTGGTGGGCGCCTGTAATCCCAGCTACTCGGGAGGCTGAGGCAGGAGAATCTCTTGAACCCGGGAGGCGGAAGTTGCAGTGAGCAGAGATCGTGCCGCTGCACTCCAGCCTGGGTGACAGAGCGAGACTTGGTCTCAAAAAAAAAAAAAAAAAAAAAAAGAAGAAGAAGAAGAGGAAGAGGAGGAAGAAGAGGAAGAGGAGGACGAAGAAGAAGAAGCAGCCCTGCATACTCAGACACCGCCATCCCGTCACCCTCCTCGTGCCCACTCTCCCTGAGCTCCTTTTGGGTTGTCCACCCTGGCAGATGTTTTCTAGTCCAAGGCCTGTGCACTTGCTCTTCCTTCTGAACAGACGCCCTTTCCCCCAGTAGCCACCTGACTGAAACCTCGCCTTAGTGTCCCCTCATGGGACAGGCATTTCCAGACTCAAGAGCACCCCATGCAGCCTGTTGCTCCTCATTTCCTGAGCCTCTGCATGTGTCTTTTTGCACTTGTTACCATTTAGTACAATATACAGTCATTTGTCTGTTCATTTATTCACTAGTCTGTAAGCAGGGACTGTGTTGTTTGTATCACCAGCGCCTGGCATAGTGCCTGCCAATAAATATTTATAGAATAAATGAATAAATAGTCTTTACTAGATGCTCAATAAATATTTGTTTAATAAATGAATGCATGAATGAACATACTCTATTTGCCTCCTTCACTTCTCTTATCCCAATTGTGGCTACCTATTGATATATTTTTAATTTATTAAAAATAATAAATAATTCCACAGGATTGGAAACTTCACAAGGCAGAGACCAGGTCTCACCAATACTTATTCAGCATCTAGCACCATGCCTAGCATGTTGGAAGTGCTCAATAGATAGTAGTTCATTGAATGAATGAATGAAAGAGAGAGGGAGGAGAGTAAGGGCAGAGGGGAGAGAAGGAATGAGGTGAGGGAAAGAGGAAAGGAAGGAGGAAAAAAAAACTACAGAAAAGGGTAACATGTTCTGATGTGGAGTTTTCTAAAACATGGTACATGCACCCTCAGATACCTACAAAATGGTTTTAGATCTTTCAAAAATTTTTATACAATAATTTACATTAGGTAGGGTGTAGTGGCTCACACCTGTAATCCCAGCACTTTGGGAAGCCGAGGTGGGTGGATCATGAGGTCAGGAGTTCGGAACCAGCCTGGCCAACATGGCGAAACCCCATCTCTACTAAAAATACAAAAATTAGCTGAGCATGGTGGTGGGCGCCTGTAATCCTAGCTACTCGGGAGGCTGAGGCAGGAGAATCTCTTGAACCCGAGAGGCAGAGGTTGCAGTGAGCCGAGATCACGCCACTGCACTCCAGCCTGGGTAACAAAGCAACACTCCATCTTGAAAAAAAATTACATTAATTCATTATGGCAAGTGATACTGATTTTCTACCTACGATAATGGTATAAAATTTCTTTGTAAAATACAGGCTGGGCGCAGTGGCTCATGTCTGTAATCCCAGCACTTTGGGAGGCTGAGGTGGGCGGATCACCTGAGGTCAAGAGTTCAAGGCCAGCCTGGCCAACATGGTGAAATCTTGTCACTACTAAAAATACAAAAATTAGCCAGGCATGATGGCGGGTGCCTGTAATCCCAGCTACTCAGGAGGCTGAGGCAGGAGAATCACTTGAACCTGGGAGGAGGAGATTGCAGTGAGCCAAGATAGCACCATTGCACTCCAGCCTGGCCATTGCAGTGAGACTCTGTCTAAAAAAAAAAAAAAAATTTCTTTGTAAAATACATATAATCAGGTAAATATTGGAAGTTGATTAAAAGAACAAGAAAAGCTAGTAATAGTGCAGAAGACACTTGAAGATGGCAAATTTTGTGACTATAATGTGCAAATGATTGAATTTTGGGGCATTCAGATGAGTGGAAGAAGCCAAGTCTAGAAGTCATGGTCCCTGGGTTGTCACCCTCATCCTATCTTAGCTCAGAGGGGTGACCCTGGGCAGACTGCTTGCTTAACTTCCCTGTACCTCAGCTTTCACGGATTTCAAAAGGGGACAGGTAACATCACTTGCTTGACACAGTACAAGCATTGTTACATCGTAGAGATGGCTGTGCTGAGAAAGCATAAGGGGTTTTCCCATGTGAGGGATGATTCCTAGGGCAGGGTCAGTCTCTGTATTATGTATCTAAATCCAGCAGGACTGCATGAATTTCCAGTGTACCAGATCTTTTCTGATTGGCTCTTGAGCCACAGTGATGCTGTCGTGGACACAGGTGGGCGGTGCCCACCCTCCCTCCCCTCCTCTCTGTTCTCCATCACAGGTCCCTGATGAAGACAGGCCACAGGTAAGGAAGGTATGGAAGTGGCAGAGGTGATGTCAGCACAGTTGAGTTGCTTCTGTTCCCTCTGAAATGCTGGAGGACACAGATGTACACAGTGCCTCATCTCAGGAAGCACAGACATGCGCTCCTCTTCCCACCAGAAGAGCAAGTCATCTCAGGCCCCATTCTCTTGGCAGCAGTCCTCTGCACTGTGCCTGAACTCCCAGTGGCAACTGCCCTTAATCCTTCCCATTCCGTGGTGATGAGCAGAGGTGGGAGGGAGAAAGCTGGACAGAGAAAGGGAGAAGGGAGTGTGTGTGTGTGTGTGTGTGTGTGTGTGTGTGTGTGTGTGTGTAGGGGGAGGAGCCCAGGAGAGCACAGCCATGGGTGAGGGGCAGTGACTCACAGCTTTCAAGATGCTGACAGCCTCCTTGCTGAGCCAGACTGGGTACAGCACGTCGTCATGGAGGATGGACTCAAATAGGTCGTCCTCATTGTCGGCCTCAAAGGGAGGCTGTCCAGCCATCATCTCGTACATCAGCACCCCCAGGGCCCACCAGTCCACGGAGGGGCCATACTCCAACTCCTGCAGGATCTGTTCAGGAAACCAGCAATGTCAGGCACCATCAAAGGCTCCCACCCCAGTGACACCCGTGCTACGAACGCCCATGGGAAGGACTTCAATTCCAACTTGCTCCTCCCTACAGTTGAGTCCTAGTCCTAGAAGTTCTAAATCAGCAAATTCAGTGACAGTTGAGTTTGGAGGCACTATGCTGGGGGCCAGCTATCATCTTTCCAAAGTCAACATCGACAGTCTGTCTTCCAGTGGGAACAAATTCCTATTTCTTTGAGCACCAGATAAAGTTCCTGACTGGCATGAGGGCCACATTTTAAAAAACTGCATATTTTGACACTAAAATCAGGGTCAGGGGAGCACGATGCATACTGAGAGAACAAGCTGTAAGTGACTCAGAGTGCAGCGAGGTCAGGTCTCCCATCTCACACAGTCCAGGGCACAGCTCACTGCCTGAGTGGAAAGGTGAGCAGAGGTCTTCTTTAAATGGTGCAACACTCAATTTACCTGAGCCCTGTGCTCCTGGAGAGGAAACTGCAATGAATAAGTCTCCCCCACCCTGTAATGGTCTCCCTATAAAGGACCACTATACTCTTGCATATTCTAAGAAAAAACCCATCTCTATTGTTCATCATGATTCCCATAAGATCCACTGAAGAATCCCCCACTTTGCCTGCCTCTACAAAACCGTAGGCCCCCTTCCTTTGGGGCCACCTTCACTAATGAACCCCCTATTGCAATAGCCAGAATCGAACCATCTCCTTGATTGTCTGGTGCATTTTGTCTTTGACAATGGTCACTTGTCTTATCTATGCTGTCTCTCTTTTTCCTCTAGCCAAATATGTAGAGTCAAATTCACTTAGATTAAATGCATGTATGACATGATGCTACTGAATACAAGACATCTTTTCTGGCTGGGCGCAATGGCTCACACCTGTAATCCTAGCACTTTGGGAGGCTGAGGTGGGAGGATCACTTGAGTCCAGGACTTCGAGACCAGCCTGGGCAACATGGTAAGACCCTGTCTCTTAAAAAAAATTAGCTGGGCATGGTGGTACGTGTCTGTAGTCTCACCTTCTCAGAAGGCTGAGGTGGAAAAATCACTTGAGCCCGGGAGTTTGAGGCTGTAGTGAGTCATAATCATGCGACTGCACTTCAACCTGGGTAACAGAGTGAGACCCTATCTCAAAAAAAAAAAAAAGGATCTTTTCTGATTGGCTATTCTATTTGATCTGCTCTCCATACACATATGTCATAAATACATGATACACACACACGCACATATAAATATGTAGCATGTCAATGACATATATATATAAATACATATATATAAATACATATATATAAAAATACATATATATATATATGGAGATGACATCCAATAGAAAAGACTAGAATTTAATATCACCTTTCAGCTGTATAGAGCTTTGTATTTTACAGTATGCCTTTAAAATATAACATATATAAATAAAATAAATATGTAGCAGATCAATGATGTGTTTGGCTCAGAGGAAAAATAAATGCTGAGCTGTCCACTCTACAAGGAAGAGATCATGAGGTGACATTCCCATTCCACAATTATTTTCTCTTCTTATTAGAGTGGGATTAGGCATGGCTCTGCCCAGAAACAGGAGGGTGGATGAGATGACCTATCCAGGTCCATAATTCTATAAAGAATTTTAAAAAGGGAAGGAGAAACAAGGTTGGAGTGCATATCCTGCAAGGGGGAACACTTTGAGGACCCTGAAAAAAAAAGGCAAAGTTCATGCCTAGTCATTCCAGCCCATGGGACACCTTGGGCAGATAATATCTCAGGCTGGGGACAAGGCTCCAATTTAGTTCTCAGATTTCATGGTGGCCAGGGAAGAGGAGGCTGAATTCAAGTATCTGGACTTTCTGTGGTCTGCTCAAAATACCCTTCTAGAGGTTACAAATTGCTTAGGATGAACTAGAAAGATTTGGATAGAAGAAGCATTTAGAAACAGTTAAAACACTCACAGTTTAGAATCTTCTGAATTTGGAATGAAAAGGAATTTGAGAAAATGCAGCCAACTCTACATTACTTGGGGCTGGTAATCTGTTTAGCTAATACCTTTGGTCTAAGCCCAGTGGTTAGTGTTCCTTGAGCTGTAAGGTCAAAGCTATGGGCTCCACTGTCCTGAGGAGCCAGTGATTCTGCTATGCTCCAAAGCCAATGCCAACTCCTCCCTCAACCTCAAAAGACACAGCGCCCAACTTAAGACCCCTGCCTGTTCCTACGAGTTGCAGGCACTTTCTCACTTTCCACATACCACTACGTCGTTAGTTATTTTTTCATGGCCAGCGGTCTCCCCAGTGCAACTATAAGGTACCAGAGGGTAGGAGCTGTAACATGCTACTGAGCCCAGTGCTGTGGCCAGCCTGTTCTATCATCCAGGAGACAGTCAACATCTTGTGACTGGCTAGCATGCATGGCCACTGTGTGTATCTACTGGGCATGCTCCCTTCTCTTCTAGCCTCAGGGCACACTGGGTGCTACAGTGGCTGCCCTCCAGCTTCTCGGAAGGAGGCAGCTGGGTTCTGTGCCTTCAGGGGGTGGGGAGAAGGTGGCTTGTGTGTGCTGAGACTGGATGGTGCTGTGGAAACCACAGAGCCGCCCTGCCACCCCACTCCAGGCCCCTTCCACAGCCTTCTCATTTTGGGTGGCATCTTTTGTAAGATTCCTTTTAGGCTTGGCTCTAATTATCTGCTTCCTAATTAACTGTCGGCAGTGGATCTGGGCAGAAGGGCAAGGCTTCCATGTCACGGGAAGTCACCTGGAGCCAACCCCTCAAGTGCGTCAGAGCTCGGGAGAAGGGAGAAGGGAGAAGGCATTGGCCCTGATGATGCTATTACCAAAGGCTGGTGGCCACTTCCTGGGAAGCAGGGGCTGGGAGTGGGAAAGCAGAGGGGGTGCCATGGGGCATATCATGTGGCAGGAAGATAAGCCTTGGGGCAGACCTCATGCCTCCAAAGCTGTCTCTGGTTTTGAGGTTAGCTCAGCACCTTACCACCTCTCCCATTTGAATGGAGGCTTCTGCTTTCTCAAGCATTTCCATGCTCTAATCTCATTAGATTCTCAAAGCAGCTTGATGAGGTAGGTAGGGAAGGAGTTATGGCTCCCATGTGAAAGATGAGAAACCTGAGACTCAAAAACATTTTGTGACTTCATCAAGTCATCAAATGCTCATGTGTACATTTGTGGTCAAATCTGGACTCAAGACTCAATTCTCAGGATTGCGTTTCCTATCCCATCACACAACCCAACAATGATGATAACCATGAAGCCACCATTTAGCCAGCACTCCCTGTGGGCTGGGCACTGGGCTAATGCTTTAGAGGCATAATCTCATTTAATCTTCCCAGTAGCCCTCGATGAAGGCAGCAATACCTTTATCAGCTGTAATTTGCCTACAGCAAGACCAGGGATTGTCATTGCCAGTGCAGAGATGTTTCTGCACGGTGGGCACGAAGGCCAGAGCAGGAAGGAAGAGTGTCTGTGCTTCATTGTGAACAGAGATCAGAGTTGTTCATTGTGAGTCTCACCAATGGACTGCTTTTCATGAAAGCTGAGTGGCTATTTTGTTCATTATAAAGTGAATGTTCTGTCTTGGGTTGGGTCCTTAACTATAACATGGGCTGTCAACTGTTAGGCTCTGGCATCAACTTACAGAGGAACTGGAACTGAGTATTCTGACAATGAAGAATGAATGATGGCATCAACTTAGAGAGGAACTGGAACTAAGTATTCTGACAATGAAGAATGAACGAAGAACACGAGAAAAGCAGTTCCCTGTCGAAAGCTCTTGCTTTCATTTGTTGCTCCTTGAAGGCTGAATTCCTAGTGTTCTTGCTAAGGAAATACATTTGCAGAAAGACTGAAATCCCTACTCTTTAGATCTCTTAGAAGATAAAGGTTCTAAAGGGAAACTACCTATTACTCATCACCTTCACTTCGAGATGTTCCTCAGGCCTCCCCTGTCTTGTGTGGTCTGTGAAGCCTCCTGACCATCAGTCCCTCACTCCCTGCCTTCTGATCTGCACAGCTGTGGCCTTCCTTCTTCCTGGGATGGATCTGACTAGGACTCTCCTCCACTGAAACCCTGAGTGGGTCCACAGATCCTACAGGATCAAAGCCACATTCACTGGGTCTTTATCCCAATCTCATTCATTACTATGAGCACCAGGAAACCCTATGATCTAGCTACACTTTTTAACTGTCCTGGAAAAGACCAAGATGTTTTTGTCCCTTGGCCTTTGCTCATGTTGGAATGTCATAAGTTGTCATTTTTTAACAAACCTTTCTAAGATCCTGATTTGTGTGCCGGATCCTGGCAGTACCCAGATTAGAAACACAGACCCTGCCCTCAAAGGATCCAGGGCCCAGGGACACTGAACCTCCTTTCCTGTCCTGCCCCCGTTCCAATCCTGTTGTTTTCAGGAATACCCTCCCCACCCCTTCCGTCAAAGGAAATCCTCATTCTTTACAACTCAATTCATCCACCAGGTGCTCCAAGAAGCCTTTCCTGATCCCTGAGGATACCATCTTCTTTTATGTGCCTATTTATTCTGCTTAATTAGTTGTTTACTTATCTATCACTCCCTTTAGACCAAAAGCTTCTTTAGAATAGGGACAAGTGTCTCAGTCAGTTCTTTATCTCCACATTGCTTTGTGCCTAGCACGTGCTCAAACAATGCCCACTGAAAGAAATGAGCTCTGAATGTGCTAATACCTATCCGCCATGGGCGATGTTTAGTGGGGATTGGTACTTCTTTCCTATCTTACATGTCTCAGAACCATGAAGATCATTTTGATTGTCTATGACAGGCCATGTCTTAAATCTGAATCACATCACACTAGTTATCTCTCAGTTTGGGCAGGAATAAGGCAAACAAACACTTCATGCTGAGCAAAACATCCCAAACAACTTTCAGGAAAGGCAACCTATTGGAGTGGTTCACAGTGAACATCTCTGATATCTGTATATAATGAGGCACAGTCACTCTCCTCTTCCTGCTCCATCCTGTGTACTCACAGCATAGAACTGCCACTATGCAGGAAATAGCAAACAGTTCCTAGTTTTACTGTTAGCAAATTGTAGCTGATAAAGTGAAGTGCTCCCATGATCAATGATGCTCCTTTATTCTGATTTTATTTTTTACTTTTTTTTTTATTGAGACAGGGTCTTGCTCTGTCACCCAGGCTGGAGTGCAATGGTGCAATTATGGCTCACTATAGCCTCAACCTTCTGGGCTCAATTGATCCTTTCACCTCAGCCTCCCAAGTAGCTGGGACTACAGGTTTGCACCACTATGCCTGGCTAATTTTTGTATTTTTTATATAGACAGGGTTTCACCATGTTGCCCCGGCTGGTCTTGAACTCCTGGGCTCAAGCGATCTACCTGCCTTGGCCTCCCAAAGTGCTGGGATTACAGATGTGAGTCACTGTGCCCACCCTGTTCTGATTTTAAAGACATGAAAACAATAATAAAAGTCAACACGTTTTTCTTGGTCCTAGATTTATTGGTGGTTCTGGACTAGGATGGGAAAGAGATGTTCAGTGTGAACTTGCCCGGGTTTGGGAAATAGCCTGTTACTCTCATTTCACTCATCATCTCCCCAACACTAGGACTTCTTGACAGACATCAATCAGCAAACTTTTTTCCTTTCCTTTTCTCCCTCCTTCCTAGAATCCATCCTGGATTTCCAGAGCCTTCCCCCAGCACCACTAGATGACCCCAGTGCATGGGTTTGGACCCCTGCCTCGGTCCTGGCACCAGGAGGAGGTGAACCTTTGCACACAGGTCTTACCTCAGGAGCTATGTAGTCAGGAGTCCCACAGAACGTGGTGGTCGTCACACCATTCAGAATCCCTTCCTTGCACATCCCGAAGTCAGCCAGCTTGCAGTGACCTTCTGCATCCAGAAGGATGTTGTCCAGTTTCAAATCCCTGCAAGATAGGCCAGGACCATAATGTCAATACGTCACTCACCCCAATATAGTCTTCCTGAGTTGGAGGTATGTGCCTATCTTAGGGAAATCTCCAGCAAAAAAGTCCTGAAAGAAGCTTGTGTTTCTTGAAACCCATCTCAGTCCAGGGGCTCTCTCTCATGTTAGTCAGCCCCTAACGGCACCTCCACTTTCTTCAGCAAGAGGGAGGAACTTCTGTAACCCCAGGAATATATCAAGACTGCTGTGGTTTAATAGAGCTAAGTCAGTAGGTATATATAGAAGCCCTGCTATGCACCCACATTCATATTAATGAGATCCTGCTATGAAAGAAAGAAGCATCTACCCCTGTCCCTCATGAACTAACCATGGGGATCAGCTGGGGTTCCCAGCATGACACATAGGGACATCAACGAAACGGTTAAAACCACCTAAGAGTCAGGCACTACTTTATAGAACACTATGAGAGCTAATGTGCATCAGAGCGGGAGACCACAAACAGCTAGTGCAGGCAGTGAGGGCTTCCAGGAAACAGCGCCCCTCAAGAGAAACATGGTTAGAAGATAAGGGTTCGATACACTGTGAGGAGAGAAGATGGGAGAGAGGAGAAGGCCAATATAGCTGATGCAAAAGGTAGTGAGGAGGCCAGAGAATTGGGCCCTAGTGAATGGTGAAGCAAGACAGGAATGTTTTGCTCAAAGAGCCTGGAATGCTAGGAAAAAGAATTTGAAATGCATGCTAACAGCAATAAGCATCCTGCCTGCATGAGCACAATGCATTTGTAAGATCACTTTCCTAGGGGCAAGCAGGCTGGGTGGGGGAAAGGTCTGGAGGCAGCAAGGAAGGCACATTGCTTATAATCACCTGGACCCACAGAGCCCACGTGGTTCTGTGCAGCAAGCAAGAGCCATAGGGGCATGCCAGTCTCAAACAGTGCAGCTCCCTTGGGGCCTGTTTTACACTTTGGGGTTCTGGGTAAAAATTCCTTGCCACCATGCCTGGAACCCACAGCCCTGACACGGTAGAAGAACCCAGACTGGGTGGTGGTATCCACCTTGGGCTCCCCGCAACAGCCATGCTGGGATGCAGGGTGAAGGGTCTTGCAAAGAAGGCCCATTTGTCTGCACACAGAAAGCAGGAGGGGTCTGCTGGCGTCAAGATGTGAACTCCGGCCATCGCCAGGGATCCAGGCCTGAGTGCAAAGGTGGGGCAGGAAGCACTTTAGGACCAGCCTGCATTGTAGCCACGACCCCGTTTCCACTTACAGCTGGGACTTCTTGAGAAAAAAGAGCATATAAAATATGCTGCTGTAAGCAAATGCTCATGAACTACAGAAAGAACAGTGAGCCCAACCAAGCTGAGCCCCTGGGACCAGGGTTCTCCCACCCCCACCCTGGCCACTGTGTGTGGTCAAGGCCCAGCTCTGGCTGTGGGTGATGGAGCAGTGAGACAAACACTGGGCCAGGACCCAGGGCCTGAGTTTGTAGCACTGGTTGTAGCCTTGTCCTGGTAAAGTCACCTTGCTGGTCTGTGACCTTATCTGGTGAATCAGAATGACACGCTCCTGCTTGTAGGCTTATTTGAAGGACTAATGAGATGTGCGTGAAAGTAGAAGGTCTTTAACATTGTCACACTCACTTTCTTCATGAAGGAACCAAGTTCAAGGGAACTGGGTGAACTATCTGCCCACTTGCAAATGTCTGAGTCCTTGAGAAGCTGACAGCTGGGGCCCCACTGAGTCACATGCCCCTCTATCCCTATTTTGTAGTATCCAGTGCTGCCAACCCCCATGACACACACGATCAGCACAATGGTGATACTAATTGGAAAAGGAACAACAATGATGCTTCTTTATGTGTGGGAAGCACCTCCCAGTTCATGATCCACGCTCAGCACTGTGAATTCCATTAAACAGTTCCATTGCATAGCTCTGTGAGTTAGGAGGAGCACATGTGGCAACTACCCTTACAGAAATACGTCAAAGGAAGCTGGAAGAAGGTAGGTGATTACAGGTGGTGAAGGCTTGGTGGATCTGCTCTGCAAGCCAGTGTGCTTATCCCTGTGTGCTGCGCTCCTCTGCCCTCCTGCCTTCACATTGGTTGACTTCCTCCAATGCCAGCCACCAAGCCCAACTTTATAAAATACCCCAAATGCCACCTCCTAAGCACTCTTTTTAAAGCCTTTGTTATGTCTGAGGAAGGACTTCTTCTAATTTTGTATAAATTGAATGGATTCAGAAGATTCCAAGCCAGCTTGAACCTTGCCCCTTTTCTGACTCAGGCTGCAAGGCTCCGCCTTTTCTTCTGCCCAGGATTGCCTCAGGTGGGGCAAAGAAGGAGGAAGTCCTCACTGCTCCCCAGCTCCTGCTCTTCTTTGCCTGCCCCTGCACTGGCCCCAGATGCTCACCCTCCCTTTGCTTTCTACCCTTTCTTCTCCCCAGGGGAAAGGTGGTCCAGGGTGGCTGCCACAGCCAAGCATGGTCTGCAGGCAGCATGCAGCAGCTGCCCTTGGCTATGACTGGGGGAGGCCCTGACCAAAATGCTTCTTCCTGCTGTCTTGCCACTGAGGCCTGAAGCCCGCCCCTGGTCACTTCCTCCAATTCCCCCTCTGTATTTCCTGAAAACTCTAACTGTCCATATAAAACCAAGTCCAGGAAGAGTTAGGGACTTAAGTTCCTTTCCTTAATGACAGAAAAAGTTAAGAGTGGGTCCAAAGACTTCCGGGAGCCAGAAGGGCGATTGTTAGGACTTTCTATTTCTCTGGGGGTCTTCGGTTCCATTATAAACAAAAGAGCTCACACCTCTGGGACTAAACTTGCCTGGCACTGGGCTCTCAGTGGCAAGCAGTTCACGAGTAGGGTTTCAGTGGATGGGATAGCTCAGGGAAGCCCAGGGCCATGATGGCTCAGGGGTGGGTGTAGGGGCAGGATGCAGTGGAGGTGGAAGGTGGTAGGAAGAGAAAGAGCTAGTCCTTCCCTAAGAGATTCCTTCATGGTTTTCTTACCAGCACTGCTACCCCAGGACCTCTGAATTTCCACTCCTCATTCCTGCCCCAGGAGTCTCCTGCCTGTATGTTTTCAGTGCTGCCTCTTTGCTAGGGACCTGTAGACCTTACTGGGCAGGAGGACTGGGAATAATGGTTTCCCAGCCTTGCCTACTTTGGGGTCCTGCTGGCAGGGCAGAACCGGGCAGGCTGTCTATTCTCCTGAGAGTTCCCATGGTGTTCAGTGTTCAGGACATGGCCAGGCGTGTAGCAAGTGCTCATCAAACTTGCTGGAGACTGACGGCTTTGCAAAGAGGGACAACTGCCCAGATATTAGTCCCTGTGTACTTGGTCCTCAAATACAAGGCCAGGGTACTTTTGAGGAATGGGACATATTTTAAGGAGGGGGGTCTTTTTTTAATAGAGGGGGGAAAATCCAGCAAAATTTCTTTCCCAATATGTGAGCCAATGTGACTAGCCTATACTCATTTATCTATTTAAAGTTTCATTCAATTTTTCTTCAATAGGTAATACTTTCATGTGTTCAAAAAACCAAAAAGTATGAAAGGGCATGCAGTAAAAATTCTCCCTCCTGCATCCATTCCCTAGTCACCCTTTTCTCTCTCTACAGGCGATTTCTTTTTATTCATGCCCTGTGTATTCTCTTGATCATACTTTACATATAAATAAGAAAATATGATTATATGTTCATTTCCCCTCATTTAACTAAATGGGAGCTTACCATACACATTTTTTTAGACTTTATCTTTTTCACTTAAAATATATTGAAGCTCTTTCTGTCTTGGCACTTAAAGAGCCTTCTGATTCTTTATTGTGGCTATATAATAATCCACTGTATTTATTGGGGGACATTTAGGGTGCTTCTAGTATATGCTATTACAAACAGTGCTGCTGTGGATAACCATCTGCATAGGACATTTTGCACATATGTGAGGGTAACTATACACATTTCCTAGAAAAGAAATTTCTGAATCAGGTACTACAAGAATGTGAATTTTGATGGATGTTGCCAAACAGCCCTTCTTGGTGGAAGAACAATTTATACGTCCATCAGCAATATATGACAGTGCCTGCTTCCGATATCTTTCCCAACATGGTATATTATCAAGATTTGGTAGTTTGATAGGTGAAAACAGTATCTCATTATATTATTAAGTTTCTCTGTAAGTTCGAGCATGTTTTCATGTATTCAAAAGAGATCTGTATTTTTTTCCATGAATTGTTGCCCATTTTTCTTTTGTGGTGTTTGTTTTTTATCGATTTTTAGGAGCTCATTCTATATTAGGAAACAAACTTCATGCATGAAAGGGCATACAGGAAGATAAGAATTGCAAATACTTATCCCAGTTTTTTGTTTGACTTTTGGCATTGCTTATGGTGGTTTTGTCATGCCAATATTATTTATTTTTATGTAATTGAACTGATGTTTTATATCATGGGTTTGGATTTTATGTCTTAATTTGAAAGGCTTTACCCATTTCAAAGTTATAAAAGTATTCTCCCAGGGTTTCTCCCAGTACTTTTATGTTTTCATTTGGTAAATGTAAGTCTCTGATATATCTGGGACTTGTTCTGATAAAAGATGTGTGATCCATATCCAACTTCACTTGTTTTCAGAAACTTAGTAAGTTGTCCCAGTCCCTTACGTTGAATAGGTCATCTTTTCCTCACTGATTGAAATACCACCTTTATCAAATACTAGTACTAAATCCTCATGTGCACTTGGATTTTTCCTGTATCTTTTATTCTATAACGTCACTCTATACCACACTCTTTTAATTATTGCAGGTTTATAATGCCTTTTAACACTTGGTAGTACCAGTCTACATATTATTATTTTTCAAAATTTCCTGGCCATTCCTGTTTATTTTTCCATATGAACTTTAGAATCATTTGTCTAGTTAAAAAACAATCCTGGTGATGTCTTTATTGTGAATATGTTTAAAGTTATAAATTAACTTAGGGAGAGTTGATATTTTTATGATGTTGAGTCTTCCCTTCTTATCCAATAATACTTTGTGTCTTTCCATTTTCATGTCATCTGTGTCCCTTAGGAGCATTTTAAAATTCTCTCATATAGATCTTATAAATTTCTTATGACATTTTATGGCAGATTTCTGGTTGTCCCAATATCTATTCTCACTTTCTTCCTTTGTAAGAGAACATTTACTTTCTATTTTTTAAGCCAGGCACATAGCTACGCAGCCATGAACTAGAATTAAAAGCTGCCCTTGGAGCAGGGTGTAGTTATGTGACTAGGTTCTAGGCAATCAGATATGTGGAAGTCTCCTTAAAAGGAAGAGCCTTACTCTTCTTTTTCTTTCCTCCTTCTATATATTCTCTCTCTCTCTCTCTAGATATATATGTATATGTATATATGTATATATATACACACACATATATATACGCATATATATATATATGTTCCTCTATATATTCTGTATATTGCATGAATGAGGACATAATGCCTAAAGTAGTAGCAGCCACCTACAACCATAAAGACAAGGACTAAGTCCTAGGAATGGTAACTGGACCATCAGCCTTCAGATAACTTTCATATGAAAAAGAAAGAAACTTGTATCTTATTTAGAGCACAGTTGTTTTGGGTTTATGTGTTAATTGCAATGGAATCCACTTCAAAATAATCCAGGCTATTATTTTATATTTTAAATTCTTCTGGTAAATGGGGGCTTTCTTCCGTTATATCTTCTATCTGCTCACACATGTATAGGCTAGGTATTGATTTATGTTTATCATTCTGTGCCCTGCCATTATACCGAACCCTCTATTTTTGTAACAGTTTTCCAGTTGATTCTCCTGGATTTTTCAAATTGTCTGCTATTAATGATTAATTTACCTCTTCCTTTTTAGTATTTATACTTCTAATTCATTTCTTGTGTCTGATTGTGTTGACTGCAACCTCAAGAACAATGCTAAGTAATAATGGTGATAGCATCTTTGGTGGTCCCTGATTTTAGGAGGGCCACTCCTAGCATTTCCCCCTCAGCCTGAATGCCTTTGCGATAGCCCTTGTTGCCTGACACCTGGATAGATGGCTACTTTACTCTCCACTCGACTGAAGACTTACGAGAACTTCCATGGAACCCCACTTCCTCCCCCAGTGCCAAGAGCCAACTGGGATGTGGGCTATAGGAAGGTGATAAGAACCAGGCTCTTCAGCTTCCCTTGAGTCCAGTGTGTCTTAACCTTGGCATGCTGGGACGAGATTGACATTTGGGACTGGATAATCCTGTGTTGTGGGGGGCTGTGCTGTGTACTACAGGATGTTTACTAGCACCCTGGTCTCTACGCATTAGATGCTATGAGATGTTATGCATTAGATGCATTAGGTGCTATTAGTATGCCCCCTCTCCAGCTGTGACAACCAACTGTGTCTCCAGACATTGCTAAGTGTCCCTTGCAGGCCCTCTGGTTGACGACCACTGCTCTAATCTGAGTCTTAAGCAGTGATCAGGGCTCTAACACGGCCTGGCCCGGATCACTAAGCCAGACAGAGATTTGGAAAGCACATCCTGGCTATAAGGAAAGGGTGCATTCGCCTGGTACATCCTCTGCCATTTTATTCCTAGGAGATGGGAATCCTGACTCTACCAACCCTGCTAATTGGCATCCTCAACCCACATGTTTAAATGTATGAGGAAACTGAGGCTCAGAAAAGGTAACTTGTCTGAGGTCACATGGCTGGTAAGAGGCAGCGTGGGCTGACCCTACATAACTGCCCGTGACCACCTATTAGATAAAATGACAGACGTATGAGTTGGAAATCTCTATTTGATGCTTGGACTAAAATTCCTCTGGGCTGGGAAAAGAAATCTTTGTGGTGAGGAGAACATGGAGCACAAGGGATCACAGACTCTACCAGGGCAGACCCACTTCAAGGCAGGATGGCACAATGAAGGCTCTCCTGCGGTAGGAGTGAAGATCTCTTCCAGAAAATCACAACATGACAAGAAAGGAAATTCCCTAAACAATGTACTTTTAAAATATTCTATAAAACCTATCTGAGCAGGAAAGAAATAAGTCCTAGCAGTAATAGTCTCAGGGGAAAAACAAAAAGTTTGACTTCTAAGACTAACTATACTAACTAATTTATTAGGGTAGGAAAATGGAAAAGCATCAGTGAGTACAAACAGATCCCTAATGTGATTTTGCTGCAAGGTGGGGAAGAAATGGTCTAAGACTGAGGGAGAACTGGTATGCAAAGAAGATGTCGTATCAAGATATATGCTGGTATGCTGGAGATGGGATGAGACCAGTGGTAGGTCAAATTCTACTTCTAACTTGACAAGAAACTGACTTTTTTTTTTTTTTTGAGACAGGGTCTCACTCTGTTGTCCAGACTAGAGTGCAGTGGCACTATCTCGGTGCACCCTCTGCCTCCCAGGATCAAGCGATTCTCCTGCCTCAGCCTCCTGAGTTGCTGGGATTACAGGCATGCACCACTACTGTCCAGATCTTTTTTTTTTTTTTTTTGTAATTTTAGTAGAGACAGGGTTTCACCATGTTGGTCAGGCTGGTCTCGAACTCCTGACCTCAAATGATCCACCCGCCTTGGCCTCCCGAAGTGCTAGGATTACAGGCATGAGCCACCGTGCCCAGCAAACAAACTGACTGTTCATGTCTCTAGCAATGTGTCTAGAATAATTTGAAACACATATTTTGGCTTCTAAGAATTGCCTCCCAGGTTTGGCTATGCATGTATCTAATTCTGTGTATAGTAATTTATGTATAAGAAGTTGTTTGTGCCTACATGTGATCTGAGATGTTGGGTGGGTCCCCATATTTTCTCTTCCCGATGTCAGACAAGAAGTGAGGCAGTTCTGAATCTATATCCCAACTCTGCCACTTACCAGCTGGATAAGGTTGGGCTGGTCCAACATATCTTTAAGACTCAGTTTTCTTATCTGTTAACTGGGGATAGGATTGCCAGGATGGAATGATGTAACCTCTGCGAAAGTGCTAGCACAGTGCCTGATCCATGATATCCCAGAAATTCTGCCTCCTCCAGGGGTCTCTAACACTCATTTCTTAAAATACACATTCCCTGCCAGTGCAAGTCACTAAATCCCTAAAACTCCTTTTATTTTTGAAAAATACTTAAGGTCTTTTATGTGTATAAAGCACTGAGATAGATGCTGTGGGATGAAACATATGAAGTATATGCAACTGTAACTTAGGGGAAAGGGACAAATGATGTGGAACAGAGATGAGACTGACTGAGACTTTTAGCATAGCCCGGTGAGAAAGTCAAGATTCCTTTCCCCGGGACTGGGGAGTGACACTGTGCACGGAAACACAAAGTTCCCAGGGAAGAAAGCAAAGACAGTGGGGCTCACAGGTAGGGGTGAGGCTGTGCAGATGTTGATCAACAGGATTCATGCGACAGCTTCCAGACCCTTCAACTTCTCAGGACTGGCTGCCACTGTGTGCTATCACAGACAGTATTCCTTTCCTTCCCACAACAGCCCTGGGCAGCGGGTATCATCATAGGTTTGCAGATAAAGAACTTAAGGTGGGGTGGGGGTGAGTAAACAAGGCTAGGGAGGTGACTGGGACCTGAACTGTAGATGTTTGGTGGAATCCTGTTTTCTTTACCCTGCACCTCAGCTATCTCATCTGAATTTATCATTTCCCATTTGGAAAATTGTATTTTTCTATATTGATGGTAGATTCCCTAAGAATAACAGCCAGAAAACTCTCCTTCTGTAAACCATACAGCATCTAGCAAAGCGTTAGCACGCGTGAGGCCCTTAACATATCAGAAAGAATAGGAAACAATTCTTTTATGCTTGACTTGAAAATTCACCACAGAAGAGCCCTGTAATGCTCCTTTATTCTTCGCTCGTTTTCCAATGCCCTCACTTCCCTGGCATGCAAATTCCACAAAGCTCAGGCCTGAGTGCTGCAGAAATAACAGCAAATTCCTCCAGTTACTTGAAGATAAGAGATTAGAAAAATTACTTCATGTCCTAGAGCAGGCCCTCGAGGGAGATTATGAAGAAATCCTGCTTGTTTTGGGACAAATAGTGGAGACTTGAGAATGACTGTGGTCAATCAGATGGGAATATTGGTTCTTCTGGCAGATGGTACCAGCACCTTCATAAATTTAACAATACACTTGAGAGAAAGACGTTTTTTCCAGATCAACATTGTGGCAAATGTTGATGACTGGCAGGCACCCTCTTCCTGACATTCTCTACATAGGCACCTCCCATCACTCTCAGGAAGCAAGTCCCTCAAAGACCACCAGAGGCCAAACACAAAGACAAGCAAAGTGTGTCTACTTCCCCTACATTAAAAAAAAAAAAAAAAAAAAAAAAAAAGCATAATTTGTTTCTGAACCCAAGGTAAATTTTTTTCAAGTTCTCCATTGCAGTGCTGATAACCGAGAGTCAAAGATAATATTTCATTCTGGGCCAATCTCCAGGGAAAATCTCTCCAAGTCTTTGCATAGGAAAATTCAATCATTTAGGAGCAACACAATTAACTACTTTTCTTCTTCCAAATGCTTTTGTATCCCAAGCTCAGTGTTAAATCTTTTCTATCTCTTACTTCATTTAATCCCACAAGTGCTCTGTGAATCTGGTAAGACTGTTATTATCCCTACCTGCTAGATGAGGAAAAAGAGTTTGAGGGGTTACTTGACTGGCCCAGGACACACAGGTGGTGAGTGAGCAACAGAGTCCACCCTGCCTGACCCCACTTCCATGCTCTGAATCACTTCACTGTGTTGTTTGAGGAGAAAAAAATATACATCGTGTCCACACGCCCGCCCTTTCATGGGATAGAGAACACAGTTGTAGTTGTTGGGGTGGTGGTTGTTTCTAACTCATGGAAACATGCTTATAAGATGTAACAGATAAGCCAGACAATGCTATTTTGATCAAATAGATGTCCTCTCAACTGGAGAGAGAAGACTTTTAGACACTACACTGACAGCTGGAAGCCTGAGGTGTCAAACAACATCTCGGTTTGAAGCCAAAATAAATAGCCTGGTACCTGGTTGATCCCGCCAATAGAAAAAATAATAATAAACAGCCTGTGGCTGTACCTGGGCATTAAGCCTTGGAATCACTACAGAATTGCTTATCTGATTGCATGATCATCCAATTACTTTTTTTAACCCACAATAATGAAAGTACATTCTTATCCTTAATATTCATGGATAAAATCCTGATCCCTGCTGAGGGGAAGCAGGCATTGCCTTGTGTTTCCAGCATGTGGGTGAGCTAGCCTGACGATCCGTCGTGACACTTACACCTAGTTCCCCTATCTCTCTCCAGGCCAATCAACTTGGTCATCAAAACAGCTGTTTGGGCAAAGCCCAGGACAGAGTGACCACAAGCAAGTCACTTTTCTGAGCATTACTGTCCTCAAATATGAGATAAGACGGCTGGATGAGTTAATCCCCAAGGGCCTTTCCAGTCTAAGATCCAGGAAGCGAAGGCAGCTGGAGCCCGTGAAAGAACTTGCTTGAACTTGCAGTCCTGGCTGTTGCACACCAAATGTTTTCCCTTTCCACTTTGGAGCAAACCTTTGCCAGCAGGCATTTTTACACGAAATGTAAATCAGATGATGCTCCCCTGCTGCTTGCATTCTTCAATGGCACCCCAGAAGCAGGGTTGTTAGCATGGTGTGAGAGGCCCTTTGTGGTCCCCCATGGCCTTCTAGCCTCATCCATCCAGTTTGGATCAGGAGAGTGTATGATGATGGAAAAGGCTAGAAGGCCAGAGGAACCTTCAGATGGTCCCTGTCTCCTGTTCCACTATGAGTGTCTATCCTCCACAAGGGACCATTCCATGAGGGCAGGGTCTCCAAGTTCCCACAGTGTCTGATGCATCCCAGTGTCTCAATACCTACTGGTCAAATGGATGAAGGAATAAGAGCAGAAAAGTGAATTCACAGATCGTGGCCCCAAGCAGCCAGATGATGTGAACACACATTTCCAGATAATGTATGGAATGAGTAAAACATTTTTATTGAAAATTATTAAAACTAAGGCCAAAACCATCAGAGGCAGCTGAATCCAACATTCTCTTGCACTCTCCAACCCATTCTCCCTATTATACTCAGGAAGAGAACCAAGCAACACCCTCTTGTTGTGAGGTCTCTGCCTTTATCCCAAAGATGCCTCTCTTGGCCACTTTACCTGAAGCAGCCCCTCACTACCACCCCCAACCCTTCCTTTAATGTCAGTCACAGCACTTTGGTCAGCTCCTCTACAACAATGACAACTTGTCATTATTTTGCTTATTGCCTTGAGCATTATTGGTTTCCTCACATGAACTCCAGGAGAACAGACATGGTGCCTTCGTGTTCACAGATTGGTCCTCAGGGCCCTGCAAAGTACCCAGTATTCAATGTTCACTGAATGTCAGAACGAAATGATGATTGGTCCTCAGGGCCCTGCAAAGTACCCAGTATTCAATGTTCACTGAATGTCAGAACGAAATGATGGGCAGGGTCTCTATGAAGTCCATTTTAGCGTCCATCAAATTGGCAGCATGATTACAATCACTGATATATTCATTGACTACTTGCCCCTACTATGTAATAATTCTATAATAGTTATTGAGTTTCTACTTAGAGTCTGTTTCAGGATAGGGAGAGGGAAGAAAGACACAATCCCTGTTTTCAAGGAGAGGTCTAGGGTCTAGAAGGAGAGATGGACATGAGGCCAGAGTACTAGGATGGCAAGTTCTAAAACCAGAGGGAGAAACAGGACATCATCACTGCCTTAGAAGGCAAGGATTGCTGGTTTCACCTCTTTTGGGCCCAGTGATTTGTAGCTCCAAGTCCAGCCAGCACTCTGTCATCACAGAAAGGGCCACTCCAGCTAAAGGACCAAGAGTAACCTTTCTGGGGGCGTTCTTGGAGCCTGGCGGAAGTGGACCGTAGAACCCAATACCGGGTCCAGAATTCCCGGACAGGAAGGCCAGAAAACCGCACTTCAAGCTCCTTTGTCAGGACCAGAAGCTGCCAAAACTAGTAGGCGTATGTCTTCCATGTCCAGCCACATAAGGAGCCACGTGCTAGGAGATTGGTTAGCCCCTTTTAGGTCACCCCAGCCCAGATAAAGAGCTGAGGAAACACAAATGTAACTCCACACAATTTGACGGGGATGTAGGGAAGGCACGTCTTCCTGCAAAGTGGGGGTCACCCAAGTTACTTGGAGGATATCAGAGGCCTCATTCAAGGTTAGGAGGCTGAAAATGGACTGACCTCTGAAGGGACAGAAAACAGATTTTATTATTCTTAAAAAAGAAGTCTTACATTTGTATTTGTTTAATTTGGCCATGGAAGGTATTTGCTTTAAGACCATGCGGTGCTTTCCAACGGCTAAGAAATGTGTTTGTGCGCGCACGTGTGCATATATGCATATATGCCAATAAGAAGGGGTACAGGGCTGTGCTTATGCCCTGTTATGGGCCTAGACCTGTGGTTTGATGGACAACGAGGCTGCACAGGCTCAGGCGAATGAGGCCGGTTAAGAAGAGTCCTCCTCTTCATCAGGGAGGACATAATCTGGTAGAGTTTACAAAATCAAAGGTGATTAGAGATAAAGACAGCCTCCATTTCTCCATGTGATGGACATCTACTGAGCACTTATGACATACCAGGAAGGCCCAGGCTTTGGAGGGAGGCAGGAGGATAGCAGCAGTTCAGCTCGTGCATGCTGAACATTATTGGTCCCTTGGAAGCACCTCACTGGACATGCTGACTAGGTGTGATATGTGAAGGTTTGGGCTGGAGGAAAAGAATGAATGTGGGTGAGATTTTTTGAGAAAAGGATCACATACAGTGTGACAAGAGAAGAAGGCTGGAAATGATCTGTAAGCAAGCACAACGCTTGATGGTTGGGACTTGAGACAGAGCAACCACCGAGGACTTTGGTGTTTGGGAAACCCAAAAAGAGAATCTCAAACAAAGAGCGTGGTCAGTCAGTGAAGGGCTCTGAACTTGGGTGGTTCAGAGGTCTTTTTATCCAGCTGAGGCCCAGGCAGATAAAGTCACGTGCCCTTACTTATATTTGTTTATTTTTTCTTTTTATGCTTTGAGACTCTGATTTAGAAATAATAAATAATAATAATAAAAATAATAATTGGTTGTATCTTTTGAGAAAAGACTTTCCAGACTAATAGAGGCATTGTGTATCAGGGTCTGCCCAGTGAATAGCTTTAGTAAAGAAAGTAACTGTAAACCTCAAACCTGCCAATGGGAAAGAAGGAGAGTTCCAGAATTCCACTTGGGGAAAAAAAGAAAGCAAGCAATAACTCTTGGAGTGACACTGGGAGACATGCCCTTTTTCAAGGCAGTAGAGTCTGCATGTGGGAAGAACCCTATTCAGAGAAAACCCACCAGAGTTCCATGTTCTCCACATGCCTTCCAGTCTTCCAACCAAGAAGGATCCAGCAGCTTCTCCTTTGCCAATCCTAGGCTGTCCCTGAGGAGCAGGTTAGTTGGGGCAATGGTGACCCAGCCCAAATCAGCTCAGTGTTCCTGGGCCCTCTCTTTCCTCCCCACTCCACCAGGCCCATCAGAAGGGGTGCCCATACTCTGGACATTTCTTTACTTCCTCCTTTTTAAAAATCACCCTTCCCTAAACTGTGATCCCTTCTGAACTACTTGCAAATCTGCTCAGTGTCATTGAGCTAAGGTGGACCCTTATGGCTTGATATGTAACTTCCCCCAGGGAACTTGCAGAGATGTATCAGAAGATCCAGGAGAGTCAGCAGAGGTGATAAGGCATGGGGCACAGCTTCAAGACCACTTCTCAAATCCTGGCAGGAAGAGTCTAGAGTTCCCTCTCCAGGGCCCTCCTGAAGGCCACAGCCTCACCCCTGCCTCTGACTCCATCCCCAGCCAACTGCTTCCTTTTACCTTCTTTAACCCAAAGACTCTACTTGGAGCAAGATTTGGATTTTCCTGAGGCCATTCAGCTAAAATTCAGAGTGCTGTTCAATCCCTGACTTTGCTGGTGGTCACCAGCCGGATTTATCCTCACACTAGAGCAGGTTGTTTGGCCATAGATGTGGATGAAATATTAGTAAGTTACATTCAAGGAAGACAGGTGCTCAAAAAGGATAACCTATCTCTGCTTTGGGAAAAAGTGACCCCCAGTTTTTAAGCAAAAGTCTCTCAATTATGATTCAGGTCATGGAAGTATCCTGATGGCACAAGGGTGCGCACACGAAGTACAGCAGACCCACATTTGGCATTTGCAGTTTTACTCTTCTCAAGCTACTCTAAGGGTCCAAAACAAGCAGCACTTTCTACCTGTGTACAGGACATATCTTAATGTGTTTTCTAATGAAGCTACGTGTGGGTAGGTTAGCTGGCCAGCAAATGAGCCAGACCAAGTGGAAACAGAGCAATGAGGTCTGCGGAAGGAATATTTCTCAGCCAGAAAGCAAGTGCTTTGAACAAACTGAAGAAAGGAATGTGGAATTTGTTGGTGGTTCAGATCTATGACAAATAAATCCTTTAAGCAGTCTATTCTGAAATAAAGAAATCATGACTTAAAAATTTATTTTAGCAAGTGCTATGACAAAAATTGAAACTTCAGTGAAAACTAAAAAGATAATTAACATGTGTTGTGAGACTGTACGCAGACAACATGTAACTCTCAACGTTTCTATATATCTATGTCATGTTATATTAATCATACTATATACTTATATATAACAAAGTATATATAATGTATAACAAAGTATGTATGATAAAGTATACAGTATGATTAATATATGTAATAGTATATTCATGTATGCATATTTATATTTTATGTGGTATAATATATACATATAGTGTAAATATGACATAAAATTAATAAAAGTTTAATTGTAACTTATTAGATTATACTTTGTGTTATTTGTCTCTTTCCAATTTTGTAATTATTTTTACCAACCCAATGGTTTATGCTAATAAAAATGAAAACAACCACAAAAACAATTATACCTGAAACCTTAAGAATACACAAGAACAAAATCTGTCATCTTATCAGGTTAAAAAAAACTCGCTATTTTCATGTGCTAATAGTCCCTAAGGGAGGTTAATTAAACAAATACTAATTTCCTAATCTGTTGATGACTGTCAAACAGCTTTTATTGCCAGAGATTAGCTGTTAAGATATACACCCACAACCATACCTGCTCTTTTTTGAAAACATAAGTGTTCTGATTTAATGGAAAATCACTGCAGGGCATAAGTATAAACTATAAAACAATTAAAATAATAAATCGGAATGGCAGCATTTCCCAGCGAGTCTTACAACATAACTCAGCAGCTTCCAATCTGCAAGGCTCTGCCCTGGGCCCTGTAGTTTGCTGGGGCAAGGAACAGGCACAGGCAGCTTCCTGTGGGCAGCCTTCAGCCAGCATGAACACGAGGCTGCCTGGAGTGCCCGATGGAAGAATGAGACAGTCAGCCCAGGGCTCAGGAGGTTCCAGGGCAGAGGCTGCCCACAGGCTCCTCATCAGCTTGCTCCTTTTCATAGAAAAAAACCCATACACTCATGTATTCAAATATTCATGGAGTGACTACCACGTGACATGCGCTGTTCTTGGCACTATGGAAACACGTTCCCTGTCCTCTTGGCATTTATATCCTAGTGTGGAAAGCGACAATCAACACATATAAAAAAAATAAAATAACGTTGAGGAGTAAAAGTGCTGTGAACGTACATGCTGAGATTAACTCTGGTCCATGCCCTTGTTTCTTTTCCACTCATCAACAGCTACGTACTGAGCACCTGCCATGGGCCCCCACCTTCCTTGGATGGGAGGTATCATTCTGAGACTTGGCTTCTGCCATCCACATGTGAAACAAGGAGAAAACCATGAAGACCCTGTGCTCACTGACGGTGCTGATGAGCCTTTACTAGTGCGCCTCATGTGGAGGAGCTCCTCGAATTCTCCCCCAAACTCTGAAATGGGTACTATCATCACTCCCATTTTAAAGATGACAAATCTGAGACCTAGAGAGGGTGCACGTCTTGCTCAGGGGCCCACAGCTAGTATAGGAGTGGGAAACTAAGATTTGAAACTCAGAGGCAAACTCTTAACCACCCAGTGTCTAGGCTAGGTGGTGGAGGAGGTCCTGAGAAGCCCTGAGCTCCTCCAAGAAGGACCCACATCTGCTATGGCATCCATATTTTCCTCAAGTTCAAAGCACCTGCTCCAGAGTCAAGTGCCCACGAGCAGGACCAGAAATACTGACTGCCTGGTCACTCTCTGGTGGTCTCTCCCCAGGATCACCAACATTTCCAGTGCAGAAGGTCTTTAGGTGTGTGGTTATCCAGCCCTGACTTCTCAGTGATGACACTTCATTGGCTTATCAACCTTATTTTTAATGGTCAACCACAGATCTATCTTTGGGGCCACTGGAAAACTGATTAAAAGATCGAAGACATAAAGATTAGGGAACGTTTACCAAAACAGGGAGCTCCTATGATGCTACTTAAGGAATAGCAAGACAGAGATGCCTGAGATTGAGCAGGAGAACGTGACGTCTCCCAGGCCTAAGTCTGAAGATTACTCTGATTTAGTATTAACACTATGTGAATACAATGTCTTAGTCTCACTTAGGTTCAGGTTCCTAACCCATAAAATGGGGATAACAGTACTCATTTCAAAGGCTTACTGTGATGCCTAAATGAGGTAATATGGAAAGGGTTTATACCAGTTCCTGGCACAGAGTGGGTGCTTAACAAATGTTAGCTCCAATTGCTCTTCATGAGCAGTTTCCAAACTTGACCATTTAAACCATGAGTTCATTACCCCTTTCTCACATACTAAAAAAATCACTGTCATGTAAACAGATTCGAATATCTACTCTTTTTTTTTTGTTGACTGATGACATTACAAGTGATGCTGGAAGGGAACAACACAATGGCAAATGACAATAACAAAAACTAGAGGGGGAACCAGGTAAGGAATAGAAAGAGGATATCATTGGAATAATTTGTCCAGGAATTGTAACCTGGTGTCTGTACCTGCTTGCTTTCATTTTATCTTTACTGCCCACTGTAGCAGACTCTGTCTGCCACAAAGGGCGTACCTCAGTGTGTGAACATGGAACACCAAGGCTTGGCCTTCCTGATACTCCTGTGACTTTTGAGGCAGTGGCATGAAGGCAAACTGGCTGTGAGCTGACCCACTGTGTTTTCCCACGGCCATGTCTGAGAAACACAGCTGTGGTCCAGCCCCAGTCCCTGTCCATTTTCCCATTGATTTTCCAGTTTGCCTACTGTATCTGTGAGCTGTCTCATGTCTTTCCAGCAAATTCTTTATCCATGCAAGTTAGGCAGAGCTATGCATACTACTGAGAACTCTGACCAAACTCCCAAGTTCCAGGACAGTCTACCCCTTGATCCTCAATGGTAACAGGCTGCCCACAGTGACAGCCACTCACTGTCAAAGATTTACCAACTCAGAACTATCTCAAGATCCAAGTCAGTGTGGAGAGGCCCTGCTGGCCATCATACGTTCCCCACAAGTGCACAGCACTGGTTGATAGCAGAGACCAATACTGTGAAAAGTAATCAAGTGCAATATGACCAGCATTACAAATGCAGTGGGCTTCTATGCCCTAAGAGAAGGCTGGGGCAAAAATTAGCTACTGGATGAATATTGCCATGACTGTGAACATCTGGAAGCTGAGAGGTTAGGATCAGATGCTGGTTTAGGGCGTGCTCTCTCTTTTATATATATAAACAAGTCTATACAGCTGTTTCTACTCCAGCTTCAAAATAAAAGAACACATCAAACATATTACTAAAACCTGGAGCACTCACTGTGCGGGACACTGTATTAAAAAGATCCTAAGAATCCAGGATTTTAGTGACGTGAAGAAAATATCAATGATAAATTGTTTAAGGGCAAGGGTCAACAATTTTGAACTGAACAAACCTGGAAGCTAAACATAGAATGGACACTGAAGCATCTAGAATTCCCCTAGAGCTAACCAGGAAGGCCCAAATCTGTGGGCTTTCTGGCTCTCAAGCTTTCCTTTTTCTGCATTTGCCCCTGAACTCCTAGGCCAAGGGTCTGGAGGCTTAAAATAGCACTCACTGACTCTAGATTTTTAAGCTCAACAACACCCATATTTCAAAGGAGCTCACCTAGGACAAGTCTGTTAACGTTGGGTCTTAAGAAAACTGTAAACCGCTGAAGTGGGTCTTTGCTGTCTGTAGCCTTTCCTCATCTCATGCTTGTCCTGCCTCCAGCATCTACTGGCTCCATGCTCTTTGTAGCCCTCACTCATCAGCTCCCAGTAAGGGCTGTGACGGTAGCATTCACCCTCCCATGGGACTGCTCAAGGGAAGGGAGGAGGAAATTCACAGTTGTCAATCCCTTACCATAGACCCGGTTCTGTGTTAGGTCCTATGGGGAGACACAAGAAAGCTAAAAAAGAATTACCACCAGGAAAAGCCTTTTAATCTGATATTCAAATGGGAAATATATATTTAATTATGAGTAAATATCAAATAAAAGCTATGCCTATTAAGTGTTCACTTTCAGGCTTTTGCATGAACTGTTTCCTCTGTCTGTAACAGCATCCGCCAATGCCTTCTCTGGCCAACTCCCATCACTTTCTGTAAGAAGAATTCATGGACTCCCCCATGGGAGTCCATGTGGGGGTTCAGTGCCCCTCCTAAGGGGTCCAAGGCACTATACCTCCTCTGGTGTAGTATATATTACAAGAAAATGTGAATGCCCCCAATAGGCAGCGAGGTCTACAAAGAGGGGACAAAGGAACTGAGTCTTGTTTACCACTGTATCCCCCCAGCACGCTGCACAGTGCCTGAGATGTAATAGGCCCTTAGTAAATATCTGATGGTTAAGAATGAACAGAGGGGTTAAGAAGAGACCCAGAGAGATCTCTGTGGGTTGAATGGAATCTGCTTCTAAGACAACAGGCACTTTGGAGTATTTACCAAAGAAACATCCAATAAGTACTTTTCTTCTGGAAACAGCATTACCTGTGCCAGAGCTTGGATGCCAGGCTGGTAAAACAACACTGCCTGAGCCCACTCGGCAAGAACTGACCTGTTGGAGTATTAGGGCTCTGGCTTGGCGGTCCAAGCCTGCTGCTTACATCTGCCATGCTGTTGGAGCAGATTAACTTGTCTTAAATCACTTTTAATCATTTTAAACAGGTACTTCACTCAGAACGAAGACACGTACAACTGGATTTTGATTCACACTCCATTCTGCTCTGGCAGTAATCATGTATGCAATGGACTTTGATTTTCATGCTTATTTAATTCTAATATGAATTAAGAATGACTCATTGTCATAGGCAGAACACTGATTTTTCTCAGAATTCTCACTTATGTACCTACTAAGTGTCTGTATATACTGTGAAGGTATATTTATGCCTGTATTTATTGGCATGCATGAATTTAAGAGAAGAAAATTATTCAAAGACACTGAAAAGTGGAAAAATTCCATCAGTCAGTTGAATTTGGCTAGATGAAGTCAATGACCAGTTCATTTCTCTCCTGATGATGTATGGTTAACCATATCTAGGAAACCGACCATCCTCCCCCAGCCTCTTCTTAAGGCCTGCATGTAACAGCCACCTCTTGTCCAATATACCGACTTGAGAAAATATTTCTCTTTTTCAGATAAATTGACTCCCACAAATTCAAACTTTTATTTTAAATCCAGTCACTGTTACCTAAAATGTCCCCCCAAAGTCACTGTTATTGGCTGGGTACAAAGGAGTTTCTAGAGAGGCACAGTACATCAGCAACCAAACAGTCCTCCTTGTCAACCACATACCGGGGATGACGCCTATTTTCCCTTCCTATCAGTTTGTATTACTGAGCTCTACAGACTGGATGAACTATAGTACTGACCATCAATTCATTTTCCCAAATGCTCTTCCCAAAGACTTCTCTACTAATATTTAGAGAAGTGTAACTGTAAATCAATTAGATTCCAATTTTCTAAAGCTTACATGCAGACATATAACTAAGCATGGCAGTAAAGAAGAATTTGAGAAATGGCTACAGGGAGAAAGTACTGGGCAATCAGTGGCTGAACAAGGCAAGACACCATTGCAAATAAATACCAAAGTCTCTTTATTTGTGCCACTTTGAGATAGGCCATCCCTTTTTCCAGCTAAGATTTAAATGTGTCTAAAAATTTCCTTTCAAGACTTACCATATTCATCGATTAAGTGGAGGTTGCTAGTGGAGAAATATTTTTAGTTATTTTGGGGCACGTGATATTTTATAACCATACAGCACCATCATCCTTATCATTCCCCACAGTGACTAAGGATCTTTGCTGGATATATTAGAAGATCAGAGAGATAGAAGACTGGGAATGAGCCCAGTCTTCAAAGAGTTTGTAGTTTGTCACAAGTAGATCGATGAGTGAAGTGTTGGGTACAAAGAATATGATCCCTTTCCTCTGCCCACAAGTGTGAACATAAATGCAGAGCCATGGATTATGTGGTCATTTTTAACAGAAGGAGGGGGTCTCTAACTGGGGAATGAACACAAAGTGATAGGGCAGTATCAAGGAAACTCATGAAACGAGGTTTCACAGAGGAGGTGATTCTTATTTATATTAGTATCAGTGGATAAAATTGAACCATTCATTAAGAGAAAATTCTCTATAGATTGCCATCTATTCATATTCCTTATTACATCTCGGAAGGCAGCAACACGATTAAAATTAGAAATAGGAATAGTGTCAGCTACTCAACACTAGTATCTCTCTTTCTTTTTTGTTTGAGATGCAGTCTCGCTCTGTTGCCCAGGCTGGAGTGCAGTGGTGCGATCTTGGATCACTGCAACCTACACCTCCTGGGTTCAAGTGATTCTCCTGCCGCAGCCTCCCAAGTATCTGGGATTACAGGCATGCACCACCACACCTGGCTAATTCTTGTATTTTTAGTAGAGATGGGGTTTCACCATGTTGGCCAGGCTGGTCTTGAACTCCTGACCTCCAGTGATCCGCCCACCTTGGCCTCCCAAAGTGCTGAGATTACAGGTGTGAGCCACCATACCCAGCCATATCTCTTTATTAAAAAGCAAACATTTTAAAATCACTTTTCAACCCAGGATGGCTTGGTGAAATTGTTTGACACATGCCAACTGCTGGCACTCAGCACTGCCTTGAGTTAGCACCCCTGTCAATCAGTGCATGCCTTGTAAACATTTGCTTCTTCATTCATTGTAGGCAACTTTATTTCTTTGCAGTTGGAATGGTACAAATCCTTACCACCAAACTTCTGAGAGCTGAAGAAGACATAGATACAACATAAAACTTGGCAGGGCACAGTGGCTCATGCCTATAATCCCAGCACTTTGGGAGGCTGAGGCAGGTCGGTCACTGGAGGTCAGGAGTTTGATACCAGCCTGGTCAACATGGCAAAACCCTATCTCTACTAATACAAAAATTAGTTGGGCATGGTGGTGCACGCCTGTAGTTCCAGTTACCTGGGAGGTTGGGGCATGAGAATTGCTTGAACCTGGGAAGCGGAGATTGCAGTGAGCTCAGATCATGCCACTGCACTCCAGCCTGGGCGACAGAGCGAGACTCTGTCTTCAAAAAGAAAGAAAGGAAGAAAGAAACCCATAAAGTTTGCTTTTGTTCTATGTGATCTCAAAGATTCTAAGAGTAAACACGACAAATCATCCATCCCCTCATTAAAAGTAATCCCTTGCATTTGACTTCCCCCAAATGATCCTCATTTCAGCCTCACTACTTGTCAGCTACTGCCCCACAATTGCAGGGAATAGTTTAAGATATTAAAGCATGTGCTTTGCTTATCTCTTTACTCTGAGTTTCCTTTAAGCTGTGTGTAGACCAAAAAAAAAAAAAAAAAAAAAAAAAAAAAGGCAAGTGTTTTCCTTTGTAAAGCTTTTCCTTTCCTTGTATTTGCACATTTTTTTTTTTTTTTTTTGCTAGTGAACTTCAGTCAACTTTCCTCTTAAAGTTTAAACATACATTTCAGAGACAGATTTCAGAAACCATGGCCCCTGGGCAGTAATATTGCCACAATGACCAAGGTGATCTGGTAAAGCTTTCTAGGATCTTTCCTCAGATTTTACCAGGGAGGAAATAACTCAGTTTTACATAAAAAATAATTTGGCTTCACCAGGACTCTCCTGATTATAATGGTGACTAGTGCTGGTTGGTGTACTGCTAAAAAAAAAAAAAAAAAAAAAAACCCAGACTGTTGTGCCAGAAAAAGCCAGGTTTCAACACTGCGCCCCCACTTCCTGACCATTGGACCTTTTTGCTTCATGTTAAAACTTGAAGCCTCAGTTTCTTCACCTGTAAAATGGGGACAATGCTATCTACCTTGCAGCTATCTTCCCAGTGGTTAAATGAAAGAATGTACAGAAAACACTTACTGTCAGGCCCAATTTAACCCCTCAATAATAATTATTATTCTTCATAAAAGCGAGGAACTTCATCTATCAACCCAAACCTGGGTAAGGTCAGAGGGATGTAACCTCGCCCAGTGAGGACTATTTACATATTTCATCACTAAGGTCAGTTTTAAAGAGACCTATAAGTGGGCTGGGTGCAGTGACTCATGCCTGTAATCCCAGCACTCTGGGAGGCCAAGGTGGATGGATCACTTGAGGTCAGGAGTTTGAGACCAGCTGGCCAACATGGCGAAACCCCGTCTACTAAAAATACAAAAATTAGCTGGGCATAGTGGCATGCACCTGTAATCCCAGCTTCTCAGGAGGCTGAGCAGGAGAATCACTTGAATCCAGGAGGCAGAGGTTGCAGTGAGCCAAGATCACGCCACTGCACTCCACCCTGGATGACAGAACAAGACTCCGTCTCAAAAAAACAAAACAAAAACAAAAACAAACAAACAAAAAACACAAATAAAGAGACCTAAATACAAAACTAACCTATTGGCAGAATGGTGGCTACCTCTCCGGGCAGTGGGGAGCACTGACTGGAAGGAGCCTAAGGAAGCCTGCCTCGTGCTGGGAATATGCTGTATCTTCGTTTGGGTTACATAGGTGTGTATTCATGTAAAAATTCATTAATATCTAAGAACTGTGCACTCGACTGTAGGCCTATTATATCTCAATGGGAAAAAAGGAGGGAAGGAGGGAAAAAGGGTGAAAAAAAGAGAAGAATACTGGTGAATGTAAATGATTTCCCTTGGCCTGATTTACTCCTTTTAAGTTCCCTGTAAATCCAGCTGAGTGAGCTGACTGGCAAGAAAGAACAGTGCTGTCTTTTCTCCATGATCAGATCTTGACTCCTGTCCACAGCATTCATGAGCATCAGTTTAGTACATGTTTAGGTGTACGAGGCCCTGCAGGTATGCATTTAGGGCTGGCACACCTGTCTGTTGTCAGTTCAAATGTGCTCACTGACACGTGCTGAAAGCCTAGCGTTTATGATCTTTGCATTGAATTTGGTGAGCCTGACCATCAACCCAGAATTCCCATCCACCAATTGGTCAATATCTTTTAGCCATCTTTTACAAGCCCAGCACCATGCCGGGTCCTGTAAATTCCCTATGGGCCCCTCTATAATATCTCAGAGTCCACTGTGTGATGCTGTACAGACTGGGCAGGGAGTTGCAGGTACCTGTATGTCAAAGACAGGCAATGACTGTGCCAGGCACCTTGGTGTCAGAGAGAACAGAACCAGGGGACATCTCTCAGTGTGCAGGGTGGGGCCCACCTCAGATCATGGGGACTGATCTCATGCCATAAAACATTCAAGGCAGTCTGGCCCCAAGAGGCCATAAACAATACAACGCCTACTTTACAACGGGTGCACCAAGGTGGAAATGAAAATTGTCTGCCTGTGCATTCTTAAGCTTATTAACCCCAAGAATGCCAAAGCATTATTGGCATAAACATCCCCATAAAAGTTGCTGAAAGGGTGGGTGAAGATACTCTGGTTAGATGGAGCTGTGATGGTAAAGTGACATTTTAAAAAGTTTGGTTTGGTTGAAACACAATTTATCTCAAAAGAAAGGGTTTTACTTTGGGAATGAATCCAAGTAGTCCAAAAGGCTCCTATGCTTTCTTAGACAATAAATTTTACAGCTTTGACTGAGTTAGGTTTTTAAAAATCATCTTCCTGATCATGTAGGTCAAGTGCCACAGATTCATGGTGAACAAACGTAACAGCTGTGAGTGGTGGAAAACTGATATTAATACATCGGTAAGAAGGCAGGATTCTATTCAGACTATTCTAGTTTTTACAGTATGGATAGATTAAATATACTTCTTGACTTAACGTTGACAGGAAAAGAAGACAAGCCTCTGGTTTTTGAAACATGGGTGGCATCCTTTGAAAGAAAGGTCAATACAATCTGAGAAGTTACAAAAACGTGTTGAGTAGAGAAAGGAAGTGAAATGACAAATGGAAGTCTCTCCCCTTATGCCTTCTCCTATCTTCAGAAGAGTTAAAAAAGCCTACATCATCTACATCTGATTTCTCCAGGGTCTGAAAAACCTGCAAATATGGCTGTACTCTACCTAAACACCATGGCAAAATCTGTATAAATCTTACTAGCCAAAACAAGAGACCTGTTAGCTCACAGCTACCCCCAAACCTTCAGAGTCACATGAGCAGAGAACTTTGCATCTAGAGCGGGTTTTCCAGCCTGGGCACTACTGACATGTTAGGCTGGATAAATCTTTGTTGTGAGGACCGTCCTGTGCATTGCAGAATGTTTACCAGTATCCTTGGCCTCTACCCACTAGATGCCAGCAGCACTCTCCTGGCCCCCATCCCCAAGTTTCAGCAACCAAAAATGTCTCTAGACATTGCCAAATCTTCCCTGGAGGTAAAATAACCACTAGTGGTTGAGAACCATTATGCTAGAGGAACATCAAGAACCACTTTTCACTGGGGAGGTGAAGAGACTATGGTTGATGAGTGTCTGAACATGAGGTCAGTGCGTTTCCTCTTAGCAATGCTACTGCTTAAAAACCAAATTCTATTTTTTATCTGAGCTTCATGTTGGGGAGAAGAGTTTTCTAAGTCCCAGAATGACAGCATCTTTTGAAAACTTATGAACAAAGGAGCCCCAGGGCTTAACAGACAAAGCATAGCATCTCCAAAAGGTGCCCAAGGAGCCTCCCAGCTACAAACTCCCAGGGTACCCGCCAACTAAAAGCCAGGAGAATCCAACAAATTCCAAGGTGACATTTTAAAAGACACATTATCATTACAGACTTCAACAGTTCTATCTAAATTCTAGCAACGGGAGTTGAGAATCCTGAAGCCAAAATTAAGATATAAGTAGTGATACTAACACACTGGGTGGAGTGTTCCTCACAAGCTCCATTTTAGTGAGAATCTACGTACTGTCTCTCTGCTGCCGGAACAATGCGTGTTTCTCAATCACTAGTTGAAAGAGTCTCTTTGCAAATATTTCTTCACTTGCTAAGCAGAGATGGTTTCTGGGAGATAAATTGCTGGAAACAATGTTCCTCTCCTAGCACTAATGCAAACCATACTGCAAAATGAGGCACTACACTAAAAACTCAATTTATCCTGTTCAGCCTAGAAAGATTAGAAATTAGGGGAATTCGGAAAACACAAGCCCTTAGGGCCAATAAACCATATTTAGAACCATTTGTATGTATTTTATACTCAGGAATTTTATTTATGATAAGAATTTGAATGTCTCCCCCCACCCACTTTATTTATAAAGATTAAGTGACATCATTTAGCTAGAGTAAAGAATGCCCTAAAAAGAACTAATAGCCCAAGTTGTTTCCAAAGTTTAGGAAAGGGAAAAAAAAACACCCTAATAACCCCCCCTTTTTTTTTCTCTTTCACAAAAATAACAGAAGGAAAGCTGCTACTGTAATCAGCAGTGATTGCAGGCATTTCCTGTATTTTTATATCAAGCTGGTTGTTTTTTTTCCATTACATACCCAGTGAACTTCAGTTAGGTCAAGACTAGAGAAAAACAGGACCAATTATGCCTCCAACCCCACAAATCTGCCTACTTAGCTCTGCTAATTTTATCGTGTTGACTCCATGGTTCCAAGGAGCCAGAGATAGGAAAACTTCCATGGGCCATTTGCTCTCTTCCTCCTGGAGCCGAGTTCGTGCACTTCCCCCTCTACTTCTAACCCATTTAGTCTCCAGCATCCTAAGATGGAACTTTTGCTCCATCTGTTGCAGGCTGAGATTCAGTCAGGTTGTTCGAATGAGACTCTTGGGTGAAGTCTCTGCTTTCTTGGAGGCTCCCAGACTCCCTGGGGCCATTGCTCTGGGTTTGCTATCGGACAGGTCAACGCCCAAACTGCCAGATTCCACAGCGACTCCCATCCATCTCTAGGGATCTTCATTCTTATGCTTTATCTTCAAGAAGGGTAAGAAAGTCTTTTTCCTTAGGTCTCATCCTCCATCTCTTTGGCTGTAACTTAAGTCCATTTCTTCATGCTCTGTATTCTGTGGTTACAACAGCATGGGGAGCCTCCTTATTGAAGCCAGTTGTTAGGCAGTGATTATCATATAATAGTCTCATCTCCATTTTTCTCTTTTGTTAGTCCAAGGCTTTCCATGAAGAGTATATTGTGTCTGCATTTTTTGGATAATATTTAACACCTTGCTTCTGATACCAGATCACACTGATTTTTGCAGCCAATGCAGTGTTTTCACAGCCACCAGTAGCTATTTTCTTTTTCAAACCTTTGGAAAAGCTGTGAAAACCTCCTTTACCAATTTGAGATCATTGTAGAACAGTGACAAGCTCTTTGGCCAACTTTGGGTAGTTTCTTTCTCCACCGTGTCCCACAGCTACCCAAGTGCCAACTCTTCTGAGTGTAGAATTTCAGGTAGGTTTCCTCCTGGTGATGGTTCCCATGCTCAAGTTAAACAATGATGTCGTCATTCTAAACAACCTCAAAGGAGTCTCTCCAGTTGATAATTCCACGAAACTGTCCTCTAAGCTTTTCCTCTAGAGTTGCCTGGTTCTGACCATTTATTCTTCAATTATCCATGCTATTGGTCAACATTTTTTCTTATTGTTCACATTAATCCCCTTGTTTTATGTAATTCAGCATCATGATTTCATGGACTATTAGAGCTAGGGTAGATCTTAGAGGTGAACAAATGCCATTTTGAAGTGTTTTACAGGATTGAGGATTAGAAATGTTTTTCTAGTCTTGGAGTTACCTCAGATGACCCCACTCTTTAAATACAGGTGTACTTTCAAGTCAAAACCTGACATCCTTAGCAACAACCCTGCAACTAGTTGACAAAGATTCAGTGATTACCTACTATGTACCTGGCTCCACATTATGGCAATGTAAGGGATCAGTAATAATAATAAGCAATTACTAAGCCCTTCCTATGTGTTTTCCCAAGTATCACCTCATTTAATATTCACAGTAATCCCGTGAGGTAGATACTATTACTATCCCAGCTTTTAAGTGAGAAAATTGAGGATCAGAAGGTAAAAAGAACTGGCTTAGGACCCACATGTGAAGGGAGGATCCCATCCCAGGAGTGTCTGACTCAAAGGTGAGTAATCACCCAGCTTGGCTGAACTTCTGGCTCCCCAGAAGGTACCATGGGGAGCCCGGAAATCTCTGCCCATGTGATTTCTGGACCTCATGTAGAATTAATTTCAGAATCCATCATTTCAAAGCCAACTCAGAAAAATCAGGTTTTTCCTTTACAGGCTTACATTATTTTGGATACAAAATGATTTTCAGAAATCAGATCTACTCCCAAAGCAGGATTATTAGCCACAAAAGAGACTATGTAGTCAAATAAAAACCTAGAGAGGCATGTAGATGTATTCAATGTAAAAGCAGTATTTTTGCCCTGAGAATGAAGTCTCCCAAAAGGACAGTTAAAGGAGAGGACAATACTCATTTGAATGTGTAAACTCTGGTATGTTGGTTTAAAAAAGTCAGTCTATTTCCTTATGGCAAAGGACAGAAACTCCCACCCCTCTGGTGCCCTCACTTGCTTTTGGGAAGAGCTCAGTGGCAGATTCTCCAGTACTTTTGATAGTCAATTGTTCTCTTCACTTTCCTTGAAACATCAGATTTGATTCTGAGCTATTAAAACTAAAATCCTCTGTGTCATGTTCCTTCTTCTGTGAAATTTGACCAATAATTTTCTTGACTGCTGGCTTCCCTTCAAACAATAGCAAGAGAAACCACCCTGCAATTCTTTAGATTCTCCAAGTGAAATGCCTGCTCTCCGGTTTTTTTTCCCCTCCCAGACCTAACCGCTGCAGTACACTCTCAGTGCTACTCTTTCTCCTTTCCCTCATTTCAGTATAGGATGCTTTTACTCCTCCTATTTCTCTAGCCAGACCTTCAAGGGGCTTTTTTTTTCTCCGAACAGGCATCCTTCTCAGGAACAGCACCATGTGTGATGACTGAATTAGCGTCTCTGGCCAGCCACAGAGGAGGGTGGGGACAGATGTATAAACCATGAACTTGGCTAACAAGCAAATGAAGGCTACACAGACCAAATCCCATCAATCCAAGGACCCACTTGATTTCAGTTAAGGGCGGACAGTAGAGGTGGGGAGCACATACTCACGGTAACCCAGCCTTCTGATTTCCTCATTGATTCAAAGTGTCAACAGTGACCTCAGCAGTTTCTCCAATCTCCTTTCACATTTTTCTTAATCATCTAATTATTTGAAACTAGGATGAAAGCAACCAGGTCACAGTTACCAAATTGCTTATTACTGGTCACAGGGATGTTTACTTTAGAATCCTGTATATTGCAGTGTCAAGGCAGCTCATGCCCATCTGTGCACACTGTTTCCTGGGAAGTTCTAGAAAGCAACTCTCACGTGACATTCTCCAACATAGAGGAGTGTGGTCATCTCTCTGAAGTTGGCTTCCCTTGGACACAGCCCTAAGCTGGGTACCTTGGAGGATCCAAGAGAAGGTGAGGTCATGGTCTCTGATCTCCAAGGGCTAGCTAGCAATTTGGTTGGGGAGACAAGACTAATAAAAACGAAACATTTCGAGACTAAGCAAGCATTACATCTGTACCCACACTCCAAAATCCCATAAGCCACTGGGAAAATGATCATTCACCTTATGGAGAAACCTCACCCCAATCCTCCTGCCCTGTAACATTATAAAGCAAGTCCTTTCCTCTGTAACTTTAGGCCCTTGGTTGACACAGGCATCTAAAAGTAAGGAAATTTGTATGTCTTATATCAAAAAGAAAATCAAAGATGAAGAGTCATATACAAAGAGAAAACAGAAGGCAAAGGGTGGGGTCACTCTCTCTCAGCCGAGTTCCCCGGGGTACCTGGTACCCTCTGTGATGGGGTGCTAATTACAAACGGGGAAAGCAGCCTGTGTCTGGTTCCAAGCTGGCTTAATTATACCTCTGAATCTTGCTTCCATCTAAAACACTGATTTATAATTTAGACAAATACACAAAAAGAACTTGGGAGCTTTGATGCAAGCACTGATGCCCATAGAGATCTTTTCAAAATCTGGCCTGCTGCATGCAGCAATGGCCAGATACCATGTTGTATATACACAGCATGAGATTAGATGATAAAGGCTTCCCCACTGGAGAATGCTGAGGAGCTTGAAGAGAAATGGGGCTTCTGGGTTCCTTACACCCCTCTCAGCTTATTTTTCCAGCCATGTGTTTGGTGGCTCAAATCTCTGAGCAAGATAGACTAAATGAAAATTTTTCACTGTGAATTTGGGTTTTATGAGATGTGCTTCTCTTTGTACAAAAAAATGTTAGGTTTTTAGACTCCTGCCAATAGCAAAATCACTCCCCCTGCTTCACAGGGACCTGGCAGGATGGACAGCAATGCCTGAGAATGTCTGTCCTATGGAAATGCAGAAGACCAGATGGCAAGAGGCCAAGGTGACAGGCTGAGCTTAGCACCTCTGTTCTTTGCACAGTTGATACTTGTGAAATACTACTTCCCTGCCACCTTAATCCAAAGAGAAGCTGCCAGTGCCTAGAACTGACGGTTGCGCTACACTGTGATCAAGCAGGAACATCAGATGGAACAATTCTATAGCAGCCTGATTCATGTGGAGGGCCACTCAGGAGAGGTTGGACACCTTCATGGGACTGTCCTGGTATGTCCTCACCAGCCCAGGTCAATGGCACAAGAGTTCCTGGGACCTTCTAGAATACATAATCATAAGAAAGATCCCTAAACATATATTATAAAGGTCTCAAATATTTTTCTCTAAATCTTGCCTTTTTCTTGGCTTAAGTAATCCAGACAATTGCTCTATTCAACCACACACACACCTATTTTAAACTCACATCAGTATATTAGAATTCTCACTAAATCATAAGGCACAGTGAACGGGCTTTCTTGAGGGAAAGGGTTTTAGATTCTCTTAAAAGCCTTGGACTCTGGGGCTGGGCACGGTGGCTCATGCCTGTAATCTCAGCACTTTAGGAGGCTGAGGCGGGCGGATTACGAGGTCAGGAGATCGAGACCATCCTGGCTAACATGGTGAAACTCCATCTCTACTAAAAAAACACAAAAAATTAGCCAGGCGTGGTGGCGGGTGCCTGTAGTCCCAGCTACTCAGGAGGCTGACGCGGGAGAATGGCGTGAACCTGGGAGGTGGAGCTTGCAGTGAGCTGACATTGTGCCACTGCACTCCAGGCTGGGCGACAGAGCAAGACTCTGTCTCAAAAAAAAAAAAAAAAAAAAAAAAAAAAGCCTTGGACTCTGGGAGGGCAATATTATTTCTAGCCCTTTTGGTCAGGCAATGCCCAATCTCTGGGAAGACTGTAATCTTAACTCAGAAAAATCATCCACAAAGCCCCCCTGATCGCTGGACACTAAGACAGGCACAGAAATGTCCTCTCATGGCAGGCTGAGGTCTGCACAGGTTTATACCCCCGAAGTTTATACAGAACCCTCGAGTTCTGTGCCTCTCGACATACCCACCACTGCTGTGAAGCAGAGCCAAGAACCGCAGGGTTCTTCTGTGGATATGCTTCTCCCTGCTCATTCGGGTCCAAAGGCCCAGCCTGGTAGATGTTCAGACATTAAAAATGTGTCTGGGGAGTGAAGAGAGAGGCAGTGTTTCCTTCCCGTTAAACCCAAACTGCAGAGTCAGATAACAAAAATATAAGAGGAAAATAATGAAACAAAGGAAGATGAATAACTAGCAGTATCTTGAATAGTCTTGAAGAGAAAACTGTAGAGACAAAGCCCAATCATCTATCTGAGGTCCCCACCACAGCCAGGACTGAGACGAATAAGTGGCTGGTCCTCGTTCAGGAGTCACTGCTTTATGATATGATGGGTATGAGAAGGGGTCACATGTCATGCCACCCCTGTTACATTCATCCCTCAGGAATCTCTTTTTGCCTAAAAGCTACCCCTACCCAGGGCTAAGTGGCAGCCCTTACATGAGGCAGGTGAGCATGTAGCACATCCCCCTTCCCACTGCAAGCCAGGGACTGCAAACTCTACCTGCAGAGATCTTTCCCCATAGGTCAAGACATTCTCCCTGCTAACGCTTAATTCTTATATGCAGCCTCTGCCTTCGTCAGGTCCAAAGTACTTCTCCCCAGAGTTTCCAGCTCAAAAAGGGAGACTGAGCCACAGGGAGCACCTTGTTAAGAGGAAGAGATATGAGGACAACTGATGACAATAATAATATCTATGATTTGGGCCCCTGCTAGGTCCTGACCACATTCTGTGAGGAAGGTATTAGTATAAATATTTTCAGGTGACTAAAATGAGATTGAAAGAGATTTAAAAACCTCTTTAAGTTCAGATATCTGTAAGTACCGTCTGGGATTCAAACACATGGATGTCTGACTTTAGAGTTCTGCATTTAACTACAGACCACAGAATACACATGCAAAGAGAACACACTTGCAGTAACTGACCACAAAAAAGCAGTCAGAACTATGTATTTAGGGTAATTATTCTTAGCCTTGGTGCAGTGATAGAATTGGGGTGTCTAAATCAGCTGTGAGGTCCATGAAGTATTTGGGCAGCACTAATACAGTAATTATATTAATGGTTAATATCTAGTGCTCACTGCCAAACCAAATACTGGGCTAAGTACTTTGATGCATTGTCCTATTTAAGCCTCACAATCTCTCTATGAGGAGGGTACTATGACAATATGTTATAGATTCTAGAACAAACTTTTTTCATATTTTAACAAATCTGAAATTAAGAAGCAACCTACAACTGGTGATTTTTCTTTTTAGTAAAAAAGCAACAAAAAAGATAGGGGGAAGGGAACAAAAAATGAATATAACAAATAGAAAACAGTGATAAAGAGGCCAGGTGTGGTGGCTCACACCTGTAACCCCAGCACTTTGGGAGGCCAAGGTGGGTGGATCACTTGAGGTCAGGAGTTTGAGACTAGCCTGGCCAACATGGTGAAACCCTGTCTCTACTAAAAATACAAAAATTAGCCAGGCATGGTGGCACGTGCCTGTAATCCCAGCTACTTGGGGTGGCTGAGGCATGAGAATTGCCTGAACCCGGGTGGTGGAGGCTGCAGTGAGCCAAGATTGTGCCACTGTACCACTCCAGCCTGGGTGACAAGGTGAGACTCTGTCTCTCAAAAACAAAAAACAAACAAACAAACAAACAAAAAAAAAACCAAAAAAACAAAAACAGGGATAAAGAGAGTAGATATTAACCCAACTATATCAATAATCACTTTAAATGTGAATGGTCTAAATACATCAATTAAAAGACAGAGATGGAGTGGATAAAACAAATAAGCAAAACAAGCAAGCAAACCAAAACAAACCAAAAATCCACAATACTCCACTATCTGTTTTCTAAAAGAAAACCACTTTAAATATAAAGGCTCAGACAGGTTCAAAGTAAAGGGATAGAGAAAGAATTACTATGCTAATGTTAATGAAAAGAAAGCTGGAGTGCCTATATTAGCTTCAGACAAAGACGACTTCAAAACAAAGAAAATTATCAGGCAAAAAGAGGGCATTACATAATGATAAAGATGTCGGTTCCTCAAGATGATCTAAATATCCTAAACAGGTATACAACTAACAACAGGGTGTCAAAACTGACAGAGGCAAGAAATGATAGAACTCAAAACCACTGTGGGATGTGATGATCCAGGTGGGTATATAATAAGAAAAACAGATAACGACAAGTGTTGGTGAGGATTTGGAGAAACTAGAGCCTTCATACATTGCTGGTGGGAATATAAAATGGTACAGCCATTTTTGGAAAACACGCAGGGAGTTCCTCAGTTAAACATGGAGTCACTACTTGACCCAGCAAGTCCACTCCTAGGTATATACCCAAGAGAAACGAAGACATCAGTCTTCTCAAAAACTTGCACACTAATATTTACAGCAGCAGGTGGAAACAACCTAAGTGTCCATCAACTGAGAGTGAATAAACAAAATGTGGTATATCCAAACAATGAAATATCATTCAGTGATAAAAGAAGTTCTAATACATGCTACAAAGTGGATCTTGAAAGCATAATGTTAAATAAAAGAAGCCAGTAACAAATAACCATGTATTGTGTGATCCCATTTGTGCAAAATGTCCAGAACAGGCAAATCTAAAAGGAAACTAGGTAAGTGAATGCCTAAGGCTCAGGGTAAGGGGATGGAAGGACTAGGGGATGATTGTTAAAAGGAACGGAGTTCCTTTTTGGTGTGACGAAAGTTTTCTAAAGTTGATTGTGGTGATGACTGCACAACTGCTTGAATAGACTAAAAACCATTGATTTGTATACTCTAAATGCATGAATTATATAGTATGTGAATTATATCTCAATGAAGCTGTTACCAAAAAACTGATTAAACTGAAAGGAGAAACAGACAAACCCCCTATTTCAGTGGTGGATCAAGCAGGCAGAAAATCAATAAGGATATAGTTGACCTGAACAGCATTAGCAATCAACTTAACATTTATAAATTGACATTTATAAAATAGCCATCCAATAACATAAGAATTCACATTCTTCTCAAGCTTGCATGTAATGGTCATCAAGATAGATCACATCCAGACCAGAAAAACTGCCTCAAATGTAAAAGAATTAAAATTGACAAAAAACTTTCAGATCATAATGGAATTAAACCAGAAATCAACAGGAGAAAAATAGGTGGAAAATATCTAATTATTTGGAGATAAAACAATACACTTTTAAAGAGCACATGGGTCAAAGAAGAACTCTCAAGAAATATTTAAAAATACTTTAAACTTAGTGAAAATGAAAATACAACCTATCAAAATTAGTGGAATACGGTGAAAGCAGTGTTTAAACAGAATTTTATAGCATTGAATGTGTACATTAAAAAACAAGAAAAACTTAAAAATCAATAAACTAAGCTTCTGCCCCAAGAAACTAGAAAAGAAGAGCAATTTAAACCTAAGGCAGAAACAAACAAATAATAGAAATCAGAGCATAAATTAATGAAATGTAAAACAGAAAAACAATAGAGAAAAATTAATAAAACCAAAAGCCGCTTTAAAAAAAAAAAGACTAAGAATATTGACAAGACTATAGCCAGGCTAGCCCAGAAAAAGAGAGAAGACGCTAATAACCAATATAAGAAATGTAAGCAGTGTCATCACTGTTGATCACGGGAACGTGAAAACAGTAATAAATGAATGCTGTAAAGAACTTTATGCCCACAAATTTGATAACTAAATGAAATGGGCCAATTCTGTGAAAGATACAAACTATCAAGATTCACACAAGGAGAAATAGATAATCTGAATAGGCCTCTACTTATTAAAGAAATCCAATCAGTAATTAATAATCTCCCCCAAAAAAGAAAGTATAAGACCCAGAGAGTTTCACTGGTGAATTGTACCAAACACTTAAGGGAGAAATGACACCAATTATCCACAATCTGTTCCAGAATATAGAAGCAAAATGAATACTTCCTAACTCATTCTATGAGGTCAGCATTACCCTAACACTAAAACCAGACAAAGATATTACAAGAAAATATAACAACTGACCAATATCTCTCATGATCATAGATGCAAAGATTTCTCAAAAAATTAGCAAGCCTAACAATGTGTAAAAAGAATTATATACCACAACCAAGTGGGATTTATTCAAGGTATGCAAGGCTGGTTCAACATTTGAAAATCAATGTAGTCTGCCGTATCAATAGCCTAGAGAAGAAAAATCATTTGATCATATCAATTAATGCAGATGAAGCATCTTACAAAATCCAATACCCATTCATTATAAAAATTCTCAGCAGATTAGGAATAGAGGGGAATTTTCTGAACTTGGTAGGGAGCATCTACAAAAACATTACTGTTAATATCATACTTAATGGTGAGTAGCTGGATGCTTTCCCACTAAGATCTGTAACAGACAAGAAGGTCCTCTCCCCCCATTCCTATTCAACATTGTACTGGAGTTCTAGTGAGTGTGATAAAACAAGAAAAGAAAATAAAAGGTGTGCAGATTAGGAAGGAATTAACAAAATTGTCTTTATTCACATATGACATAATTGTCTATGTAGAAAATCCAAAATCATCGACAAAAAACTCCTGTAATTAATAAACATAATAGAATGGTTGCAGAATACAAGGTTAATATGCAAAAGTCATCTGATGTCCTATGTATTTGCAATAAACAATTGAGACTTGAAATTTTTAAAAATATATCGTTTTCAGTAGCACACAAAAAAATTACATGCTTAGGTATAAATCTAACAAAATATGTATAGGATCTGTATGTAGAAAACTAAGAAAACTATAGACCACTGACACAAGAAATCAAGGAAGATCTAAATAAATAAAGAGTTATTTCATGTTCATGGATTAGAAGCTTCAATATTGTTAAGATGTCAATTGTCCCCAACTTAAAATCTATAGATTCAATACAATACCCATCCAAATCCCAGGAAGCTAATTTGCAGATATCAGCAACTTATTCTAAAATGTGTATGGAAAAGCAAAAGACATAAGGGACCCAAAACATTACTGAAGAAGAAGAAAGTTGGGGGACTCACATTAACCAATTTTGAGACTTACTATAAAGCTATAGTAATCAAGACAGCATGGTATTGGGGAAATAATAGACACAAAGATCAATGAAACAGAATAGAAAGCCTCAAAATAGACTCAAATACAGCCAACTGAGTTTTGACAATGGAGCAAAGGCAATGCAATAAAAAAAGAACAGTCTTGACAACAAATGGTGCTTGAACAACTGGACATCAATATTGAAAAAAAAAAGAACCTAGACATAGACTTTACACCTTCCACAAAAATTAACTCAAAATAGATCATAGATCTAAATATCAAACACTAAACTACAAAACTTCTACAATAAAACACAGGAGACAATCTTGGTGACCTTGGGTTTGGTGATGAGGTTTTTGATACAACACACCCAAAAACACAATCTATGAAGTAAAACAATTGATCAGTTGGACTTTATTAAAATTCAGAACTTATGCTCCACAAAACACACTTTTTTATTTGTAGATATGCATGGGGTAGAAATGCAATTTTGCTACATTGATATACTGCATTGTGGTGATGTCAGGGTCTTCAGTGCAGCCATCACTGGAGCAATGAACATTGTACCCATCGAGCAGCCTCCTATCACCCATTCCCCTTGACCTCTCTGAGTCTCCACTGTCCATCATTCCACACTCTGCTCACATGTGCATGCATAGTTTATTTATCTCCCTCTTACAAGTGAAGACATGCTATATTTGTTGTTCTGTGTCTGAGTTGTTTCACTTAAGACAATGGCCTCCAATTCTATCTGTGTTACTGCAAAAGATATGATTTCATTAAAAGACACTATTAACATAATAAAAAGTCAAGCCACAGACTGGGAGAAAATATTTGAAAAACACTTATCTGATAAAGGATTTGTATTCAGAATATACACAGAACTCATAAAACTCAAAAATAAGGCCAGGCATGGAGGCTCACACCTATAATCCAAGAGCTTTCGGTTGCTTGAGGCCAAGAGTTAGAGACCCGCCTGGGCAACAGAGCGACACCCTGTCTCAAAAAAACCCTAAAAAATTAGCCAGGCGCAATGGCACACACATGTAGCCCCAGCTACTTGGGTGACTGAGGCAGGAGGACAGCTTGAGCCCAGGAGTTCAAGGTTAAGCGAGCTAGGATCACACCACTGTATTGCAGTCTTGTGAGAGTGAGACCCTGTCTTAGAAGAAAACAAAAACAAAAACAAAACCCTCAACAATAAGAAAACAACTCAATTAAAAAATGGGCAAAAGATCTGTAAGGATACCTTTACAGATATACAGATATACAGATGGCAAATAAGATAGGAAAAGATGTGTAACATCATTTATCATTAGTGAATTGCAAATTACAACAATTAGACACCACTACCCACCTATTAGAATGACTACAATCCAAGAACTAACAATACTAATTACTAGAGAGGATGTGGAACAACAGGAACTTTCACTCACTGTTGATAGAAATGCAAAATGATTTCAGCCACTTTGCAAGACAGTTTAGCAGTTTCTTACCAAGCTAAGCACAGTCTTCCATATAATCCAGCAATTGCTCCCCTAGGTATTTATCCAACTGATTGGAAAACATGTTTACCCCAGAATCTGCATGTGAGTGTTTATAGTAGCTTTACTCATAATCATCAAAACTGGAAGTAAGATGTCCTTCAATAGTGAATGGATAAACAAAGTGTGGTACAGCCATAAAGTGGAATATCTGCCCGCCTCGGCCTCCCAAAGTGCTGGGATTACAGGCATGAGCCACCGTGCCCGGCCGGAATATTATTTAAAAATAAGAAGAAATGAGCTGTCAAGCAACAAAAAGACATAGATGAATCTTAAGTGCATATTGCCAGGTGAAAGAAGCCAGTCTGAAAAGGTTACACACTGTCTGATTCCAATTAAATGGCATTCTGCAAAGGCAAAAATTACAGTGTTGGTAAAAAAAGGTAAGTGGTTATCAGGGGTTTAGGGAGGAGGAGAGAGTTGGATAGGTAAAGCACAGGGGGTTTTTCAGCCAATGTAACTATGTTGTATGACAATGTAATGGTGATATATGATGCTATGCATTTGTTAAAACCCATAAAACTTTATAGCACAAAGAGTGAAACTTAATACACTCAAATTTGAAAAATTATTTAGGAAGCTGAGAAATCCCAGATGGAGTGCAAAATGTGACAAAATAACTTATCTGTATTATAAATGTATGAAACAACTTCATCGAAGGGTGGGGAAGAAAGGTGCTGACCTAAGCGTAAGCACAATACTTGGTATAGGACTGATTTGTGTTCTGCAAAAATTTGTATGTTGAAGCCCTAACCCTCCATAACTCAGAAAATCACTGTATTTGGAGACAGGGCCTTTAAAGAGGTCATTTAATTCAAATAAGGCCAGCAGGATGGTCCTACTCCAATCTGACTGGTGTCCTGATAAGAAGTGGACATTCAGACACACAGAAAAGACACCAGGTGTGCATGTGCACAGAGGGGTGACCATGCAAAGAGGTAGCAGGAAAGCAGCCTTCTGCAAGCCAAAGAGAGAAACTTGGAACAGATACTTCTGTTATGGCCCTTGGAATTTGCTGGTACCTTGATCTTGAACATCCAGCCTCCAGAACTATGAGAAAATACATTTCTATTGTTTAAGCCACCCAGTTTGTGGTATTTTGTTATGGCAGCCCAAGCAAACTATTGCAGTACTCTAGTTGATAAAGTTTTTCCCACAGCAGTGTGGGTTAACAATTCTATGCATATATACTGGGAATGAACACTTAAGTAAATGGGTGGCAGGTGGTGGGAGCTAGGTTTCTTAATGCCAGAGTGGGAGTTCACAGATAAGCAATGAGAAGAGGCTAGAATGATTCATATGGTAACAGATTAGAATTAGACATCGGTGTGAGCTCAAATAGCTTCATATAGACACAGATGGTTACATATACAATTGGCCCTTGAACAACATGAGTTTCAACTACATAGGTCCACTAATACATGGATTTTTTTCAATAAATATATTGGAAAAATGTTTGCAGATTTATGACAACTTGAAAAAACTTGCAGACAAACCACATAGCCTAGAAATATTGAAAAAGTTAAGCACAAGTTAGGTATGTCATGAATAATAAAACATATGTAGATAGTAGTCTATTTTATCATTTACTACTATAAAACATACATAAATCTAACATAAAAAGTTAAAATTTATCAAAACTTATGCAAACACCAACCATACCTGGTGCCATTTGCAGTCATGAAAAATGTAAATGAATGTAATGATGCAGTATGTAGTCATAACTGCATAAATTAACTGTACTGCATACTGTATTAGTATAATAATTTTGTAGCCACCTCCTGTTGCTATTGTGGTAAGCTCAAGTGTTGTGAGTATCTGCTTAAAAGGCCATGTGATGCTAACCACCTCCATATGAGCAGTTCCTCTCTCCAGCAAATTGTGTATTACACACAGCAAAAAGTGATCTCTGGTGGTTCTTGAGTATTTTTCATTGTGTTTAGTATAATACTGTAGTGCCATTCACTAGTGATGCTGGAAGTGTTCCCAAAAGTCATGGTATTAGAAGAAAAAGGTGAATTTCTTGATACGTGCCACAGATTGAGGTATGCATCTGTGGTTGCCTGACATCTCAAGATAAATGAATCAAACGTAAGCACTATTGTGAAAAAAAAAAAAAAAGGAAAGATAAAGATAATTTGTGAAGTTGTTGTTGCAGCTATGCCAGCAGGCATGAAAACCTTGCACTTTTTGTGAAATACCTTTTAATTTTGTATTGAAAGGCAGCTTTTACAGGGGCTCAGGGTTGCTATAAGAAAGCCCTAGCTATAGACTCTAATATGATTCAAGAAGGGAAGTTATATGATAAAGCAAAAGGAAGGTGAAGGATCTAAAGCTGAAAAATATAATGCCAGCAAAGGATGGTTTGATAATTTCAGAAAAAAATTTGTCTTAAAAAAATGTCAAGATAACAGGAGAAGCAGCTTCTGTCTACCAAGAAGCAGCGGACAAACTCTCAGACACCATTAAGAAAATCATTGAGAAGAACAGACATCTGCCCAAATAGGTTTTTGATGCAGGCAAAAGTGCTCTATTCTGGGGAAAAAAAAAAAAGGAAGATGTCACAGAGGACATTTATTAGTAAGGAAGAGAACCAAGCACCAGAATTTAAGGCAGGAAGGGATATTCTAACTCCACTGTTTTGTGCAAATGCAATCAGGTTTATAATCAACACTGCTCTTATCTATAAAGCTGCTAACCCCAGAGCCTTGAAGGGAAAAGATAAACCCCAGCCGCCAGTCTTTCGGTTGTACAAAAGGACCTGGACAAGAACACTTTTTCTAGATTGGTTTCATTGGACAATTGGTTTCATTGTCCCTGAAGTCAGGAAGTACCTTGCTAGTAAAGGACTACCTTTTAAAGTTCTTTTGATATTGAACAATATCCCTGGCCATCTGGAACCTCATAAGTTGAACATCAAAGAAGTCAAAGTGGTCTACTTGCCCCCAAACACAATATCTCTAATTTAGCCTCTTAATAAGAGGATCATAAAGACCTTTAAGGCTCATTGTATATAGTACTCTATGGAAAGGACTGCCAATGCTACAGAAAAGAACCCCAACAGAGAGAGCATCATGAAAGTCTGGAAGGGTTACATCACTGAAGATGCCATCCTTGTTCTAGAAAAAGCCATGAAAGCCATTAAGCCTGAAACAATAAATACCTGTAGGAGAAAACTTTTGAGATGTTGTGCATGACTTCACAGGATTTACAACAGACCAATCAAGAAAATCATGAAAGAGATTGCAGATATGGCAAAAAAAAAAAAAAAAAAGTACAAGGTGAAGGGTTTCAAGATAGGGATCTTGGGGTAATTCAAGAGCTAATAGACATCACATCAGAAGAATTATCAGAAGGTTACTTGATGGAGACGAAGGCTTCCAAAGCAATGCCAGATGATGAGGAAGAAGAAGTAGAGCAGCAGTGCCAGAATAAAAACTGACATTAGGCAATCTGGCAGAGGATTCTGATTATTCAAGGTTGCTTTTGACTTCTTTCAGAACATGGACCTTTTAATCCTATGGGCACTGAAAATAAAGCAAACGGTGGAAGAATTGGTATAGTTTAGAAACATTTTTAGAGAAATGAAAAGGCAAAAGAGGCAGACAGAAATTATGATGTATTCCTGTGAAGTTACACCAAGTATGCCAGTCTCTCCTGCCTCCCCTTCCACCTCCTCCTTTCCATCTCTGCCAACCCCTCATCTTCTTCCTCCTCCTCAGCCTACTCAAATGTGGAGATAAGAATGAAAACCTTTATGATGATCCACTTCCACTTAATGAATTATAAATATATTTCTCTTCCTTATGATTTTCTATAAATATTTTCTTTTCTCTAGCTTACATTTTAAGAATATAGTATATAATACATGTAACATACAAAATATGGGCCAATTAACTGTTTATGTTATCAGTAAGGCTTCTGGGCAACAGTAGGGCATCAGTAGTTAAGTTTGGGGGGATTCAAAAGTTATACACAGATTTTCAACTGTTTTTTATATTTGCTCACTCACTCCCATGTTTTTCAAGGGTCCACTGTAGAAATACTTAATATGTGTATTATACATGAGTTATGTGTATGTGTGTATTCATGAGTTAGAACACACACAATTCCTTGTTCTGTCCTTTGAGAGGGACTACAAGAAATGACATCCCAGCAGCAACTAGCACACTTCGCACCTAGATTTTGGTTTCTATTTCCATTCTCCAATAAAAGAAGCCAGGGATCCTTAGGAAAATGGCTGATTCTAGGACTGGGGCAAGAAATATACATTTTGTAATACCAGAAAGTAAGAAAGTGCTGAAAACCAAACCACTCCACAATGATGGGGGTATGTCAAAGAGACACAGGAGCCACCTAATGGAGCTCCCAATAAGCAGATCTGTAATAATTCGAGCAACAAAATAAAGTAGTATTGAATTATAACCCAAAATATAAAATAACTATCTATGAGTTCATATTGATATAAATAAATGAGCAAATACATATATAATGGTGGAGGAGACAATGCACATGGGTGGAAGAATTCTAAATAAATTACATTGCTACTCTGCCCTCACAGAGGTGAAATATAATTTGTCACTCCTCAAGTGTGGGCTTTATATAATACTTCTTTGCAAAGAATACAGTATGGAAAAGGGCATGGAAAAGGAGAGAAACTTTACAGTGGAGAAACCTGGCAAACATTTGATATTGACTATTGAGGTCAATATCAATGATAAGTCATGTTGATAGTATGGACCTTTGATGTGATGTAATGAAAATAAGACTTCACCTCTGAGGTATTCCTGTCTAATCCATAATCAGAGTCTAATCATGAGGAAAACATCAGACAAATCCCAGCTGGCAGATATTCTACAAAATAACTGACCACTATTCCTCAAATAGTGAAGGTCATAAAACAAGGAAAGTCTGAGAAAATGTCACAGCCAAGAAGAGCTGAAGGAGACATGACAACTAAATGTAATATGATATTCTGGATGAGATCCTGGAACAACGACAAGAAGGCATTAGGTAAAAACTTAGGAAATTGGAATAAAATATGGGCTTAGTTAATAATAATGTGTCAGTATTAGTTCATTAATAGGGGAACCTGGTGTAGGGTGTGTGGCAACTCTCTGTTCTATCTTTGCAACTATTCTGTAAATCTAAAGCTGTTCTAAAACAAAAAGTTTATTTAAATAAAAATAATGGTGTATCTTAAAGACATCTGAAATTTATTGAACTTTGACATTATCCTCATTCTACAGGTGAGGAAATCAAGGCCAGAGATGTAAAGGAACCCAGTGTAGGCCTGTTAACACACTGGAATGCTTTCTCTTATCTTCATAAGAGAGTCTCTGATTACTAGTCCTGAAAACTGTATACTCCAGTGGTGTCCTGGCAAGCACTTAACAATGGCTTTACAATGAGGAAAACCCTTGCTGATTTCCATGGTATAAGTACTACCATCATGGCTGATTTCAAGCTACCAATGGAATGTGACTGAACACAGAATGGGGAAGAGACACGCACAATCACCTTTCCCGCCGGGACCTGTAGCTAGCTCACACCAGCTCACAAGAGCAGATTGTTAAAATTTCAGGAATTTTGTGAGCTGGTTGTTCAACATGGATAGCCTGAAACTGGCCCCAGGGAGAATATTTATACCATAGAAATCAGTTAATGCTACAAATCAGGGTTTTGGGTTTTTTTTTTTTTTTTTTTTTTTTGAAAGCCAGTTTATCAGCATACACCACCAAAACACTAGAGTCCCAACTTATGGTTCTGTCTGTGTTGCTATGAGACCGAGTGTCCTCGGACAAGCCACATCGTCTCTGAGTTTCAGTTTAGTCATCTATAAAACAGCGAATTGGAGGACTAAACTCCCAAGTTTTCTCCCACCTCTGAAATTCTATTAAATACTAGGATCATCTTTCAGTTCCCACATGTTGTTCCAGATAAAACCTGAGGTCATGTCACCGTGCACTTACAGGGCTTTGACAGTCATTCGACAGCCTCTGAGGCTAGGGTCCCTGGCCTCTATTTGTGCTTTGAGTTCCAGGCATATACAAATTCTGTAGAGCCACAGACCCATTTGGTGTTCCCTCTCCCTCCACCAGAGCCTTTGCACATGCTATTCCCACTCCTTGGGCCACTCTTCCATGTCCTCTTTCTCTGGCCAACTCTTACTTAGCCCATTGGATCTCTCCGGGAGTGGTCACTTCCTCCAGAAAGCCTTCCTTGACTTTTTCTAAACTGGCTGAGGTATCCCTGTAATGTGTTTCCCTGGCAACTCCATATTTTTTTCTATCATAACTCTTATTGTTATTGCTTCTTTTATTGTCTGCCATCCCCACCTAAATTCAAGTGCCAAAGGGGCAGAGACTGTCTCTCTGGTTATCAGTTTTTTAAAAAAGAAATAGGCCAGGCATGGTGGCTCACACCTGTAATCCCAGACTTCGGGAGGCCAAGGCGGACAGATCACTCGAGGTCAGGAGTTTGAGACTAGCTGGCAAACATAGTGAAACCCCATTTCTACTAAAAATCCAACAGTGAACCAGGCAAGTTGGCGGGTGCTTGTAATCCCAGCTATTCAGGGAGGCTGAGGAGGGAGAATCGCTTGAACCTGGGAGGCGGAGGTTGCAGTGAGCTGAGATCGTGCTACTACACTCCAGCATGGGTGACAGAGCGAGATCCCATCAAGAAAAGAGAAGAGAAGAGAAGAGAAGAGAAAAAAGAAAAGGAAAGAAGGAAGATTCAGAAAGAAGCTAGAGACAGAATGTGCTCTTCTTCCTTGTCATGGCATCTTAGAGTCCTATACCTGGCACAGCAAAAATGACTTACTCGTTGTCTGTTGAGTGAATAAATGAATGTCTGCTTAAATTATACTGCTCTTCAAACAACAGATATTTTTCTTAGTTGCTTCCCCAGACAAAAGTACAAATCTAGAAAGAAACCCCCTTCTGATGAATGCTTTTGCATGAGCAGATTTCCAACACGGGAGGGGACTTCATGAGAGATGCCCCACTTCCGAGAGGGTGTTGTCTCAGGGGTGGCATTCTCAATCCTGACAGGACTAGGACTTCTGAGCAAGCATCCCTGCTCCTCGGCCAGCAGTTCTTGCTTACATGGTTGGTTACAGCCCCTTGCGGGAGCTCTGCTTGCCACAGGAGCAAATACAACTTGGCAACATCAGATCCCCCAAAAGCTATTTGTTTTGGTTAAGAGGGAGGACTTTGGGTAAATTAGAGAGGGAGGAAAACCCACAGACGGTGATTTGACATACCGAGAGCAGAGCACAGGACCACCAGCCAATGAAGTCTCACCTTCCGAGGAATGACAGGAATTGTGGGCCTGGATCTCTGAATGTTCCTCAGGGGCACTCTTGTTACTTGGGATCAGTTACCTTCTGGAGCCTCACTGAGGTAATTTTGAGACAGATTTTCAGAAATTCATTTTCAGATGCTCTTCAAGGCATTCCCAGACCAAACAATCTTAGGATCACAGAGCTAGATCATCCAGTCTGGCCACCATATTTTGTAGGTAGGAAAACTGAGACCCAGCAAGGAGAAGTCATTTGCCCAAGGACACCCAACTAAGACTGAGCTTTATTAGAGTTCTAGTCCCTAATTCCTAACTCTGTATTCTTTCCACTGCAGCAACTCACCAACCAGACCTTGTGAAGACTAAAAAGACAGGTGAAATAGGGCCATGCACACAGAAAGGAGCCCAGGGGAAGAGCGGTCCAGTGAGAAGTCCATTAGAAAATATATCCTGCAGCCAAATATGCTTAGAAAATCCCCTCACCTCCCTGGAGTTTTCTCGATAAATGTAAATAGGTTAGTCAAGAAATCATGGGCCACTGGGTATAACTATACATTTATCATAACCTATGGAAACTCTGTAGGGTCAGTCAACCAAGAAATAGTTGCAATGCAGTATAAGAAGTGCTAGAATATAAGGTAGCAGATGCAATGTTAACAGGGGGAAGAAATAACTAACTTCGCTGGAAGAAATAACTAACAGCCAGGAAAAATGATCTGAAGCTGAATCTCAAAGGATGAAAAGTTAGCGTAAAAAAAAAAAAAATACCATACCTTATTCCAGGAAAAGGTATGGTATTCCTAAGCAAAGGTACAGGGTGGTGGAAACATGTTGTATTGTGACTATTGATGCTTAAGATCTTGGTAATAAATGCACATTGTGTATGGGTGTGTCAAAGGCCTGTCAATGAGCACCTCTGTTAGGCTCAAGTAGTGACTCAAAGAGGAGTTTGGCTGGAGAAGCTGTTGAGGAGATAGAAAGGGGTCATCTTGTGGGGTAGAAAGAGATCAGTATATAAACCCCAGAGAGGAAGCTTAGGGGCAGGGTCAGCTTATGGGTGGCTTTGAGTAAGTGGCAGAAGAGTGGGGATGTCTTGGGATAATGGAGTCATGGCAGGCTTCTGAGCAAGAAAGCAACCCAGCTCCTTGCTTACCAGAATGAATTGGCCAAGAATGTTGGAAGAAGAGACCCAGAAGCAAGGAGAGAGAAGGTGGCAACAATTAGCAGTATGAATCCTTAGCTTGCTGCTGCATGACCAGAGGGAAGCAAAGCCAATTAAGTGTAGTCTCCACTACCTCAGCTCACTATGGTACCCCCTACCACTCTCCTCCTCACCCCACCTCCAGCCTGAGTCATCTTGAAACAAACATGGCCAACTGGGAGGGACCACAGAGACCAACTTCAAACATTCACACAGGACTCTGCTTACCACGGCAAAGCTGCCACTTGTTTGCTGAAACAATTCTCATTTTTAGTAGCTCAATCTAATGATTCAATAGCCAAAGGCATTGAAGAAACAAAAATCATATGACTAAGCCTTGGAGCATTCAGTACTGGCTGTTGAATATATTGCAGCAATAATTGTTCCAAGGCATCTACTTTCTATAGAACACAGCATAGTCATAAAATAAAATATATTGATGTCAAATTCCCCTATATAGGACAGGTCCCAACACCTCAAATTAGCCCTTGTTTGGAGGCCTCTAACTAGACAAAGTGTTTTCATCAGTTTACTAACTAGCAGGATACATTCATCCCCATTTTTGAGATGGACAAAGTGAATCTTATGAACTGTGCACTCAGCCACTTGCAAAATAACAATGATAATAATAACATTAATTAATGTTTAGTGAGCAATTACTCTGTACTAGAACCAGTTGTTACTGCTTTACTTGTACTAACTCTCATTTGATTCTCACAATATTTCTGTGTGGGTTGGGGGGGGAGTAATAACCCCATTTAACAGATGAAGGAACTGAGGTTTAGGGAAGTTAAGTTCTTTGCCCAACATCACAGATCTAATGAGCGCAGAGGCAGGGTTAGAGACCAGGGGTTCCAGAGTTGTGCCCTTAACCACTATAATGGGTTCTCAGTTCTATATGAGCTACCATGAAAGACACAAAAATAAGAGATGACGGGGTCCCTCATAATTTTTGCTCTGAACACACATTACTAGCTGAAACACTCAAATTTAATCAGGAATTTCCCTTTGGTTCCAAACTTCCTGTTTGCTCTAAACCTCTGATGTCAAAGGCAGTCAGAATTCTACTTCTAAGCTGGTCAGCAATAACGCGGCTTCCTCCAAGGAATGTAAACTTGGCTTTCATCCCAGCCAGCTCAGGCTCTCCTCTCTCCTCCTCCCTTCCCCTTTGTTAGGTCACAATGCTTTCACCCCCCAACTGTCATTGGCAGGTAACACTGCATGGAATCAGTTTGGGATAAAGATAGTCTCAGCCTCAAGTAGATTTGGACCCATATAAAAGTGATGACTCCTGAAAAACTCATGCTGGTATTTGGCATTCCTTTAGTAGGGGACAAGCTCTTCATCTATATGACATGGGAGAGGGACAGAATGACTTTTATAACTAAAGTGCACATTTCCAAAGGCAGCTTCTTTGCTGAAGCAGGTCACATAGGGACCAGGGCTTGGGCCGGGTTCTCATGAAGGTGGCTGGGTGCAAAGGGAGCCCAACAGGGAAGTCAAGACACCAAAGTCAGACTTCACAGCTTTTTTTTTTTTTTTTTTGAGACGGAGTCTCGCTCTGTCTCCCAGGCTGGAATGCAGTGGTGTGATCTCGGCTCACTGCAAGCTCCGCCTCCCAGGTTCACGCCATTCTCCTGCCTCAGCCTCCCGAGTAGCTGGGACTACAGACGCCCGCCACCACGCCCGGCTAATTTTTTTTGTATATTTAGTAGAGACGGGGTTTCCCCGCGTTAGCCAGGATGGTCTCGATCTCCTGACCTTGTGATCCACCCACCTCGGCCTCCCAAAGTGTTGGGATTACCAGTGTGAGCCACTGCACCCTGCCGACTTTGCAGCTTTATAATGCAAGCAGATCTGTCAGCCCTTCCAGCCCATTGGTTACCGTCATGCACGTTTATCAGTGTCAATATATCCTGTCCCTGGGTCCCAAAGTGACCACAAGAATAAAATATCACCTGGTTGTGAGATCTGGGCCCTTAGCCTGTAAAAGAGACACAGACTCACATATCCACCAACCTGCTCCTCCCAGACTGCAGTGTTACTGCACTGCCACCATCGTGGGGGTACCTGTAACTCCTCAGGCACTGGCCGAGCCCCTAAACAACCCCAGAGACATTTTTATGCCCAGTAGCTTATTTAACTATTACAATTTATGCCAAGTCCGCAGGCCTTGCCCTCTTATTTTAATATACATTAGTGGAGCCATTTTACAGATGAGGAAACTGTGGCTCAGAGAGATGAGGTCATTTGCCCAGCATTACACAGTTAGTAAGTGGCAATACTAGGACTTGAACTGAGGTTCTCAGTATTAGTTTGCTAGAACTGCCATAACAAAAAACTACAGATTGAGCGACTTAACAGGAATTTATTTTCTTGCAGTTGTGAAGGCTAGAAGTGTAAGACCAAGGTGCTGGCAGGGTTGGTTTCTTTTGAGTCTCTCTCCTTGGCTTGCAGAAGGCTGTATTCTCCCAGTTTCTTCACAAGGTCTTCCCTTGTGCTTGTCTGTGTCCTAACCTCCTCTTCTTATAAGGACATCAGTCATATTGGATTAGGTCACCCAATGACCTCATTTTGCTTTCATTACCTCTTTAAAGGCCCTATCTCCAAATGCCATCACATTCTGTGGTACTGGGGATTGGAGCTTCAACATAAGAATCTGGGGGTTGGGGGCATGATTCAGTCCATTCACTTTCTGACTCCAGAACTGTGTTCTCCGTTTAGCCAACCAATAATAATGGAGCTTACTAGGTGTCAAAGATTGCACTCAGCACTTCTGCAAATGTTTTCTCATGTAATTTTCAAAGCAGTCCAGAGAGGTTTGCATTATAATTCCCATGGAACACTGAGAAAACTGCATTTCAAACAGTTTAATTATTCTACCCAGGAAAACACAACAAAGATGAGGCAGACCCAGGATTCAGCCTCATTCTTCTGACCTCAAACTCTGTGCTGTCTCCAACATACAATGTTGCTTCCCATGTAAAACTGTGACTGGCAACAGAGAGGACAGGGTGACCTGACACAGTGCCAGTGATGGTGGTAGGATGTGGCAACATCTCCTTTTTGGAAAGGTTGTAAATCCAGTGGACAGTAAGAGCTTCTACTGTATAAGGTTGGTGTGATGACTCAATAAGTAACATGTGCAAAGTGTTTAGAATAGTGTCTGGCTACACAAAGGCTAAATAAGTGTTTTGCTATTATTGTTGTTGCTGCTGTTATTACGATTCTTGTTCATTTCTGGATAAAGACTGTAGATATTGAATATTCACCACTATTTTACTTTCCTTCTCAAAATTACACACAAAGATGGAGAGAGTAAGAAAAGAATGCAACACAATGTTGGAATCTTGAAAGTAAACGGATGAGTGGTAACTGAATTAGTAGATCCAAGAAAACTGAATCCTGAACCAGCAATGGGGAAGGTCAAGAGCAATGAAATTTTTGCTGCAGAATTTCCATCTTCCTATCCCCAAAGCTCAGGAAATATGCAGTAACAGTTACTCTGGAGATGAGGGTGATGTGGAGCGAGAGAAAAGAGAGATTTGGTTGAAAACTAGTTATAAATCCAGATTCTCTTTTCTTCTTGGCACGGCCCCTTCCCTGTCCCTAGAGGTTTATTCTCTGGAGAAGTGAAACAGGATCTCTAGACTAAGCATGGAGTGGGGGTAGATGGGCATGAGGGTATAGTACTGAACACAGGAGAATTAAATAAACATGTGTATTCTGGAAGCCGGGTCCTCTAATCTGGCTTCACTTGGTTCCTGCGATGCTGGCCACCAGGCCGTCTCCCTTTAGGCAGGACTCTGGGAGTAATCGAAGCACTCCAAGAGGAAAGGCCTAGAAATAGTGATAGTCTGAGGTTCCCCAACTAAGTGGGCCACCCAGATTAGTCTACAGTGAACCCCAAGTTGACTAGTCCAATATCTGAATGATAGTTCCAGAAAGAGAAAACAGAAGAGAAAGAATCAGTAAAGAAATAAGTAATACATTTTCTAGAACTGAAGGGCTTAATTTTCTAAATTGAAGAGATCTATGCCGGGCGAGTGCAATAGATGAAAACAGACCTATATCGCATCATTCAATAATTTTAGAATAATGGAGACAAAGCTTTAACACACTTCTGGAAAAGAGAAATAGATCCATACAAATGATTGAGAATTCAATTGACTTCAGACTTCTGCACAGCAGCACTGAGAGCTGGAAGACAATGGAATGATACCTTAAAATTGAGTGAAAATGCTTTTTTTTTTTTTTAACTTCAACTTTTATTTTAAGTTCTGAGTTCTTATGCAGGATGTGCATGTTTGTTATACAGGTAAATGCATGCCATGGTGGTCTGCTGTACAGATCATCCCATCACCTAGGTATTAAGCCCAGCATCCATTAGCTATTCTTTCTGATGCTCTCCCTCTCCCCACCCTCCCAACCCCATCCCCGACAGACCCCAGTGTGTGTAGTTCCCCACCATGTGTCCATGTGTTCTCATCGTTCAGCTCCCACTTGTAGGTGAGAACATGCAGTGTTTGCTTTTCTGTTCCTGTGTTAGTTTGCTGAGGATAACGGCTTCCAGCTCCACCTATGTCCCTGCAAAGGACATGATCTCATCTGAAGATTCTTTTTAATCTAAAATTCTATGCCCAGTCAAACTCTTTATCAAGTCTGAGAGTAAAATAAAGATGATTTTAGATATAAAAGGAAAGTCTCAATATTTCACTTCCTATATATTTGTTCTCAGAAATCTACTAAAGGTGCTTCACCAAATTGATGCAGTATACAAAGAAAGAGGAAGGCAAGGAATACTGGAACCAGGAGCTTCACAGGATAGTGGGAAAAGGAAGCCTAGGATGAAAGTGAAGTGGGATCCCAGGGTGACAGCTTTGCAGCAGGCACACAGGGCAGAAGGTAACCATTTAGACTGGAATAGTTTACAAGGCTTGGCAAAGAATGTATCCAAGAATATGAAATTGATAGAATACTGCTTATACCTAAACATGCTAAAAGGAGATATGGACAGTTTGTAGAGAGTTTGTGGTTGAATCAATAATAATTACATAGAAAACAAAGAGATATTTATTAACTTCAGGGAAAATAAACAAAAAAAATGCACTGGGAAGGAAAAGTAACTATAGCATACCACATAACTGAATTCCAAATGGTATTTCACAGTTATAATAATGTATACTATATATTCATTTAACCAAAATTACAGTAAACCATATTGAGAGGATGGGAGGTTGGGAAGGGTGTGCGTATGTGATAGGGCTGTGGAGGTGGGTAGTGGGTGAGAAACGGAACTAAAACCTCATTTTCCACAGTGGTAGGTCACTAGATAATGTGTAAAATAATTGTTTTTAAAATAACAATAAGGCTAGGTGCCATGGTTCATGCCTGTGTAATCCCAGCAATTTGGGAGGCTGAGGTGAGAGGATTGCTCAAATCCAGGAGTTCCAGGTTGCAGTGAGCTATCATTGTAACACTGCATGGCAGCCTGGACAACAGAGCAAGACCCTATCTCAAAAAAAAAAAAAAAAGAAAAGTACAATAAGATAATGTTATTTCTAAATACAGAGGTACATACCAAAAGACCCAGCTGCGAGTTGAATGTGGTTGCTTCTTTGGAAGGGGAAATTGAGGGGAGGGAAGGCAAAAAAAAAAAAACTGCTTTTTTATTAACCAAAACACCATGTAGAACTAATTCATCTGTATGTATATCTTTGACTGAAGTAACATCTAAGCTTTATACTATCTCATTGTGTAAACTCGGGTGAGTTATTCCACAATTTTGGTTTCCAAGTTCTGCACCTATAAAACGAAGGAGATGGATTATGCAGTCTCCAAGGCCCTCCCTGATTTAACTCATCATTTCTGCCATGGTAGCTGATTTCCTTCCATTAGAGACTCGGCCCTTAGATCCTTAGGAATTTTATGTCAAAATATCATTTTCTATAATGGATGGGGTAACGCTGACAGCTAAGAACGATGCTCTCTGGGGAAAACGATCCCCAAGTACCCTCAGTGACTTTCTAAAGGTCAGGTCCTAGAAGACTCAAAGGCAAAAAGAGATGCCCCTACCTTCTCCTCCCTTTCTTTGTATTAGAGCTTTAAATAACTTGATAATGTATTAAAAGAGGATGAGACTACACGTTAGACCTTCCAGTTATTAACTCAGGTTTAACTAAAGACCTTCATTCATGTCAGCAAATCCCTAACTGTGTGCCAATGGCAGGATATGATTCCAGAGATTAAGGCACACACTTTCCCCTCTGACTAGCAGGATGGCAGGACTAAAATTTACATCACAACTTCGTATGCATTTTCCATACGGAGGCCTGGTTTGGAGGGCACAGCTAGAGACCTCAGTACAACCCCAGCTTCTTCTAGGAAAGCCCCTCCTAAGCCTCTCCTTTGGGCTTTGTTCCCCAGCTCTGGAGAGAACAAGATAGTTAAGACAGGTTTATAAGGTGCACTGAGGTTCTGACTGGATTTTTGTTCCTTGCTCTTGATTCTTATCTGACTTTTTATAAACATCATGGTCAACAAGGAAAGCCCTTTCTAAGTACCTCCTGAGTACAGAAGAATCTAGGCTTGGCCAAGGCAGAGGCACCTCCTTTCTCCTTGTCTCCCCTCTGCCCAATTCTGGCACCGGGCACACGACAGGCACTAAGGCAAGACTGACTCTCAGGGAATGATGATAAGGGCTCATTAGAGATCAAAAGGCTTGGAGAATCTAAGGAGGAAGAGTCTATAACTTACATCTTTCTCTGCTGGTGGATAAAGACCAAATTTTAATGCTCAAAATGACAAATGTTAATTATTCATGATATGTGACATAGATAAGACGCTCTGTCATTTCCCACTGGCTTTCATATCCTCTATCACAGTCTGACTTCCAGCAATCACTCTCAGCTACCTTTTGAAAGAGACAAGGCAGGTACTATCTAAACTTCACAAGTGGAGACCAGTCACAAAGAGGTTTTGTAAGTTGCTCACGAAGATTTCTCAGAAAGTTCTCTAGAAACTGTTAAACTGTTTACCCCTGGGTAGTTATGAGTTTGATGAAGAAAAACGGACTTTACGCCTTTCTTCACTGCTTAGATTTTTATTTTTCCTATGACTACTACTTTATCATTTCAAAAAAGAAAGAGTTCGATTTTATCAGAAGGGAAGAATGAAGAAAAAAGGACAAGAAATAATTCATTTCTCTAAAGTGATTTCAGGCATTCCTTTTGGAGACCGGGATGGATAAGAAATCTCTAATGTTCTTTCACTGTATCTTAGTAATGTAAATTCGAGGTATGTGACTGGCTAACATTTACTGAGTACTTACTCTGTGGCAGGTGGTATTTATTTAAAATTACTTAGACCTATTCACTCATGAAATCCCTACGACTTTGTGAGACAGGTATAACTATCATCCCTACTTTATTGATGAGGATGCAGGCAGAAAACATGGGGACACTTGGTCAGGGCTATGGAATCTACGTCTTTCTCCACCCTCTGCTGCACAGCGCTCCTGGCTTCTGGATTACAAAAGAATAAAAAGATACCTTCCTGGCTGCCAAGCCTTCAACTCCATTCCCAGGCCCCTCTACTCCCCTCACTGTCTGAGGCATCATCACAAAATTTCTCCTTCATGACATGGGGACAGAGGGAGTATTCTCTGAAAGTCAGCTGCTGCTGTTGAGCAGCTCGGAGACTAACATGCATAAGCACTGAGCAGCATGTTGAGGAGGAGGAATTTCCCTGAATCAACCTTGGACGGAAAGCCCACCCTTCAAAAACCTCCCACAGTGCCTACAAGTGTATGGGGAGGGCAGGTGGTTAAATGCCATAATTAGGAAAAGTGGAAACAGGTGATCTAATGCATTCTTCTACTACAGCACAAGGGACAGGAACCCCCACCCAGCCCTCCCCCTGCTTCCCCCACCCCGTGTCCAGCAGGGGACACAGAGACAGCACCCTCTGCTGTCTAGGGGGAAAAGAAACCAGAGGAAAAGGAGATTGTGTCTATCTGTTTGGGCTCTCTTTCAAGTGTGAGCCAGAGAAATGACTTCTCTTACTTCTTGGACATGAACCAATTAGCTGCTAATTAGTTTGTATATCAATTCCAACAGGAAGGCTGGAAAATTCTATCTCAACTTAAGCAATGACACTTGTCCTCCTAAATTTGGTCTTGCCTGTCTCCCACATAAATTCCCTGTATCACATAAAACATGGTCTCTGCCTGGATCAGAATGGCCAGAAGCAAACAGGCAGAAACACATATGTACAGCTTCTCCATCAACCTCATATAGACCTCCCCACAGAGCCTTTTGCAGCTTGATACAAAGGCAGCATGGGAACACAGACCACAGGGTCCTCATAAATCCATAAAATAAAAGATAAGAGGAAATGGGGTGTTTTCTAGGGTCACAGAAAAAAATATCTTGTATACTAGAAATGCTTCAAACAAAGACTGGAGAAATATATACCTGTGAGGTAGCAATCCACTGGATTAGAAGACTCTGGGGCAGGAGAGACTAGAAGAACAAATATTTATTGATCATCTACTGCCAGTAGGGTACTGTCTTAGATCAACTAGGTAAGCACTCTCAGGTGGAGTTCTCAATCACAGAAGAGGTATCATAAGTAAAAACCCAAGGGTGGCAGAGGGAACAAGCAAAATGCACAATAAAGAGACTGTCATGTTGCTCAGGGAGGCATGATCCCACTAGGGGAGGGAGTCAGGGGAGGCCGCTCACAGCTGGAGTGCTTGAAGAGGTCCTGAGGATGAAATTCTCTTGAGCTACGGTCCCCCAATCACCTAGAGAACACTTTTTTTAAAATACAAATTCCTGAACTCCATATATCAGGTCTATTGAATCAATAGCTCCAGGAGTATTACTCTGGAATCTGTGTTTATGATTATTATGGCAAAACATACATAAAAGTAGACAGAATAGTGAACTCCAAGTGCCCATCATCCATCTCCAGCAATCACCTACTCATGACCATTCTGTTTTCACCCATCCCCTTACCTATTTCCCCTCCCCAAGTATTATAGGATCTGTATTTTTTTAAACCAGAGACCCTGAGGCAGTCAGATCTTGGATGCAATCTGGGAACCACTGATGCAGACACAGATTAGGAGCAAGGGAATCCTAGGGACAATGGGGGCAAAGTCTCAGAGAAGTGAGAGGCAATGGTATTTGGGGGATAATGGCAAGTAATTTGGAGTGCCTAAAGGGTGGCAATAGGGATAAGGGCCAAAAGGTCATCATGGCCATCGGGGCCCTGTTAACAGTAGGGTGTCTTTGTGAGAAGCATAAAACTCCATCTCCTCTGGGCAGAAAAGCATCTCTTGCTGAGGGCTGAAGCTCCCCATGCAAGTGGAGAGGGGCTGGATGCCTTCCCCAACCCGCGGCCTGTGCCCCTCACTTCTGCTGGGCCCAAACTACAAAGCTATGCACAGCAGCCCCGGGGCCAGGGCGTGAAGGGGTCTGGTTCCCAAAGGGGTTTGGACTTTATCTTATAAGGGCTGAAGGCTGCTAAGAAGGGGAACATGCAACAACCAGTCTGTGTTTTAGAAGAATTGTGGGCAGCCATTGAGGGGAGGTGGATGGATAGACTGGAGGGCAGAAAACCAAGGGGCAGTGAGCTAGTGAAGACAGTAACTACTGCAAACTAGCCAGGGAAGAAGGGAGAAGGCTGGGAAGGTCCAACATTGATGGGGAGAGGTTTAACGGAAGAGATCTTGTGTGGGGCTCTGGAAATAATGGGGGGCTAGATATAGAGGAATGCTGGATATACATATGTGAAGAGTCATTGGCATGTAGAAGTTGTCTGAAGCCATGCGAAGGTTGAAATTGCCCAGTATGTAGAATAAGAATGAGGAGGGAGGAAGGCCCTGGGGAAAACCAGCATTTAGAGGATGAAGGAGCCAGCCACTGTGATAAGAATGGTTAGGACAATGGGAAGGCAAGTGGGGAGAAGAGAATGGCTCATAGAAGCCAACAGGGCAAAAGTGGTCACAGGTTGGTGAGAGGAAGGCATTCATTTAGGGAAGCAGAAATGTCTAAGGGAAGGTCAAGTTTTGGAGTACCTAAAATGATTAGTGAAGGAGTTTAGAGTTGGACTTGAAAAGGCAGGGTACCAAGTGTCATGGTGTGCAGCATGAGTTGGTGTGTCAGTTATACCTCCTATGTCTGTCATTTACCAAGTATGGCTTTGGACACATTCCTTAAATTGAGTCTCTGTATCCCTGCAATAAAATGTTGGTGATTGTACTCACTGTATTAGAGATGGGGAAGGCATCTCAAGAAATGGCGTTTTTCTTCTTGTCCTTGGCACCTAACAATGCACAGCCTTGAAGTACGTGCATTGTATCCAACTCCTGCATCTCTAAGTAGCTTGTAAATTGCTTTGAGGATAGGGATTAAGGCCATTCAGACCATTAACTGAAGTCAATGGTTGATATTCATTATGCACAAATCAAGAAGAGCATGTAGATTAAGAATAAAGGAAGATTGAAGGTTTAATAAAAAGAAGAAATGGCCCTTTGAGTTTGAAACTTAGTGAAGGATCCATATAGATGTCTAATCCTACCACAAGGTGAACAGGGGCAGGTGCAGCAATGAAAGTCTCAAATTGCGATTTCTTCACAAAGGAAAGTGTGAGGGACGGAGGGACTCACTCTGGCTGATGGGGCCAGGCAGGCAGTGCTACATGGGGTTTTGGGGCTGGACAGAGGAGGTGCAAATGAGGGCAGAAGCACAGCAAAGTTGGAAATTGGCAGGTGAGTTTGAGAAAAGCTAAGAAACTTTGTGGGTGCGAAACAAGGGGTGTGGGAAGTGAGGAGAGAAAGGTATATGAAGCTGTAGCAGACACAGCCTAAAGTGACCCCCAACTCATGCTCTGGTATAATCCCATAATCTTTTGCCCTTGAGTAAGGTGGAGCCTGTGACTTACCTCTAACCAACAGAATATGGCAAAGCTGATGTGATATCACTACTGGGGTTATGTGACATTATATGGCAAAGGGATTTTGCAGATATAATTAAGGATCCTAATCATCTGACTTTGAGTTAATCAAAAGGGACATTATCTTGGGTAAGCCTGATTAGGGCCATTGAAAAGAAGGCCCAGACCTTCCCTGAAGTTAGAGACTTACGGCAGAAAAGACTTGCTCTCCTGCTGGCCTTGAAGGAGCAAGCCACATAAGTACTAAAGCTGCAAGGAAAAAAATTCTACCCACAAGCACATGAGCTTGAAAGATGAGCCCAAACTGCAGAACAGAATGCAGCCTGGCTGATTCCTCAATCACAGCTTCGTGATACACTGACCAGGGCATGTAGGTAAGTCATGCCTGGACTCCTGACCCAATGGAAACTGTGAGATAATGGATGGATGCTATTTGACACCATTCCGTTTGTGGTCACTGGATATGCAGCAATAGAAAACAAATGCGTCGATTCCCATGGCAGAGGGCCATGAATGGCAGGCTAGGAAGTATGGACTTTATTATATGGGCTCTAGGAAATCACTGACTAAGGAAGCTAAGAGATGGCAGAAGGAAGGGAAGCCTGGAGTGGGGTTGACCAGAATGCCTTGAAGAACATCTGGCCAGGGCACTGCTCCCAGGAGCAGGTCAGTAACGTTCACACATTCAAGGGTTAGGACCTGGATATCTTTCAGAGGAGGATTGTTCAACCTACCAACCTTTATATAAGGCAACTGAAGCCCCAAAAGGGCAGAGACTTGTCCAATGCCACACTTCCAGTTGGCAACAAAAATCAAAGATCCAGGTCTCCTTTCTGTCCATTTAGGCTTCTTCCACTAGACCAAGATGATGTCCATACTTGGTTTCACCAAGTTCTAGGTGAAACGAAGCCAGCTACTCCTCTACCCAATTAAAAAAAAAAAAAGAATAGAATAGAATAAAATAAAATAAAAAAAGAAGAAGCAAAGACCAAGTGAAGAAATTAACAGCCATTGAGAAAACCTTAAGGAACTTGAGTATCCTTGTGGCTAATTATAAATATTTACTCCTCCCAGAATTCCTGACCTCACAGAAGAGCCTTTGTAGTTTTGTTCTCTTCATGGAAAATCAGTGTGCGCGTGCATGTGTGTGTGGACGTGCGTGTGTTTCTTGGAAGGGGAGTGGGCAGTAATAAAGGATTGGATGATCTGCAAAAAGTAACTTCCTGTTGGATATTGTCTAGTTCCCATTCCTTGTTCCCCACCCAAGATCATAAACCCCCAGTCCCTCAAGCAACTCCTCCTTCCCTGATTCTATCTGCTGGAGAAAACTAAGCCAAACAAACTCAGGAAGTGGCAAGAGACTAGGAAGGGGAGGAAGTTCATGGCACAGAAGAAACACGTAAAGAGAATGCCCTGATGTTCAAGGAAGAGGGTGGAGGAGAGAGAGAAAAACGAAGGTCACACCAAGGTCACCTGGCACCAAGCCTTTAAAATGTCATGCTTGAGCTTTAAATCAAAACTGGCACAAACAGTGGGTCAAATCTCCCAGGGCCATTCAAATACTAACATTCACAGGAATAAACAGCCCCCAAAAAAGTCTTCTGTAAGCAAATTGGAACAAACAACTAATCTAAAGCAGGTTGCTAAGAGACGAGTGGGCAGGAGCTGAAGTCAGTTCAAGTGTCTGAAGCATCCTTTATTTTCTTCACTTTCAGGAAAGAGGAGGAGAGAAGAGGCTACCTGTAGATGACTCCATGCTGGTGGAGGAACATGAGGGCCGATGTGACCTCTGCAGCATAGAACCGTGAACGAGGCTCGTCGAATTTTCGGGAGCGCTGAATCTGAAACATGAGGTCTCCACCATTTACATATTCCATGACGAAAAAGAGGCGGTCCTGAAAGGAGAGAAGAAAATGCCATTTGGGTCATTTGATTGCAGCTGCCCACACAGGCCAGCTTAGTGTGAGCTCAGTGTAAGGTTACCAAGACTCAAGGGGGAAGAAGCCTCAAAGGTGGGTGAATCCTGGTAGCACCTGATCCATAAAGAAGACAAACGAATAAAGCACACAGATTAGGGTATGAAGCACAATTTTACTTTTTCTCTGTCCGCCTTCGGTGGGCATCACCTCGGTCTAGTGGAAGAAGCCTAAATGGACAGAAAGGAGACCTGGATCTTTGATTTTTGTTGTCATCTGGAAGTGTGATCTTGGACAAGTCTCTGCCCTTTTGGGGCTCCAGTTGTCTTTATATGTGTGGTAGGTTGAACAATCCTCCTCTAGAAGATATCCAGGTCCTAACCCTTGAATGTGTGAATGTTACCTTATATGGCTAAAAAAAAAAAAAAAAACAAAAACAAAAAAAAAAAACGGATTTTGCAGATGTAATTAAGTGAAGGATCCTGAGATAGGGAGGTTATCCTGGATTACCAGCGTGGGTCTTAAATACAATCATAAGTGTCCTTATAAGAGGCAGGTAGAGGAAGACCTGAGTCAGGGAGGAGGAGGCCAAGTGGCCACAGAGGCAGAGATTGGAGTGAAACAGTCACAAGCCAAAGGATGCAGACAGCCCCAGAAGCTGGAAGAGGCAAGGAGCGGAACCTCTGGAGGGAGAACAGCCTAGCCAGCACCTTCATGTAGGCCCAGTGATGCTAGACTCTTGGCTTCCAGAACTGCCAGAGAATACATTTCTATTGTTTTAAGGCACCAAGTTTGCAGTAATTTGTTGAGGCAGTCCCAGGAGACCAATAGATTGCAATGTGGAATCAAGACTGTGAACCCCCATGCACTGTGAGGGCCACTTTTTACTTTGGAGGATATTCCTTCCAGGATCCCCTATGGTTTCCTCCTGCAAGGCAGCCCTCAGAACGGCCAAACCACAGTCACACCTTATTGTAGGTGGCCCCCTCTTACCTGCAATCCATGATGATGTGGGGAGAGGATGGACTGACATTCTCTTTGCACCGTTTCTTGACTATTATATTCTAAGCTCCTAGGGTGCTAAGCTGCTAGGTGAGGGCAAATAATTACAAGCCATTGCTGTCCTGGGGAGCTTACAATCCAGGGGTGGAGATGGGAAATGGACAAAATGATAAAAAAACAAAATAAGAGTCGAATGCATGAAAGACACCAGGTGCTAAAAAGATTCAGAGAAAAAGGAGCTCTCTGACTTGGGAGGCCATGGAGGATTTTAGATGCAGCTAGGCCTGGAGAGAAAAAGAAGGTCGGGGGCAGCAGGAACCAATGCCAGGACATGGGAACGGAGTGAGCAAGTTTAGGGGCCAGTAAACTGACCAGATCAGTTGTAGAGGAAGGTTAGCGAAGTAAATGGTGAGGTTTAAAAGGCCAGAGAGGCAGAGCACATTCTTTTTTTTTTTTTTTTTTTTTTGATGGAGTCTCGCTCTGTTGCTAGGCTGGAGTGCAGTGGTGCGATCTCAGCTCACTGCAACTTCTGACTCCCTGGTTCAAGCGATTCTCCTGCCTCAGACTCCTGAGTAGCTGGGATTACAGACACACACCACCATGCCCAGTTAATTTTTTTATTTTTAGTAGAGATGGCGTTTCACCATGTTGGCCAGGATGGTCTTGATCTCCTGACCTCGTGATCCACCCGCCTTGGCCTCCCAAAGTGCTGGGATTATAGGCATGAGCCACCGTGCCCGGCTCACATTTTTAACACATAGGTATAGTCTAAGTGAAGCTTCCAGGAGGATGTTAGCATATTATTTTCCATTAGGTCTCAGTAACATTTACCAATGAGCTTCTTTATTTACAAAGCATATCTATCTTACTATTGACATCTCTTTGAAAATAAAGTCCATAGTTAAGAATTGTTACTAATTCAAACTACCTTCACCCCCACTCCAGTCTCCAGAATTATTCCATCTTTACCGGTATTCACAAAGGGCCTAAGTCCAGCTTTTCTTCCATTTACTTTGCCCTTCGCCTTCAAAGCCTACCTCGTTTTCTCCCCAGAGTACAATTTTGTAATCAGAAGTACATGGGCTGCCTTGCCCACTGTTTATTCAATCATCCATTCTCCACTCAAATCCTCATTTCAAAAATTAAATGCTCTCGCCAACCCCAGACCACTGGAATCAGAATTTCTGAGGGTGGGGGCCTGGCCTTAGTAATTGTGAAAGCTCCTCAGGTGATTCCCATGTGCGGCCAGGGTTGAGAAGCACTGACTCTCCTCCATCTGGTTTCTGCCTAGGTATCTTGCATCTGTGCAATATAAGGATTATACATTATTCTGGTCTCCTTTTTTGTCATTTCAAGGATTCCTTCCAAGAACAAAGACTCTTAAACTTGTGCATTAGAATCACATGGAAGCTTGTTAGGACATGGATTCCTGAGCCCCCCAACTCAGATATCTGGTTCAGAAGATCTGGGGCGGAGTCTGAAAATCTGAATCCTCTAACAAGTTTCCGGGCAATGCTGGCAGGCCAGGGACAACACTCTGACAGCCTCTGCCCTGCAGCACCAGGATAAGCCTTTCACATGGGAAGTACAGCTGGATCATTCACTGAACACTGAACCACACCACCTGAAACAGCCACTGAAGTGCCCATTCCACAGTCACCAGCCCTGGACTCGGACTTTAGCAACAATGGAGTATTTCCTTGACTGTGTTTAGGAGACTCCAAATCTCTGAAGGGGAAAAAATCTCCCCTCCCCATCATCCTCCCTGGATGCTTTTTATTCTACCAACACTGGACACAGTTTTTAAGAGTAGGGGCTGTGGGATGAGAAAGAGGCCTTCCCATATCGGTTTTATCACTCACTGGCTGCAAATGACTCAGGCAAATGCCTTTGGCTCTCTGTGCTCAGTTTTCTGATCTGTAAAAATGAGGATGGGCCGGGCGTAGTGGCTCATGCCTGTAATCCCAGAACTTTGGGAGACTGAGGTAGGCAGATCACTTGAGGCCAGGAGATCGAGATCAACCTGGCCAACATGGCGAAACCCTGTCTATACAAAAAATACAAAATTAGCTGGGCATGGTGGCGCATGCCTGTAATCCCAGCTACTCAGGAGGCTGAGGCATGAAAGAGAATCATTTGAGCTCGGGAGGTGGAAGTTGCAGTGAGCTGAGATTGCGCCACTGCACTCCAGCCTGGGTGACAGAGAGAAACTCCGTCTCAAAAAAAAATCAGGATGATTGAGTAATAGAAGCTGCCTTACAGAATTCTCATGAAGGTTAAATTATATGTTAAAATGCCTGTCTCAAAATGAAGATTGGCTATGACTGTTGCTATAGATGCTATTCCAGCAGTTATTATCGTAAGTCTTCATTTTCTTTGACCTCTCTGCAGCTTTCTTCCCTGACCACATCCTCTTTCAACACACACTTGTTTCCCTTGGCTTTCAGGCTTCCCCCCTAAATTTCTGGCAGGGTTTTCTCTGCCTCTCTCATGGGCTTCGCCTCTTCCCAGCTGTTAAGTGTTGGAATCCCACGAGGCTGGGCTCCAGATGCTCCCCATCCTCACTGAGTGCTTGCTGAGGATCTTGTCCACGCCCAGTTTCCAAGGCACCTCTATGCAGATGACTCACAAGCTCCGGACCACTCATCCAACTGCGGTTCTGACATCTCCATCCAGATGCCCCAAAGGCACTCAAGCCCAATATGTCCAAAATTGACTTCACGATCTACCCCAATGAACTAGTTCTCTAGGTCTCGGGGCAAAGCTTCACCCTTCAGAAACCTTAGTCATTTAATACCTCTCTCTCCCTCAGCCCTCACCAAGTCCTGTCATATTTACTTATCGTATCTTTGCATTTTGTACCTTTTTCCCTGTATACTTGTCCATTTCTCTCTCTCTCTACCACCATCATGCCCACCATTATGGCCCAAGCAACTATCATCCCTTGTCTAGATTCTTGCAGATGCCTTGCTTCTGATGCTCCCCACATTTATTGCAAATGCTGGTCACGCTCCAGGTAGAGGGACCTTGCCGAAACAGAAATCTGCTTGTAACCCACCCCGCTTCCTCCTCTAAGTCCACTGCTTAGTTTTTTTGAGAGTCTTGCTCTGTCACCCAGGCTGGAGTGTAATGGTGTGATCTTGGCTCACTGCAACCTCGCCTCCCAGGTTCAAGTGATTCTCCTGCCTCAGCCTCCCGAGTAGCTGGGAGTAAGGCAAATGCCACCATGCCCAGCTATTTTTTGTATTTTTAGTAGAGATGGGGTTTTGCCATGCTGCCCAGGCTGGTCTCAAACTCCTGACTTCAAGTGATCCACTCACCTTGGCCTCCCAGAATGCTGGGATTACAAGCATGAGCCACCGTGCCCAGCCTCTATAGCTTGATTCTATTAAAGTCTCCCTGTTACTCTAGGAATAAACGGAAAACTCTCTAATATGCTTCAAAGTCTGTGTGATCTTCTCAGTCTTCTCCTTTCCAGCTGTCGCTTGTTCCCTCTGCCCCAGGGCTTTACTCACACTGTTCTTTCTGCCTGGAACGTTTTCTTCTCTCCCCTCCTCACCCTTCAGATCTCAGCACAACCATCTTTTCTCCCAGGAAGCTGCCCCTGACTTCTCTGACAAGGTCAGATCCCCCTGTGACGTGCTACACTCTCTGTTGTAGCATTCAGCACAGCTGAGGTTTTATTTGTGTAATTAATTTATAACTTTCTCCCCTCCCCGCCGTAGTCTGTGTGCTTCATGAGGGCAGGAACTGTTGGTAACTCTGGCTTGCTGTTTTTTAAGGGAATTGAACTAACCTGAAAGAGAAGTTGTTATAATCTCTTTTAAAAGCAAACACCATGTGAATAGAAGAACAAAAAAGGTTAGGGGGCTATAAGAAGCAAAGAGTGATCTAAATATTTATATCTGCAGGCCAGGTGTGGTGGCTCATGCCTGTGATCCCAGCACTTTGGGAGGCTGAGGTGGCAGGATGGCTTGAGGCCTAAACAACATACCAAGACCCTGTCTATACAAAAAAATTAAAAAGTTAGCCAGGCATCGTGGTGCACGCCTGTAGTTCCAGCTACTTGGGAGGCTGAGGTGGGAGGGTTGCTTGAGCCCAGGAGGTGAAGGCTTCAGTGAGTTGTGATCGCACCACTGTGCTCCAGCCTGGGCAACACGGTGAAACCCTGCCTCTAAAAATGTGTGTGTGTGTGTGTGTGTGTGTGTGTGTATGCATAACTGCAAATTCTTACTGCTTAGTTAAGTTAGCTAGTTAAGCCAGCCTGCTGCCGTGAGCCTGTGTCTGCAGAACCTGGAGCTGGGTGCCCACTCTCACCATTTCAGAGGGTCTGTCTATATCAACACCCCAGTATTTGGTTATGGACTTGAGTGGTTCTTTTGTTCTTTGGATAGTTGTCTTCACTTCCCAGTGAGATGTTCAGCTCCTTGAGGAACACACTTATTCTTCCTAGCAATCCCAAGCAATACTAGCTCCAAACTCCATACCTGAGGAGGTGCTCAAACAAAATCTGCTCATCCAACCTTCACTCCAGGGAGCACCATGAGAGGAGGAATTTTTGTGGCTTTAGTTCCTTACTGTAGTCCAGCAACTAGAACTGAGCCAGGCATATAGTGGGTTCCTATTATGTCTGCGTCAAATGCCTGAGTTCTTGAACACCCACCATGGACATGGTTCAGATTGCTAGAAACTCAAAGGTAATCCAGAGTTGGTTTCCCCACATCATTTCTATTGTAAAACCTCATCTTGAGCTATTCTCACTTTAGCCCATTTTGAACTTTAGTTTTAACTTGTTTTCTACTCAACAAAGCTCCATGTTCATGACCCCAAAGCACGATCAACTCTTTTTTTACACATTAAGGGTGTTTTAAAGCAAGGTAAAATTTTCATTTCCCCTCACTCTACTGAGTCTGCATTGTTTCTGACCTCCAAATCTAACACATTTGAGAAGCATGTTTTGATGCAGGGTGAGAACCTCAAGTCATTCTGAGAACTGCTTAATTACGTAAATGAAATCAAAAGAAAGCTGGCAAACCCAGCAGCTACTCATTAATCCCCTCTTGGCATGGGTAGAAAACAAAACAAAACAAAACATCAACTTCCTGGTAAAGTAAGCAAATACGTTTTCTGAGGTAATCAAAGATTTTAAAAGCCTTATTCCACCTCCTCCTCCCTTAATCTCACCTGAATGTCTAAAAAGTTACGGTCTTGTGATAGCAAGTAAAATAATAAAATTAGGAAAGAGATTATGTGTCATGGCCATTTAGGGTAAGAATAGTTCATAATGACCTACTGGCTGGAAGAACCACATCGTGTGTTTGAAATTCCCATTGGGCTCCATTTTCCCAGAGCGTTAATCTTTCCTGTCTTTGAAGAGAAAACTAGGCCTGCCCTGTTTGCCTTTCAAGGTGTGACGGATAGCCAGAGGCTTCTCCTTAGCAGCAGTTAGGTTTCTTTGGACACACAGATTCTCCATCACCTGTCAGCTGTTTATACGTGCAAAGATTTTATAGCTCTTACATCGATTTCACATAAATGACCAACTAAAGACCAGGCTTGGAACAGCCCATACTTGATATGCTGGTGACAGCATGAGCAGTTTCTCCAATGTACCATATAAGGAAATTGTGGGTCCTAACTTCACACTCTGAAACATCTTCTCCCCTCCATGTCTATATCATCTAACCTATCAATTCAACAGGTCTTTCCTGGGGGCCCAGATTTTGGGTAGGTGGCTGGGGGATATAGAAGATGATATAAGCCATGGCTTATGTTTTTCAAGAGCTAGAAACTGAAGACAGGAAATCATGGAAAACAACACAAAATGCTGTATAATTATGTGCTAAACTCTCCTGTATCCAATCAGACTGTGAAGTCTATGCATCTGGATTGTATCTTAGCACCCCCTAGAGAATAATCATCGCTCATCCAGGCTTTATCACTTAGAGAAGATCATTACACAAAACAGTCCTATGGAAAGTCCTATATTTTCTTTTTTTTTTTTTTTTTGAGACAGAGTCTTGCTCTGTCACTCAGGCTGGAGTGCAGTGGCATGATCTCAGCTCACTGCAGTCTCCACCTTCGGGTTCAAGCAATTCTCCTGCCTCAGCCTCCCGGGTAGCTGGGACTACAGGCACACGCCACCACACCTTGCTAATTTTTGTATTTTTAGTAGAGATGCGGTTTCACCATGTTGGCCAGGATGGTTTTGATCTCCTGACCTCGTGATCCACTTGCTTCGGCCTCCCAAAGTGCCGGGATTACAGGCGTGAGCGACCGTGCCCGGCCAGAAACTCCTATATTTTCTATAGTACAACTGGTGTGTGAAACTGACCACTGCTATAGGAATTTGTTTCAGATAAAGCTGAACTGGGGCAAAGACTACACTTGAGTAAAATCTTGAACAATGTGAGTGGGAGGAGGAGAAGGCCTGGCAAATTAGAAGCACAACCTTGAAGGGCAGAGGTAAGCAGAGACGAAAATCACATGTGGGAATGAGGAAGGTAGGTGTGAGCTCAGTAAAAAAACTGTCATTTAGGAAACAGTGCATAGATCCAGGACATAGGTAGGAAGGAGACAGAAAAGTGCTTCTGAGAACATAGGTGGGAAGTAAAGAACCCTAAAATCTTATTTTTTTTTTTTTTCAAGACAGGGTCCTGCTCTGTCACCCAGGCTATAGTGCAGTGGCATGATCATAGCTCACTGCAGCCTTGAACTCCTGGGCTCAAATGACCCTCCCACTTCAGCCTTCTGAGTAGTTGAGACTACACGCATGTGCCACCATGTCCAGCTAATTTTTTTTTTTTTTTTTTTAGAGACAAGAGTCTTGCTATGTTGCCCGGGTTGGTTTTGAACTCCTGACTCCTGGCCTCAAGTGATCCTCCTGCCTCAGCCTCTTATAGTGCTGGGATTGCAGGTATAAGACACCACGTCCGGCCCCTGGAAGTTTCTGGAGTTGTAAAATGGCATCAAGTTGATTTTAAGGAAAACTCTTCTGGAAGCAGAGTTCAAGGTGGATTGGAAGAAGGCAGCCTGAAGTTATTCTCTCTTCCCCATTTCCATTGTCCAAAATGTTTTATTGTCTTTGAAAAAGATAAACAAGCAATCCTCATTCCTCACTACTACACTTCCTTGGTAGAAACACAATAAATATACAGCCACTTTGGAGAACTTCACCAAATCAAATTTATTTCCCCATTTCTGAATGTTAAGCCACAAAGAAAGTACAACCATCATTAGAATAAATGAAAACAGTAAATAATGATGAGTGGGACTTTCCAGCTCTAAAGTAGACAGACTATGTGTGAACTACAGGCAGAGCCTTGTCTAGTCAGTGTCCCAGAACTTCCAACTCTGTATTTCTAGAAGGTCAGTGTGGGTAATAGAAAGAAGGATTTTTTTTTCTTACTGGGGACTTGCCTGTCAATTCATACAGAATGAAAGAGTCTCATCTGAGTAATAATTATTTTTAGTGATGTCAATGTTCCTATGTAATAATAACAAAAATAACCACCTTAATGATGTTTAAAAAGTCATTTTCACATGTTTTCAGCCCTTATTCTACTAGGCCTTCACCCCCTGCTAACTCCCATTGTTCAAAGCCATACACAAGTATGTAATAACCTTCTTGTGGTCTTTCTCCAAATTCAGAGTTATCACAATCAAACTCCTATAGCAAAGGCCAATTCCATCCACACCAGTTGTAAGATGGAATATATAAAATAGGTTTTCACATGATTAGTTCTTTTCTTTTTCCTTTTCTTTCTAAATGCAATGCTGTATATTTATTATTTTCTTTTTTTAAAACTACTTTTTGAGGTCTGGTTGACATACAGAAAGCTGTACATATTTCATGTATACAACTTGATAAGCTTGGAGATGAGTATACACCCATGAAACCATCACCACAATCTATTCCATAAACACATCCATCTCCTCCCAAAGTTCCTGTCCATTCTTTTTATTATTATTATTATTATTTTGGGTGTGCGCGTGCGTGTGTGTGTGTGTGTGTGTGCACGAGAAAGAGACAGAGAGAAAACATAAAATCTGCAGTCTTAGCAAATGTTTAAGTATACAATACAGTATTGTGAAATTGGCACTATGCTGCCCAGCAAATCACTAGGACTTATCATCATCCTTCATAACTGAAACTTTGTGCCTTTTGGTGAACACCTCCCCGATTCCCCCTCCACCAGCCTCTGGAAACCACCAACCTATTCTACTCTCTGCTTCTATGAGTTCGACTATTTTAGATTCATCAGGTGAGTAGTATCACGTAGTATTTATCCTTCTGTGTCTGGGTTATTTCACTTAGCATAATATCCTCCTGTTTCATTCACATTGTTCCAAATTTCTTTCTTTTTTTAAGGTTAAATAATATTCCATTGCCTGTAGACATGGTTCTTTCTTATAATGATTGTCTATAAGCCAGAGAGGGTAGAGTCCATCCCACTTTTGGTAAAAGGGGAGATGCCTTTTTTTTGGAGAAAAGCCTTAATTCAATCACAGTTGGCCAAATGGTAAAAACTCCACTCTATAGTCTGCTGGTTGAGAAAGTAAAAATTTCATTCACATATATCTGATATTTGTTCCCAGTTGCTTAAAACTATGATTATTTGACTTAAACAGGATACCCCAAGTTTAGAGTGACCTAAAGCTGCGCCAAACTGACTCACCCAATAAAACTCAAATAAACATTTCCTGCCTCTAATTAGAGTTGCTTATCCCAGGGAATGACCTCAAATTACCGCCACCCTGTCCCACTCACTTCCATCTGTGTGTGAAAGCCACGGGAAAGAAGAAAAGTTTTGGTCCAATAGATCAGAGAACACTTTCCTTTTCCAGGGGTCATCAACATCTTAGGAAAAAGAAGTTTTTATCACATGATATGACAGCACAAATGGAGCAGCCCCCAGCTAGGCTACATCTCGTTAATGCTGACCACCAGAGCGATCTCCTGCCACGAACAATAGCAGCATCTAAAGTTAAGCAGGAATGGTGTGTTGTTAGTTTCCTCTTTGAAAATGACAGAATCAGGAGGGTTTTAGAAGGGGAACCCAGCCAATAGAAAGCACAGTGGTACTGTTTTGCAGAGACTCTTTCTTTTCCTCCATTGCATGACCAGCATCAATGTCCAGGCTGAATCATCACTTTCCAGTATGCTGGCTTCCTCCTGGTTTCGCCCCACTGGTTGCTTTCTCTATCAATTGCCATTCGTGGGGCATGGCTTCTGGCTACTGTCCTCTGTCCCTGGCTGTTCACCTGGACTTCAGAAAAGCTGGACGGCTTCAGGAACCTTTGCTTCAGGCCTCTACCCAATGCTGTGTCCTGATCATCTTGCAGAAGTTTTACGCTCCAGTCTGCCCATTCTGGCCAAGAGGATGCCTTAGTCAAATCCCTTTTTGATTCTATCAATAATTTATCTATTTATTTAGAGACAGGGCCTCACTCTGTTGCCCAGGCTGGAGTGCAGTGGCTTGATTTTGGCTCACTGCAGCCTTGGCCTCCCAGGCTCAAGCAGTCCTCTCACCTCAGTCTCCTGAGTAGCTGGGACTACAGGTGGATGCGACCATGCCTGCCTAATTTTTCATATTTTTTTGTAGAGAGAGGGTTTTGTTATGTTGCCCAGGCCCAGGCTGGTCTCAAACTCCTAGACTCAAGCAATCTGCCCACCTTGGCCTCCCAAAATGCTGGGATTACAGGTGTGAGCCACCACATCCAGCCAAGAAATAACTTAAATAGAAATCAAACAACAGGTTGCTCACTGGCACCTGTTGCCACCAGTAGCCAGCTGTTTGCGGCCGAAGTTTAGGACCTATGAAATATTTCTTATAAGATTTTTGAGCGGGCCGGGCACGGTGGCTCACGCCTGTAATCCCAGCACTTTGGGAGGCCGAGGTGGGCGGATCACGAGGAGATTAAGACCATCCTGGCTAATACGGTGAAACCCTGTCTGTACTAAAAAATACAAAAAGTTAGCCGGGCGTGGTGGTGCGTGCCTACAGTCCCAGCTACTCGGGAGGCTCAGGCAGGAGAACGGCGTGAAACCAGGAGGCGGAGCTTGCAGTGAGCCGAGATCACGCCACTGCACTCCAGCCTGGGCGACAGGGCGAGACTCCGTCTCAAAACAAGAAAAAGAAAAAGATTTTTGAGCATAGAAATGAAAGTATTCTTGTTCTAATCCAATTTCCCCAACCCAGCCAAAGCCCACATAATGCCTTGCCCTCTACCAATGCTCTTCTTGTGAGCTCAGGCGATTCCCCACGATCTGGTGTAGGGACTGCATGAGACTCTGCCTGTTTCCCACATTTACACCTTCCTGTGTCCCAGGCAGGACATAGGTGGCTAACAGCTGGTGCTCAAAACACCCCTTGTAGATCCCCATCTGTCCAGGCTCAGTGCACGTGCAGCTCAGTAAAGAAGAACTCAAAGCGTCTCCCTGGTCTCCAACCACTGATGCTGGAGCTGGGCCTCACACAGAACCTACGCAGCCCTCGTGGCTGCCACTCTGATTCCAGAAACTCAAGAGTCACCTTATCAGTTCCTGTACCAACAGAAAAAGCAAAACCTACAGAGGTCATGCTGGAGTTCTGATTTCCAGGAGGCTCAAGTACTGAATACTGCAGTAAATAAAACCTGCAGTCCTGGGGTAGGTCAATCCTTGAACCATTTCATTGTGGCTCCTCCTGCTGCTATTGTTGTTGTTGCTGCTGTTTTTTCTATCCGTGTTTTTCTTTTTTTTTTTTTTTTTTTGGTTGTTGTTGTTTGTTTGTTTGTTTGCTTGCTTAATTCTACTTAGAAAGAAATCTCGCTGACTAACCAGGGGATTAGAACATGCCCACATCGATATTAAAATGACCAGCCGATTCAGGGAAAAACAATCAAGGCAACTTTTTTCAATCTCATGTATATAAAACCACCAACCTGTTTACTGACTCCTTCACTTTACAACCAGCTGTCAAGACACAATGATTCTTTTCTTACCCTTTTCTTTCCTAAGAATATGCAAAGTTCTTGTGACTGTTTTAAAGATAAGCAAATCAGGCCAGGAAGCTGACCCCCCAATAAACAGGCACATCAATATTTCCCTTCAATTGTGGGAAGGAACCATAACCTGCTTAGATGGAAATATTTAGGTTGCTCACACTACACAAAGAGAGGGAAAAAAAGCTGCCCCCTCTTACCTTTCCTGCTTGAGTATAGCAGCCAGGACTGATCCTACCTCTAAGAGATGACACGTGAGAGCATCTGTTCAGCTTGCAGACCTGATGATACGTGCATAGCGTGGTCTGTGCAGCAGTTACTCAGGTATCCAGTGAAACAGTATTTCTCCACTTGGAATACTGGAAGGACGGTGTCTCTCTTCCATCCCCAGATGTATTCATTTACCAGGACGTGACTCATGCCTGGTAAATTCAACCACACTGACATTTTCCCTTCCTGATCTGCCACGGAGATTTCTGTCTGCATCAGTTTGGGTCCCTGATTAGTCTCAGAACAGTCTTCAGTTGAAGCAGGACAGAGCCTGGAATGCAGGAAGCAACCGCTCCTGCTGCTCCTGTTGGGTTCTGCTGGTCAGACCACACGGTCAGTGTGGTGTCAGACACTGTGCACTACACTGAACGCTGACTGAGGGCAAACAGGAGGGCGAGGAGAAGCCAGGACCTCCGAGAAGCAGCTGAGGGAAGTGCAACAGCCAGCCCCAGTAAATCCAGTGTTAGAGGAGACTGGCAGTCTGAACTGAATGAATGGGCAAATAAGTATCAGACAAAGGACAAACTGAAGAGAAACTCTTAAAATATTTGAAGGATTTCCACATTGGAAGGAGATTTGGTCTGTGTCACTGCAAAGGGTCAAACTAAGCCCAGTGGGTAGAAGTTACAGCAAGGTTCCTTTGATTACACTAGAAGAAAAACCTCTAGTAACTCCAATCCTCTGTGCAACATCGGACCCGTGCTGCCTTGTTCTACAATGAGTTCCTTCCAACCTGGGGGATGCTGGCCTCGGCTGGATGTTCACTTTTGCAAGGCTGTGAACAGAAATACTCTTTGTTCACTGAGAGGCTGGACCAGATGAGCTGGTGGACGTTTAGAACCCCTTGGTAGCATTTTAAAGCATCCAGATTTCCAGGCCCCTCTATCAGAGCTTCTGATTCTGGGGTGGGCCCTGGGAATGTGCATTTATTTTTGAATTCCCCAGGTACTTCCTACTGATGAGTGGGGTTTGGGAACCAGCAGATTAGGCAGCTGCTGGGGTGCCTTCTAACATGAACATTTGGTGATTCTACTGCATTTTTCTCTGATAATTTCATGTGTTGGTAAATCTAACTAAAGAGTCATTTCTTGGACCAGTGGCTTTTAGTCTTCTATCCCAGCACACTGATGGACAAAGTGCACCCCCATCAAAACCATGGCTTCCTACAAGAGGTATCTCATGGAGTTCCCAGGGCCATGTCTCCTGTATCTGACCATGTCTCTACAATGCCTAACACCATACTGGGCTTATGTGAGCCACTCCAGGAATGCCTAGCATTTAAAGCATTTACTGTTTAGTTGATACTATGCTGTGTTGGGTTTTCATAACTGTAGGGTCATATGAAATCAAATTGAGGACCTGAAGGTCCCGACCGTGTTTAGATAGCTGTGGTTTCACTCCATAATTGCATTTCTTGTCCCACTTGGCTGACTTTTAGTCTTATAGACATGTTGTTGGATTCATATGCATGGCTGCCCAGAACCAAGTAAACCATTTCATGATGGCAAGAAAGCGTGGTTGACATCTCCACTCTGCTAAATCCCCTTTCATGTTCTGACTGCTTTAATAAAGCCGAAATTAAAATGTGCTAATCCGGGGGAAACTGGAAACTTGGAAATAATACACTAACGTAAACATACAACTCAATCCCATGGATTCTGAACACTTGATCACATTGTTTTAAATCTTAAGTGGCACAGCTGGTGGCTGAAGGCACGCTGAAGAGGATTTCCATACCACTTCACTAATACTTTCATTTGATGACAGATAAAGCGTGAAAGGGTTTTTTAAATTATTAAATTCTTTGATCTCCATATTTCCATTCAGATTTACTCTGAACACTGAGCAGTGTGGTGAGATAAACTTATAAATATTTGCTATAATAGCGCGGGGTCTTCTGTGAAGAATTGTTGAACCATTGTTGTGCTGTCGGAGGAAGGTGCTGAATTCCCGCGTGTGTTTAAAATACACGAGCGCAGACTCCAGTCTACACCCTGTAGTCCGCATTAAGCAGGCATAGGTAGCTGTAGGAGTGGAACAAAAGCAGCCTGTGTTTAATCTGTTCACAAATCTTTTGTTCCTAAATACTTGGAAAGGTGGTTAGACCAAGTAAGGGAGAGATTCAGGACTGGGTGGAAGCTTTGATTTAGACTGATGGCTGACAATGCAGATAGGAGGCTGGTCTCTCTAAACACATAAATTCGTTATCTAAACAGAGTGGGTAATGTCACAAATGCCTGGGAACCTAACTGAAACAGTTCATGATTTGACTGTAGTCAGTCCCTGTTTGGGCACTCCTTCCATGGACGTTTTTAAAGTTTCCTATAGCTTTCCTCATCCTTCATTCTCATTGGTGTGGTATAGGGGTCCAAACTTGGCCTTGGAATCCTGACTGCCTGGGTTAAAATCCTAGCTCAGCTGCGTGAACAAGCTGCATGAACTTGGACAAAAGGAAATGCTGGTTTCCCTATTTGTAAAATCGAGATTCAATAGTAGCTACTTCATGGAAAACTAAAATAAGGTGTCTTTATTGTAGCTGCCTACCCCTTAAAAATTGCTCAGGAAAATATTAGTTCTGATTTTTCATTCACTAGTCTTCATTCAGTAGCAGCCTATGGCTCCATGATAAACAAATTTCAAATCAGCTGACTAGTACATATTTATAGAGGACTTCAAAAAGGCTACAATCTCTTTGGAGAGATGAGAAACTCCAATGAAATACGTTAACATTATTCGATGGTATTTTATTATTTGGAAGTTTCCATAGAAGAGTGGAGATTTAGGGGGAAGGTGTCAAAATGAGTAGGGTGTGGGTTTTCTGGGTGCAGGAAAGCCATGAGGACATGGGCATCTCTACGCATTTGGTTTACTTAAGAGAACAGTGATGAGACCTAGCTGTTTGGAGCAAACCATCTCCATCTTGGCCTTTTTGTTTGCTTAGAAAATGATAATCTAAGGCAAATGAGAGGACATAATTAACAAGTAAAGAGTAATCATGGCTATCATTTATTGAGCACCTCCTATATGTCAAATATAAGCTACTTTTCCATTGATGCAAGAATTATGAAAGCAAATGTTAACATCCACATTTGACACAAAGATACAGAGGCTCAGAGGAGTTGACTTGCCCAAGGCCATGGAACTAGTAAGTAGCACAGCCAGAATTTGACCCCGTGTCTGTCCCAAAGCCAGGGGCTCTTTCTGTTACTCCAGGAGTCACCCTCACCATCATTCAATAGAGCTGTCAATAAAATGCCACCTTTGTTTTTGTTTTTGTTTTTTTTTTGAGACGGAGTCTTGCTCTGTCGCTAAGGCTGGAGTGCAGTGGCATGATCTCAGCTCACTGCAACCTCCACCTCCAGGGTTCAAGCGATTCTCCTGCCTCAGCCTCCTGAAAAGCTGGGACTACAGGTGCATGTCACCACACCTGGCTAATTTTTTGTATTTTTAGTAGAGACAGGATTTCACCATGTTGGCCAGGATGGTCTTGATCTCCTGACCTCGTGATCCACCCTCCTTGGCCTCCACAAGTGCTGGGATTACAGGCATGCGCCACCGCGCCCAGCCATAAAATGCCATTTTTTTATACATCAAAAATGAAGGTGCTTGAGGCTAACATTCAAAAATGTGTATTGAGGGTCCACACAGGAAGCCTGTGCTCTGGTTATATTTATAGAGGTGGTCTCAAGTCTCTAGAACACAAAGTCTCTGCTACCTCGTGAAGGAACACAACAGTTCTCCCTGTGACCAAAGGACCCTTGCCTTCTTTAGAGTCAACCTAGAGTCCAGGTGAATACAATGTCATGTCTTTCATACAGTGGGCTGCTTTGTAGCAAACTCCACCATCTGGACGTCACTGTAAATCAGTAAGAGAGAAGAGGTCCTCTGAGCAGGAAAAGAAACACTAGCACCAGGACCCACGTGCTACTCAACAGCAGAAGTGAACACCATGTGTGAATCTGTCGGCTAGGTACCACTTTGTGGTTCTATCAGTAAAATTCAGGTTAGGATTTCAACCTTAAGAAAATTCCATTCTTCCCAGCTTAGGAAATAAGGGAATAGGTGACCGCTAGAATTGCCCCAAAATTGCCAATCTGGAACTATTTAAAGCAGGAATAGCAATCCTAACATCTTATAGCCCTTCTTATAGCCAACTGTTACACCAAAGTTGCCAAGAAAAACTAAAATAAGATTCAAAAATCTTTTTACCAAGACTTTAAAATTTGTGCTAATTTTATTATAACAGTGATGCTATTGCTATGAATGATTATGCAATGATTTAGTTTGGAAATTTTTTCCATCAAAGTGGTATACTGATTTATAAGGGCCCATATAAACTGTGTAACATGGAAACCTGAATTTCCTGATAAGTGCTAGATAAATGAATGGAATCAAAATACAGGAAACTGATTTTTTAAATGGTTAGAAAACATATGAATGACTTTTATGTTCTAAACTCTAAGTACCCTATAGTTGTTCTTATTGTTGATTGGAGTATTTTTTTTTGCAAAGTATATACTTTAAAAAATCCTTACTTACAGAAACATATTTTAGACGCATACCATATCAGAATCCAGAAAAGGCCTACTGACAGCCTTCAGAAACCACTTCAGAGAACAGTCATGTAATTTCAACTTCAATAGTTAGTGACTGGCAATTTGGAGATATTTCACTTTCCAGGTGGTGAGCAACAGGTAAGTGAGAATACAGCAGAGGCTACCACGTAAAAGAAAGTCTCTGAAATGCCCTGGTCTGTCTGCTCACTAGAAGACATGCCACTTCTCCTCTTCAAAGCATCTTCAATGATTCTTCAAAGCATCTCCATTGTCATTTGGAACCAAGCCCCAGTTCTAAGCAGCAGTGCTTTCCACACTTGAGCATGCAGAAGAATCAACTGGACAGTTTTTATAGCATAATTCCTGGACTCCACACCCAAATATTCTGATTCTGCAGGTCTAAGTTGGGACCGGAAATCCTGCATTTCTAAGAGGCTCCCAGGTAATGCAATGCTGCTAGTCTAGGGATCACCCTTGGAGTCACAAGGACCACAGCTCCTGTCGTCTGGTGGTAATCTAAATTTCAATCTGGTATCTCACAAGTCCCTACTTGAGCTGATCTCTTTTAATATCACAACCACTTCTTGCTCTTGGTTACTTCTGAGGCATTTGGGCAACTGCTCCAAGTCTCTCCCGTCTACATGCCAGGCATTTCCTATCCTCCTGCTCATTGGTGATGCCTTTGCAAATGAAGACAGCCCTTGGAGAATTCTTCTGCTTCTGAATTCACGGCAATCCTTAAACTACACATCTGATGATTGATCTTATTCTGTATGTGACAACCTTCTACCATTGCCTTATATTGTTACATCAGAGAGAGTTTTTTAAAGTTGGTATTATTTTTCTACCCTTCTTCAACTGGTCTTTCTCAGTCCTCATGAGTAGGAATTATACCTTGCACCTAATGGTACACCAATAAATAATGACTGATTAATTAGATATATCAATTAATATATTTAATATCATTTTGGTTCTGCTCTGCTATGATTGTCTGAACTACCAAGGTGGGTGAGCACCATTACTCTAGAAAACCTAATTCAACACTGTTTTATTGTCTTGTTTCCCAGGGCAGCTCCTGAAGTCTCTTTCTGAATCCTTTACTGGACCTAACAGAGTAGGCATGCTCGTAAGTTAGATAGCCTATGACTCAAGTGGCTCACCAAAATAGATTATTTTTTTCATCCTGGATACAGACCAGCTAAGGTTTATACTAATTCATGACCCTCTGTTAAGAATCTCAAAGGGAGATTCTACCCACTGATAATGTAAAAGTGCAGACAAACCCCCAGTCTCTCTCTGAACAATGAAAACGAAAGATGTTTCCATTGCCTTCTGACTAATCCCTTCGCGAGTGATATAATCAGTAAGCCAGTAAGGAAACCCTGCCTTCAACGAGAGTATGATGTAAAAAATGTGCATTCTCTTGCAATACTGACCCATGAACAATCTAATGCCAGGAAACCCACAACAAATGCCTGGAATACCGGCATTCCAGATTCACATGACTTTTACTGTACCCCTACCTTGCGTTATATTCTTGGTCTGTAGCGTTAGGAGAGTTAGCTAAGTAGTTATTACCAAGTTGTCTAGCTTGATAAGGATGGGCAAGCCCTCCACTGTAGACCCCCAGGCTCTGCTTTAAACTAACGGGAAGTTTTATGCGTTAATTTCATGAATGCCATTCAATGTTCAGCAGATACATTGTGAGCATCTACTAGATGCAAGCAGCGTTCCTGCAACACATAAAGTGCTCATTCTTCTTTTGCTCAGAACTCTAAGATGTGTCCACCCTTGAAATTACACATGGTGTTTCATTTTGCACCACGTAGGCTGGGCCCAAACCTGAATACGCACCAAACATGTGGAAGAGACGAGAAAGACTGCAGGGAGCAAAGGCCAGGCCACAGCATAAAACTCACTGCCTTCGGCTAACAGGTACTCCTGTCACCTCTGCCTTCCAGGTAGCGCCAAAACTGCCTCTCAGATGTCACCTCAGGCTGTTTATTGTGACTCTGAACCACTACTTTAAGTACCATTCTTTTCCTATTAATCCAAACTGTTTAAATAAAATTATTTTGATGGATGAAGACTCAGTATATATAATGCACGTCATTCATTTGGCACTTGTTCAAATAGGATATGGTGATATCTTGTATAGGACCAGGCTGAACATTTATCTGTAGAAAGGAATGCATTGCTTGGCCAATTAATAGCCAATGCAAAGGTAGATAATGTTTTAAATAATTTAAGAATAGAAAGAAATTTTTGGCACAGCAGTAACAACTACCTATTTAGCAAATGTGCTGGTTAAAATGATCCTTATCTTTTTATCATGTCAGGCTCTTCAGAACTTCTACCTGACAACAATTTTATTAGCCGTTCTAGTTCCTGTCCATGCACAGAAGTAATACAATGTCATCACTTTGAACATATTCCATATTACTCAGATTAACCACCAGTTCAAATGGTTCAAATGAGTTTCCTTTACCACGTATCTATGGAGAAGATAAAACTCTGCCAACTTAGTTAAAAAAGAAGCAATGATAAGAATCATTCTTTGGGGTTGACTTCCCACCACCCCAAAGACACAGCTCACCACAGAACTAACTCTTCTCCTCCTGTCTGTGAAGCCCAGGACATAGTTCCCACGTACTTATAACCAAGGGTCAGCCAGTGACAACAGTTGCCTGTAGCCTAAGAGCACAGCGAGAAACTTCTGTCCTGCTCTGATCATCTAAATGGAAAATTTACGAGATATACAGACAAATCAGTTCACAGACTATGCCCCAAGCACTAGAAATAACTTATTTCTACAATGTATTTGTACAAAATGTTCTGGATAATATAAAGTTGTTAAATGAATATAAGTCTAGGATTCCTAATTGGAGTGGATCGTTCCCTGCCCTCTTCCCCTGGAGATGGGAAAATCAAAAAGCAACAGACAGCCTTAGCCAATTCAACCTCTACCTATCTATTTTCATTCATAAATTCGGAGGGAAAGAAAGGAAGGAAAGAAAGTGAGGTCTCAAAAAAATGAAGTGAGGTAGGTGACTCATTACTTCAACATTTTCTTGGGGGTAACTTTAGCCAAGCCAGTGCTCAAGTAGGTGTATAGGCAGAAATAGGGGGAAAAACAGATACATCAAAACAAAGGAAGTTTATAAATGCTTCCCCTTCACCTGATATTGTACAGGGCCATCTCACCACGCTACAGCCCCTGCAACCCCTCACCACTTCTGTGTCTTTCCTCTAGGTCACAGCCTGCTGCTCCACACTCTGTCATGGGAGATGCCAAGGTTAAAATGACAGTTGGACTGTCAGCATCCAGCTTTTTGGAACGTCTGTTAAATAGTCTTGACGGATGCTGGATCTTTGCAAATGGGTGGTCGGGGACCAATACAGTCTCAGAAGAGGTATTTAAGACAAATTAAACAGCAGTGTTCCCCTGGCCCCATGGGCAAGAGGCAAGAGTGGGTTAGCTTCCCAAGAGACCGTGCCATCAGCTAAAGCATGAATCAACTGATCCATTCTATTTTTTAAACGTTTGCAAACACTTTCCTGGGATCAGTACCATGGCTCAAAGCACCTGTGATCATTTATGGCTTGGAAATATAATAAAGATATTTTAGGATAATTTTTTAATTGGAAAATATTTAAATTCCTTTTTGCCATATGTTTCTGACCTCCAGTGACCTCAGATCTTGATTAGGAAGATAAAGCAAAGACCAACCAGAAGTATGTAATTTTAGAACAGGAAAGTCGATCTGAAAAGTAATTTCTCTAAATTTAGTTACAGTAGCTCTTATCTGAACTGTGGTCCTTACACACCAATAACTTTTGGCTATTCAGATGAGAAGAACAACAAATTTTTTACCAAAATTGTTGTGTTCTTTTTCTGACTCAAGCTTAACCGGACAAATGAGAAGATGGAAGGGCTACTGGTGGAGTCAGAGAAATTCTTTACGTGAAATGACGTCTGCTTTTACTTGTTGGGAAACAGATTATTTTAAGAGAATATTAGAAACTATGACAAACCCCAAAACTGTTTCCCGTCAGAATTCTTGGAGGAATTGCTTAGTTTACCCACAGACACACTCCCTGGCCCCTGAATACTAGATAAACAGCATTCTTTCAAGATACAGGTCTTGAACAGTCATTTTCCCCTTTTCTCTTAATAGCAGGCTTTTAGGTTTAAACTATCCAGAAATTACATTACCACCCATGTCTCCTCCTCCTTTACCTGTTTGCAGAAAAGAAGCTTGGTAAATTATTATCGTATAATCTGTGATGCCAGCGCTGAAGTGTGGAATAATTTAAATATTTTGAAGGGTCGAGGATGTACAGGGTCAAATAACTTAAGAGCATGGCTTCTCAAGCTAGAACATGAAAAATTTCTCTTCTTCTAGTTGAAAATGGGGAGCCACATCTACAGAAAGCTTGGGCTTGGTGTTGGCAACAATGGGGCCTCCCCTTTCCCACTGCCCCAGTCCTTTTCTCCCCACACCCACATGAAAGGACGATACATTCCACAGGCCATGGATGAGCATCAAGTAGCAAAATTCTATAAGACTAAGAATCCCCCAGAAAGAGCCCAAGAGAATTACCAAAAAAACTTCTGTAATTTTGCCTCCAGTCCTAGTTTATTATATGTTACCAGTTTTAGGCCAATGAGGCATTTTCCAACTTCCCTAGTTCGTACTGTCACCAAAATCAGAGTCTAACTATGCTTAGAAAATGCTTCTTTGTATCTCCCTAATTCTTCTTCTATCTAATCTACAAAGGAGATAATATTCAGTCAGACTCTGCTTCTGGTGCAAGCTGCTGATGAAAATCTAAATCCCTCATGCTATGATTTAAGCAGTTATTGCCAAGACTGTCCTTTCTATTACCATCTAATATCATTTATTAAAGAAACCATTAGTGCAAGGAAATCTGATTAATTTGGGATTGCCAATTACTGAGAAGTGAATCATTAACAAATTCATATGAACTTCATTTGCAAATAGAGAACTTTTGAGTGTCGAAGGAGAACGACTATATTTTTAAGGGCAGTTAACAATTTTCTTTTTCTTTTTTTTTTTTTTTTTTTTTTGAGACAGAGTCTCACTCTGTCACCCAGGTGGAATGCAGTGGTATGATCTTGGCTCACTTCAACCTCCACCTCCCAGGTTCAAGCGATTCTCCTGCCTCAGCCTCCTGAGTAGCTGGGATTACAGGCACGTGTCACCATGCCTGGCTAATTTTTGTATTTTTAGTAGATACAGGGTTTCACCATGTTGGCCAGGCTGGTCTTGAACTCCTGACCTCAAGTGATCCGCCCACCTCGGCCTCCCAAAGTGCTGGGATTACAGGTGTGAGCCACTGTGCCCGACCAGTTAACCATTTTCATAGACAGTAAAATACTGTTAGCAAATGAAAGATGTGAGGCCTAACACCTGATGATAGTCAACAACTCTTCGGGCTCAGAGAGGACTGGAATTCTGTGAAGTCATTAGAAATGAATACTCCACCCTTCTCTCAGGTTATTGAATAATCTGTATCTTAAATGACTTTGATAGGAAAATGCTACTCCAATTTAGCCAGAAGAGGAGTCGCTGGTAAGGAGTTGCTGGTAAGGATTTTTACCCCAGAAGGAAGTGGCGATTGGTCTAGCAAAACACTGTAAATCTTTTCCTGCCCCTTGCAAGATGGTCACAGTTGCGGAATTCTCTGCCCTGGGAGCATGCTTGACTTCCATTTTCAAATACAAGGGAAAACAAACAAACTCGAGCTGCTTCACAGAGCCTCAAATAGCTTTTTCCAAAGATGGGCGCCATCCCCCATCAGGTGGGTTTTTGAGGGCCCAGACCACAGAAACCATCTGGGAGTCTGTGCTCAAAAGTTCAGAACAATCCAGAAATTATTTCAGCTGTTTTCATTTTATAAATAAAACAAAAACACCAAGTAGGAACAAACAAACACATGCTTCCATGCGTCTATTTTTAAAAGAAAAGACAGCTCCGCCCCGACTTTTTTTTTTTTTTTCTGTTCAACTTCAGGCTCTTACACATAAAAGTATAACACAATGCTGGAAACTGAAGCAGTTCCAAATTTTCTCCTCCTAGAATATCACCTAGCTATCTAAGCCTAAAGCATTTTAGGTCCTTTGTCTCCTCTTTCTGGCCCTGGATCAACGGAACATAATAACCAGTTGCTATTTCATCAACATCCCCAGGGTCCAACCTTGGCCCACTCAGCTCTGCCTTTCCAACAATCATCGCCCTCTCGTGGCAAAAGCTGTTAACTGCAAGCTACTTAGCAAGTTGACTGCAGATGGAGAATAAAATGATCAGCTTGCCCACTCTGCTTTCTTTCGTGATTTCTAAGAATGCACTTAAAATGAGAAAACTGGAAGATTTGTATGTAATTGATTTAAGTGTAGGAAAACCTACATTAATAAGCTGAGGCCGGGCGCAGTGGCCCATGCCTGTAATCCCAGCATTTTGGGAAGCTGAGGTGGGAGGATCACTTGAGCCCAGGAGTTTGAGACCAGCCTGGCCAACATAGCGAAACAACGTCTCCACTGTAACTACTCAGGAGGCTGAGGCAGGAGAATCGCTTGAACCCCGGAGGCGGAGGTTGCAGTGAGCTGAGATGGTGCCACTGCACTCCAGCCTGGGCCACTGAGCGAGACCATCTCAAAAAAAAAAAAAAAAAAAAAAAAAGGCTGAGCTTTTATACCCTTCAACTCCTACTTAAAAGAATATTGGGGGTGAAGTGGGGGAGGGTTGGTCAATGCATAAACACAGAAAGCAGATTGTTACTGCATTGCAAAGAGCCCCTTAGGTATCACTCTGTCGAACTCTCCTATTTACCTATTAGTCTTCATAGTTTGTGTCTAGTCCTAATCCCCGGGGATGGTTTTAGAATCACAAAAGAGTGTTCTTGGCACACTGGGCTTCTCATGGCTTCCTAAGGGGCACACTTTGAAAGAGAGTCTGACTAATTTGAGTAGGACATATCTGCCCAGGGAGCACCCACAGGGATGACCTGTCACCAGAACACACAAACGACCTCATGCACCGGGCCAGATTTTGTTTCTGAAAGGCTAAAACCCTATCCTCAACAAAAGAGTAGGGGACATGTCTATCGTATTCATTCCCATGCCCCCAGCATCTGACACAGGGCTTTATATCCAGCAGGAGGGCAAGAAATACTTAATGTATGCATGAGGCTGGGTGTGGTGGCTCACGCCTGTAATCCCAGCACTTTGGGAGGCTGAAGCAGGTGGATCACCTAAGGTTAGGAGTTTGAGACCAGCCTGACCAACATGGCGAAACCCTGTCTCTACTAAAAGTACAAAATTAGCCGGGCGTGGTGGCACTTGCCTGTAATCCCAGCTACTTGGGAGGCTGACACACTAGGATCTCTTGAACCCGAACCCGGGAGGCGGAGGTTGTAGTGAGCCGAGATTGTGCCACTGCACTCCTCCTGGGCGACAGAACGAGACTGTTGCAAAAAAAAAAAAAAAAAAGAAAAAGAAAAGAAAAGAAAAGAAAAGAAAAGAAATACTTAACGTATGCATGAGTGACAGCGAGATGCTGAATGGGTCTTCAGGAAAGCAAACACCGTGCTCATCTCCAGGGTACTTTGATTTCCAGTCCTGATTTCTCCCAGGAACTAGGGGATTTAAAATGCTACTCCGGGAATCCTTACAGATACCAAGGAGGTGGCTTGGGGGTTGGCCCCCAGCTCACTTCAGTAAAGGGAGGATTCCTCTTTCATAAGTTTATATATTGAGCTTCTCTGCAGGATTCATATTAAGGAAGGATTCTATTACTAAAATAGCCAGAAATGACTGCTCTAGGTCATTGGCCCCAGCACAGTAACAACGGACTTGAGAGAAATGGTTCTTCTCTCACCCAGAGAAAACAACGATAACTAAATTATAGGGGGGAAAAAAAAGAATAAAAAATTGTTAAAGGCCAGGCACCATGGCTCACGCCTGTAACCCCAACCCTTTGGGAGGCTGAGGCAGGCAGATTGCTCGAGCCCAGGAGTTTTGAGACCAGCCTGAGCAACATGGTAAAACCCCATCTCTATAAAGAATACAAAAATTAGCTGGGCATGGTGGGGCACACCTGTAGTCCCAGCTACTCAGGGGGCTGAGGTGGGTGAATCACCTGAGCCTGGGCATTTGAGGCTGCAGCGAGCCCTGATCATGCCACTGCATTCCAGCCTGGGTAATAGGAGTAAGACCCTGTCTCAAAAAAAAAAAAAAAAAAAAAAGGAAAAAAAAGAAGAAAAGAAAATCATTAAAGACAAAAAATCTGGCCGGACGCAGTTGCTCACTCCTGTAATCCCAGCACTTTGGGAGGTGGAGGTGGGCGAATCACTTGAGGTCGGGAGTTCAAGACCAGCCTAGCCAACATGACAAAACCCTGTCTCTACTAAAATTACAAAAATGAGCCAGGTGTGGTGGCGTGCGCCTGCGGTCCCAGCTACTCAGGAGGCTGAGGCAGGAGAATCACTTGAACCTAGGAGGCAGAGGTTGCAATGAGCTGATATCGTGCCACTGCACTACAGCCTGGGTGACACAGTGAGACTCTGTCTCAAAAACAAAAAACAAAAAAACAAAAAAAAAAAAAAGGAGAGAGAAAAAAATCTGACTATAAGATTGACAGAACTAGACAATTTCTTTGGGTGAGTGGGATGGACGCACAGGTGCATACAGCAACGGGAAGGGGAGGAGGGGTGTCTTATAATCACACAGAACTCTTCCGGGACCCTTTTCCCACTGGAACTCAGTGGTCCTGGAGGGAAGGACTGCTTTGGGAGCTAACAAGATTGGGTACTGTTTTCCTTCTCTGGTCTTTCCCCTCTCCTTCTGGATGACAGCTCCGTGTTGATGAGTGTGTGTGGTGCCCAGGAGCAGGAGAGCTCCCAGACAACTCACTTAACCCTCACTGCTTTGCCTGCCTCCGGTGTCATCACGAAGGTATTGTAAAACCATGGGCAGGGTCTTCTCTCTTGTGCAGGTTCTTGGGCTGCCCGGGCAGTGCCCAGGAGGAAGGGCTGTCTGACCTGACGTATGGAGATTAGACATGAACTTGCTACCTCAATCATACATTTGCTTAACTTCAGCTTTGGGGGGCTGAAAATGCATCCCTAAACTGAAATAGTTATGTTCCCTAGAGAAAAGATATGGCAAAAAGACTCTTCTCCCAACTAGTAAGCAATTCAAAGCCAAAGATATACACTGAGGTTAATAAAATACAGAATAATTCACATTGAATTTATTTACTATTTTTTCTTTAGTCCTTTAAAGTTCTTTTAATTTTATTTGGTTTTAATTTTTCCCATATATGTGGCAATAATGCAAACACATGACCTTGAGCACAAAGCAATAAGAAAATGTCAAATTAGTAGTAAGAAGTGCTCCTGGATAATCTCTAGAATGTGCAATATCCTTTGAAGTTAAGTTTATTTCAAAAATAATTCAAATGCTGAAATAAGCAAATTACAAGTAGTAAGCAAATGGCCCAAACCAGGCACTGTTGTTGTTGTTGTTGTTTTAAAGAGACAGGGGTCTCACTATATTGCTCAGGCTGGAGTGTAGCGGCTATTCACAGGTTCACTCATAGCTCATTACAGCCTTGAGCTCCTGGGCTCAGGTGATCCCCCTCAGCCTGCCAAGCAGCTGACACTCTAGGCATCTGGCTTCTGGGTTTTGAGAATGTTGAGAAGTGCAAGCATGGTAGGCAATAACTAAAATAATAAACCGCCTCTCAAATCTGCTTAGAATATTAGAAAAATAACTAATCTCTGCAAATGTGAGATAAATCCTAATGGCCTGAGTTTTTCTGAATAAGATTCTGGAAAGAGACTACTGAAGTACTTGTGCCATAAAGATTGACCAGTCACTGCTGCTGGTTACTTAAAGGAGTGACAAGAATCATCCCTGGTTAATGTAATGACTTATGGGCTGAGGCCACTGTATGTAGTGATTGCAGAAGATAATTTGTTTGGCTAAAGGAAAACAAAGTGCAAATAAATAGGCATTAATACTATTTTATTTGATCTAAAAGTGATTTTTGGAGGGTCAAGGGTTGAGGTCTCACTCTGTCATCCAGGCTGGAGTGCAACGGCGCGATCATGGCTCACTGTAGCCTTAACCTCCTGGGCTCATGGCTCACTGTAGCCTTAACCTCCTGGGCTCATGGCTAGTGATCCTCATGGCTCAGCCTCCCAAGTAGCTGGGACCACAAACAAGCACCACAAAGCTCAGCTAATTTTTAAATTTTTTTGTGGAGACACGGTCTTGCCACGTTACAGGCATGAGCCACTGCAACCAGCCTGAATGATCTTTTATTCTATTACTTAAAATGACACTTTTAGTGGGGCATAGTAGCTCATGCCTGTAATCCAAGCACTTCACAAGGTGAAGGCAAGAGGATCACTTGAGCCCAGGAGTTTGAGACCAGCCTGGGCCACACGGCAAGATCCCATAGCAACAAAAATTTTAAAAATTAGCTGAGTGTGTGGTGGCACCCGCCTGTGGTCCCAGTTCCTTAGGAAGCTAAGCCGGGAGAATCACTTGAACCTAGGAGGTTGAGGCTGCAGTGAGCCGTGTTCATGCCACTGTGCTCCAGCCTGGGTGACAGAGCAAGACCCTGTCTCAATCAGTCAATCAATCAATCAATTCAATGTGAGTGAAACCACAGCATTTGGGACATCTGGAAGACTGGAAGTGTCGAGGCCTGTCTTGATGGTGAGTAGTCCGACACTCCGCCACCAGGTGATATGCAGAATGAGTCTGGCGTTCACATCTTTACCACAACTTTCTGATTTGAAACGACTCTCATCTCCCCTTCTCCACTGCCTGTTTCTCCAAGCCAGGTTTATGGGATTTAAAATTCAGACCCTTTTTCTTCTTTAGTTGAAGTTTGGTTGATTAAATAAATATTTGGCAGTTTAAACAATGAGCCAGTTCCTTTGGGAACATGACGTTTCATCCCCACACAATGAGCATCTGGATCCCAGCCAGTCCTGTCCCAGCTTTCCAGAGGCTGGATGGGTGGTGTGGCCAGTTAGCCTCCTCTTGTCCTGACCTGCCATGGGCCACCAAGCCCTGGATGTTTGTGTCCTGCCAAGAGGGAAGCCTCAAGTCTGCAGAAGCAGCAAAACTCAGTCCTCCGTGCAGCCTTGTCTAACGTCTGTGTGCACCTATGCAGGCCACTTTACCGAATGGGAACAGAACTAGATGGTCCCTGAGGTTCCTTCCAGCTCTAACTACAAAGTGCAGAGGAAACTATGAATTTGCCCATTACTTCACTGTTGCAAATTGGAAAGTGAGGGCAGAGGAAAGGAAACTGAATTAGGAGGTAACTCCTGAGGTCTGACCAAGGTTCGCATTCTCTTTGTGGCCGGCAAGTGGCTTTTGCCTTTCCTTCACTTCAGTTAGTGTAGAAAGAATCACTGTGGATGGCCCTAACAGTGGTATTTATACTCAGATCTTTTCACAAGTTGTTGCTTATCTGATCCTCACAACAGCTTGGTGAGGGAGACAGGTGGCTATGTCCTGATCTCCATTTTTGTGAAGGAACAAACTGACGCCTGAATGCTTGAGAAAAAATACAAATTAAAATAAACAAACAAAAATACAAGGTCATATAGACATTCAGTACATTAAAAAAAATTTGAAGGCTGAGCCGGGTGGATTACCTGAGGTCAGGAGTTCGAGACCAGCCTGGCCAACGTGGCGAAACCCCGTGTCTACTAAAAATACAAAAATCAGCCGGGCATGGTGGTGGCGCCTGTAATCCCAGCTACTCGGGAGGCTGAAGCAGGATGATAGCTTGAACCTGGGAGGTGGAGGTTGCAGTGAACTGAGATTGTGCCACTGCACTCCAGCCTGGGTGACACAGCAAAACTCCGACTCAAAAAAAAAAAAAAGTTGAAGAGAATATTTTTTCTTATCCTGGTTCCCTCTGTTTCCAATACTTTATACCAATAACTTTCAACTATGTATTAAAGAGCCCTAAATTTGGGGGAATAGGTGGGAAGAAGAACAAATTTTCTCAAGATCGTTACAGGAATGTTTCCCATTCCACACGCCCCTTGACACCAGGTGGGATTATTTTTGCAGAAGCAATGCTATGTGACTTCTGAGAGTACGTCATGAAGACAGTGGATCTTCCACATCATTCACTGGAATATTCTCTCCTGAACACTTCAGCCACCACGTGAGCAGCTTGACTGCCCTGAGGCCACCATGCTATGAGGAAGCCCGAGTCAGGCCATACACAGAGACCACATAGAGAAGCTCTGAGACTCCATAGAGAGAGAGAGATGCCCAGCCAGCCCTCAGTTGTTTCCACCCCCTCCATCCCCACTGTTCAAACCCTCTGTAGCCACACAAGAGGCCCTGAGCCAGAACCAACCAGCTGAGCCTCTGAGTTTTGGGGTGATTTCTTTTGTAGCAATAGTGATCCAAACAGGTCCAAGTTTCCCCTATCAGTCAGAGCAGAAGTGCTTTCATCTGTTTTATATACTTGAATTTTCTCATTAATATTAGAACCATGATTCACTACTTAAAAAAAGAAAAGTTTGAAGGCTCTCTTTAAGAATAAGAGAAGAGAATTTCAGCCCTGCTACCACCTGCTGGAAGGATGACATGATGATGGCAAAATCTAACTCTAGGCTTGACTAGTATCCAACACATATTTTTAGATAGATAAATAATTACTCATGAGGCAGAGTAAAGCTTGTAATGAAAAGACATTCAAGAGGAAAAGATCTAAATTCTGGAAACATCTTAATTCGCTAATTGCTGACAATTTTTATCTTAATCAACGCAATACCTTTTAAGAAAGAAAAGATGAAAGGATTTGGGGAAAGTACCATACAATCACTGCAAATAACATATAGGACAGGAACAGCTTATTGGAAAGCCCCTGTTAGGAAAACTTAATCCCATATAAGTTACTGTATGCTTAGCTCACAGCAGGGGCAAACGGGCCAGAGGTACTGAGGTTGGTTCTGGCTTCTGTCTTTTGGGACAGACATTTGAAGACAAAGCACACCTGGAGGAGAGAGATCTGAAACTGATGGGCCTGAAAGCCAAAGGATGAAATGGAAAAAAAAAAAAAAGGTTCAAGAACATTAACCGTGAAGAAGTAAGATCAAGATCAAATGCAATTATTGTTTCCACAAATGGCAACAGTGAACAGCTGATGGAGCTCCTACTCACTGGGTATACTTGATTCAGTCCTCGAAACAGCTTGCTTCCATTTTACAGATGAGAAAATTATGGCCTAAGGTTATAGAGCCTGTTGGTGGTAGAGCCAGGATTCAAACCCAGAAAAATGGACCCCTGAAGTCCTGTATTTTTTATCCACAATGGGTTGGCATGCAAAAATTAGACTTACTGGCCGGGCGCTATGACTCACACCTGTAATCCCAGCACTTTGGGAGGCCAAGGCGGGCAGATCATTTGAGCCCAGGAGTTCAAGACCAGCTTGGGCAACATGGCAAAACCCCATCTCTAACAAAACTATACAAATTAGCTAGGCGTGGTGGTGTGCACCTGTGGTCCCAGCTACTAGGGAGGCTGAGGTGGGAGCATCACTTGAGCCCAGGTGGTTGAGGCTACAGTGAGCGGTGATCTTGCCACTGCATTCCAGCCAACAGGGCAACAGAGCAAGACCCTCCTCAAAAAAAAAAAATTAGACTTAGCATTTTTCCAAAGGGCAGATCCAGGACTGAGAATGGAAGTCACAGCAAGGCCAATGCCAATGGTGGCTCAAAAAGAAGAATTTTCTATCTGGTAGGGGTATAAAAGAATCAAAGTTATAGACAAAGGGTATCCTATTGCAGAAAATACACAAGCCAGATAACTAGCTTTGATGAATTTCAGTCTGACTGAGAGATTGAATTGAACCAGGGTATTTCACTGACCCCTTCATGGGAGGGAACTAGAGTTCACGGGCGCTAGAACTAGCCAGCCGCTTCGGTGCTGGCAGGGGCAGACTCCACTCACCTGGTCCCGCTGAGTTCCACCCTTGTGGGATGGGGAGCACAGGTGAGCAGGTGCAGGAGCCAGGGCGAGCACTTTTGGTCGCCAGCAGGAGCAAATCTCTGTGAGGGCCCCGTGGCAGCATCTAAGGTGGTGGCTGTGATCCCTGAAGCCCCAGAAGCAGTATAATAGTGTCCTTTTAGTTTTGCCATCCATGGTGATTTAAGTATGAACAGCTCAGTGGAGGGTCAGTGTGACGGCCTTTTGCGCCTGCATACCTGGCACTTGTATTGTCCGGCGTCCAGGAGGAATGTGATCACGAACGAATTAGAGATGGTAAATGTGGGGGATTTTATTGAGGGTAAAAGTGACTCTGAGTGGGAAGGGGAGCTGAAAAGGGGATGGAGTGGGAAGTGATCTTCCCCGGGATGGCCAGACTCCTTTCTGAAGCTACGCTGTCAAGCTGTCCCTCTAAAGTCAAGCTGCTTCTCTCCAATGTCCGCCCATAGTCTCTGATGCACAGCTGCTTCTTCTCTCTGCTGTCTGAGTTCTGGGGTTTTTATAGGCACAGGATGGGGGGTGGGGCGGGCCATGGGTGGTTTTGGAAAAGGCAACATTGGAGTGGTAAAACAGGGATGTTTGTTCTCACTTTGGGCCACGGTATTAGGCTTGAGGGTAGGGCCCTTGCTGGGGACCTGCCCTCTTCTGCCCCGAATTTCCCTGCCTCCTGTCCCTATCAGAACTAGAGGATTTCTGAGAGACACCTTCAAGCCCTGAGATTCTGTGTGTATGGTTGGGGTTGCAGTTATTCTAAATTTGGACATGAGTTGTCCTAAGAATGGAAGATTTTTTGTTCTCCTGTAATTCTTCTCTACCAAACACTTTAGATATGTGGAGATGCACTCCTAGTGAGCAGAGGCTGAGGGGGTATTCTGACATAGTAGAAAAAAAATAGTAGAGGTGTCAAGAGACCCTGGCTCTGATGCTTAACTTCCTGCATAACCTTGAAGGAATCACTTAATGTCCTGCGTGTTAGTTTCCTCAGTTATCAAATGCAAGTGGGAAGAGGTGGTGCACAGCATGGGGAGGTCACTCCCATAGCCACACTGCCCATCTCACTAGCTGCAAGTGACAAAATAACTTTTTGCCTCCATTTTCTTATCTGTAATACAGAAGTAATAACAGTAACAGCCTCCTAGGGCTATTGTGAGAATTCAATCAGTTAATCATTTCTAAAGTGCCAGGGACACAGCCTGCTATATAAAAAGCACAAAATAAGTGTTAGCCTACATGAGGACAATAGTAACTAATTCTCTTATCTCACTAAGAGATTGTGAGAGAGCAGTAAGGACCTATGCACAGGGCTACTCTGAAATAAGAAGTAGCTGTTTTTGTTGGTAGGAATGTCAAATGGTACAGCTGCGGTGGAAAACAGTATGGCGGCTCCTAAAAAAATTAAAAGGAGAACTACTATATGAGTCAGCAATTCTGCTTCTGGGAATATAGCAAAAAGAATTGAAAACAGGGTCTTGAAGAGATATTTGTAAGCCCATGTTCACAGCAGCATTACTCGCAATTGCAAAAATGCAGAAGCAACCCACGTGTCCACCCACGTGTCCACCCACAGGATAAATGGAGAAGCAAAATGTCGTATGTATATACAATGGAGTATTATTCAGCCTTAAGATGAAAGGAAATTATGACACATGCCACAACATGGGTGAACCTCGAGGACACGGTGCTAAGTGAAATAGGCCAGACACAAAAAGATAGATACTGTATGACTCCGCTCACATGAGGTACCTAGAATGGTCAAATTCATAGAGATCAACAGTGGCATGGTGGTTGTCAGGGGCTGAAGGAGGTAGGTAATGAGGAGTTTACTGCTTAATGGGCATAAAGTTTTCGTTTTACAAGATGAAACGCGTTATGGAGATGGATAGTGGTGACGGATGCATAACTTTATGAATGTATTTAATGCCGCAGAACTGTAGGCTTAAAACTGGTTAAGATGGTAAATTTTACCTATATTTTACCACAATAAATAATCGGGGGGGAGTAACTTTTTTTTATTAAAAAGTAAGCTCCCTTATAACATAATAAGGTCACTTTCCTGGGATTTTTCTAGGTTTAAATTTCCAGGTCCTAATTTCCTAGGCTGCAAATGTCTAGTGGAATCCAAACAGCTTTCTCCCCAGAGTGGGGCTTCTCCCCATGTTTATGTGGTTTTCTCTCTCACATTCAGTTATTTCTTTGAAATTACTGAAGTCTTTGACAATACAATAATCTTATCTTCCTGCCCATCTTTCTGCTGCTGGTTCCCTTGGCCTTCAGCTTTCTCATCCGTAAGTTCACAGGCAGTTGGGTGACCGGCTCTTACGTTTAGGTTTATAATCCACTTTGAGTTCACTTTTGTGTATGGTGTGAGAGCAAAGACTAAATGTCTCAGTACCATTTATGGAAAACCATCCTTTTCCCATTGAATGGTCTTGGTACTCTTCTTGGAAATCAATTGATGATAAAGGTTAAGTGTTCATTTCTGAACTCTCAACTCTGTTCTGTTGACCTATATGTCCTGTGCTTATTCCAGTACCACACTACTGTGATTATGTAGCTTTACAGTATGTTTTAGAACCAGGAATTTAAGTCCTCCAACTGTGTTCTTTTTCAAGGTTGCATTGGCTCTTCTGAGCCCTTTGCATATCTTATTCAATTTCATATGAATTTTAAGATCGGCTTGTCAATTTTTGCCAAGAACTCTGCTGGGATTTTACTAGGGACTGCATTGAATGTAGAGATCAATTTGGGGAGAACTGCCATTTTAATAATACTGTGTCTTCTCCACAAACATGGAATGTTTTTTCCATTTATGTTGATCTTCCTTAATTTCCCTCAGGAATGTTTTGTACTTTTTAGTATAAAAGTCTTCAGCTTCTTTTGTCAAATTTATTCCTGAGCAATTAAGTCTTTTTGATGTCTTTGCGAATGGAACTGTTTTCTTAATTTTGCCTTTGGATTCTTCATTGCTAGTATAAAGAACTGTAATTGATTTTGTATATTGATCTTGTCTCCTGTGGCCTTGCTCTACTCTTTTATTAGTTCTAGTAGCTTCTTTTGCATGTGTATTGACTAGTATTTTCTACATATCAGATGGTGTTCTCTGCACACACTACCTTTTGAAAGTGGTTCAAATCTTAGGTAGACTCAACTACTGGAAGGAAGAAGGGACTGTGTTGACAGTGACACAATCTTAGATTATATGGCTTTTCTCCTCCCTTCCCATGCACTGAAAAGCACCTGATATGGTTAGGCTTTGTGTCCCTACCCAGATCTCATCTTGAATTGTAATCCCCAGGTGTTGATGGAGGAACCAGGTGGGAGGGGACTGGATCATGGGGGCGGTTTTCCCCATGCTGTTCTTGTGATAGTGACTTCTCACGAGATCTGATGGCTTCATAAGGCAGTTTTCCCTGCTCTCGTGCACTTCTTCTCTCTCTGCTGCCCTCTGAAGAGGTGCCTTCCGCCATGATTGTAACTTTCCTGAAGCGTCCCCAGCCGCGTGGAACTTTGAGACAATTAAACCTCTTTTCTTTATAAATTACCCAGTCTCAGGTACTTCTTTATAGCGGTGTGAGAACAGACTAATATAGCATCATTGAGGATTTGTTTCTCACTTTATTTCACTAAGGTAAAAACAGCAGGGGGAATAAAGTAGAGAAAACAATACCTGTAAGTGGAAAAGCCCCAAAGAAAATAGGAAATGGCCCATGAACAACTGAGATGCAGCATGCCTTCAAAGCGGGTGCTAGATTCAGGAAATGTCTTCCAGGTTCCCCAAAGGAGAGCAGAGCCACCTTAAAATCAGCAGCTTGGGAGAAGAATGGCAAGGGCACTCTCTTGCACCAGGGAGATCAGCTGTGCCATGTGCCATATAACTTCTTTGAACCTCAGTTTCCTCATCTGTTTAAGTGAGAAAATCACATTTGCCCTACCCACAGCTCCCCACCTTCACAGTCACAGATCAGAGAGAAGGTGACAGCATGTGTATGGTGCACTGAGGCATGTGGACAGCTTCTTGCCACCAGAAACCACCAGCCCAGGGGCCCACTACCCAGGCTACCACTTGTGGTGCTCTGGGAAGGTCAGATTTCAACATTAAATAACATGAGCTGAAAGTTGAAGGAGTTTTGAGACTTGCAGTGGGAAAGAGGATTTGTTATCAGCTTACTCTTGCGGGAGGAACTGAAGTCATCTCAGTAGTTATTTGTGGCTTGACTATGAAAGCAGAATCCATGGAGGAAGCTAATTCCTCTCACCTGACACGATGCACATATTGTCTTTCTTCTTCCTTTCCCTCTCTCATTTGGGGGTGAGGGAGTGGGAGAGATAAAGGAAGTGATGACAGTGAGGTGAAGTGAAAGGAAGGGAGGACCACAAAGAACTGGGCCTTTTAAGACTCCTCAGGTGATGGCTTCAGAGATGTTTCTGCCCATTGTGGGCACTGAGAAAGACCATGATTTCTTTTCTAGAAAAGAGTGAGACTTTGACAAGAATGAAGGAAATGAGAGAAGATGCCTCCAAATGTGTTGGCTTGCTCCTAAATTATTCCCAGGACGTGGCTGGGGGGGAAAAAAGAAATCAAAGGTCCATCAAGTCATGCTCTTTGCAGGCCACAGGTGGCAGTGTCCTGAAATTGTCCCAGATACCTTTACCTTTAGAACCTCATTAAGGGGCCAGTGCTGGCTGGGAAGGCAGGACAGAGCGGGAAACAGAAACCTTTCTTCCTTCCCACCCCACAAGGTCACAGCTAATATTTTATAATCCATTCAGCTCACAAGGGAGGGACAAGGAGAGAGAAGAGGTGTGGAAGGCAGGAAAGGAAGCCAAAAGACTAGAAATAATGTTTTCTCTCCACTGCAACCCACATGGCTTAAACCCATTAAACTCCAAGGTGATTACAGAAATTAGACACCTTTTAACGAGCGGAACACTGGAGCCTAGGTGTGCCATGCACAGGCATGCAGGGACGGCTCGGCAAATAAACCCTGACAGCTTCTCACGGCTCAGGGATTAGAAGGAAGCCTGTTTACTTACATTTCATAAACTCTACCATCACAAAGGGCTCATAAGAAATTACCAGTGCTCGAGTCTTGGCAGCAGTGCCTTTGTCCAGCTTTGGCCTTTTTCTTGTGAACGGTAAATGTGATTTCAGGGAAATGACTTCAGAGATCTGGGAATGTGCATCACAGGCCATGAGCCCAGCTAAGCCACCCTACCCCTGGGGACCAGGCAGCAGGGCGGGCAATGGGAGCCAGTGGAGGGAGTGCCAAGCCTCCAATTCTGCAAGAACTTTAGGTTTCCCCATCAGTCGGTGGGCCCAGCTTTTACCCCCAGCCTTCTACACTGGCCATGGTGACCATGCTGGGGGTACCTCTCAGAGGACTCACCAGGACCAGTACTGTGTTGGATTTGATGGACAGAAGGACCTGCCTCGGGTTTGCCTCAGGGTCTTAGTCAAGATGGGAAAATGTAAATTACATGAAATCAACTGCAGAACACAAAATGGTGTATCAGAAAGAGCTAAACTGATGTGTAACACAAGGAACTGGGCAGAAGGAAACGCATGATGGGAAACTGAGGCAGGCTTTCTAGAAGAGGTGGGATTTACGAGAATGCAGAGTGGAAAGCAGAGGGAAGCCCCTCTGGTGACCTTCATGAATTCAAGTGAGAATATTTTCCCACAGCTACAAGGATACTAGAAGGTATTTCCTGCAGCGGGTATTACACCTGCAGCTGCTTCCCCCTTGACCAGAGTCTGCTTAGGAACAATCAGGCAGAAACTACCTTGGCTGCCCAAGGGCTGGACTCCAGTCTAGGCTCACAGTTAATTGCAAGATGTGCGTGTAAAGGGCTTTGCACCAACTGGGATAGGTTGTCCCATCTCCTGTTGCCCTATCTCAGGCCACTTTAAGTCAATAGAAGCTTAAAGTATCTGTGGGCATGAGAGAGAGCTGGGCTATGTGCATTGTCAGGACTGGGAAGAAACCAGGGCAGCACTAATCCAGTGAGGTGGGGGCTTCTATCAGGCTGTAAGCCCACTCGGCAATACTGACAGGTGGGAAGCTTCTAAGCAGAAACCCTGAGGTCCCTGGAAACCATCAAATAGGATGAGGGTTGCGCTAAGGAAACGTCTAGGAAAAATGGGCCCGGACAATCTTGCCCCAAGCTCAGTCAAGAAGGGGAAAGACAGACCTTGTATCTCCTTCCTGCCTTTCAATTCTGACTATGAAGGTAAGAGACATCACGGGACTCCAAGGAAGGCCCTGGGACTCTAGACTACAGAGAAGAGCCTAACTAAATTGCTTATAAAAGTTTTTTGGAGTTCCTCCTGTGTAGGTCAGATGGAGGCATTACTGGCGAGTCTCTACACTCCAGGCCAACTATTACAACACATGACTGGTGCCCCATACAGAGCTATAGGAAAGTGCAGAGTGCATTCTGTCTGGGAAGGAGAAAGGAGGAGGGCAAGAGTCACACTGAGTTGAGTCCTGCAAGAGGAACAATATTTCCAGAGCTGGTGAAGGTTCTGAGCTCAATGACCTGGTGTCCTTTTGCATTTAAAGGCCAATGTATTTCCTACCCTAAGGAAAAGTTCACCTGTCAGACACTGGTTCACCCCTAAACAGAGAGAGAACTGGCCAGAACCCATAAGCAGAGTAGATCACTTCCAGCTATCATCCGTCTCCCCCTGGAGAAAGGCCAAGTGCGTGGACAAAGGGGAATCAAGGACCACTGGACAGACCCCGACACTGGGCACGTCCACCCCTCGGTGACAAGACCCGAGCACCTTGCTTAGAAAGTCATCTGCTCGGTAGGAGGCACTGGCAGAGGGGCTCTGGTGGGACATTGAGCCCAGTGAACCCCATATGGATCCCTGTTGGCTGTAAAGAATCTCTGGACATGGGAAATTGATGGGGGCTGGAATACAAAAGAACATGAAGATAGGACATTTCCATTTTGTTAATACCCTTGAGACTTTTCAATAGGCTGTAGCTGAAGCCTCAGGACAGTTCTGAGAATGAAGCTGGGAGGGAGTACTGTCTCCATGTCACAGATAAGGAAAATAAGGCTCAAAGAGATCATGTACCTGCCCTAAGGTCCTATGGCTAGTCAGAGAAAGAACAGAAAACAGAACTTAGTTCTCCTTTTCCCCTAAGTGCCCATAAGCAAGTCACTAAACCTTACTATGGAAGGGGCAGGGGGTGGGAGGGGTGGCAGGCAGGCTCATTTGTGGAGTCCTTGACACGCTGTTTAGAAGTAGGTGAGTTAAATTAAAATACACTGGTTTGATAACTATTGATGATAATTAATATGTGAGTTAGTCTTCCAATTTTCAAAGTACTTTTTACATTTAATGAGCTACCCAGCTGGTCCTTCTAAAGCCAAGGGAGAATTGCATTTTAAAACCAAATTCAATTTTCCAGGATTTTCTGGTACTTGACAGAAAACTTCCTGTATGCAAGTCAAAGGTTAGTAAGCAGTGGAAATGCTTTGATGGTATTTATTTTAAGCCAAGATATCCTCCCTATTGAAAAAATCTTTTTTCCAAGTATTCACTTTTGAGTTATGTAGCATTCTTACTAAAAAATAAATGAGTTAAGTAAATAAGGGGAGGGGAAATGGGAACCACTTTGATTTGAAGCTTTCAACAAATGACATTGTCCAGAGTGTGTCCTGATCAAATTCAGTGTTTTGAAATGCAGCTTTTCAAACATTCAATACCTAACATGTAACTAATAGGTTTGAGTTTTACCGTGATCTCCAACTCCTCAAGTTACACAGGATGTGCCAAGTAAAGGCCTCCTTCCACTGACCACACAGCACTGCGAGCTCACAGCCTGCTGGGAGGGCAGAGGGTACAATCACCTCCCAGAACAATGTCTTCCACGATGTGTTTTTTCTGTCTCTTGTTCCAGCCACCTGTCTTCATTGCTGTATAAAAGAAGACTTTCATCACCAGGCATCAGTTGTGTTTATCAGCCCTTAACGGGATCTTGTCCATTCAAGTTCCTCGGGTTCCCTTGGCCAACTGGAGATGAGATTTCCTGTACTCTTTTTCTAATGAGTTTAGCAAGGAGGTATCAGACAAGGAGGGCAGTTCAATGAAAGCCTTTGACTCACCTGGCCCAGCCTGCTCTTAATCCTGTGCCTCAAAACTTCTCTAAGTAGGGATAAAAATGGCCAGGAAGGCTGGGTCTCCAGGAACAAGATGCCATTGGATTCCTGCCTCAATCATTTCTCGAATATCAGATACACCTCTCCTGACCTAAAAAGAATTCACTTCAGGAGAAGGGACAGAGAGCAGGCTGATCATGGCCTTCCCCACTAAGTTGAGGAAAGCCCAGTGTCCTCCTGTGCATGATGAGATTTTAAGAGCTGCCTGTGAACTGGTAGATGAAAGTGGAAATAGGGCTGTCCTACCAATGATCACTCAATGACTACACTGGAAATAAACAGAGAATGTGAAGTCCGTCTTGAATCCCATCCAAGGGAACCCTGGCTATTAAAGTGCTCTAAGTTCTTGCTTATAAGATGGTATTTTCAAGAGGATTCCTGAAGGGGTCTTGCCCATGTGTAGACCCTAAGGGCAGCGCTATCATGTTGCTGCTGTAGCTACACAGTTGACACTCCGCCTCCCCCACTGACTTTTAAAGTTTCAACCAGCTATGTAAACTCTTACCAGGAAGAACCCAAAATTAAGCCATCTTAACGTGTCTTAATTAGAAAAATGCCACATGCTTAAATTTTTCCATTTTTCAATGTGACGTGTACATCGAGGAAACCCCAAAGTGGAGACTCTCAAACTTGAACATGCAGAAGCAGCCCCTACAAGGTTTATTAAAATCACCTGGGCCTCAGCCCAGAGATTCAACTTCAGGAGGTGATTTTGTTGAGAAGCAATGGTTCTGAGGGCCATTGAGAAACACTGTCATGTGGAGCTAGGTGTCACTGCATATTGTTGGGGGAAATGATCTCTAGCCCTAGAGGTAGGGCAGGCCCCAGAGCCTATATCCAACGGCTAGAGCATGCTGAGTCTGGTGGAGACAGGAGGCTGGCTGCTCAGCCAACTTGGAGCAGCTGATTTACTCTGAACAAAGGATGGCAGCTGATCTGTTAGGAAACAGGTCTGCTCTTATGGTTCTCATCCAGTACTGCCACCAGAAATGAATCCCAGCCATCCCACTGGGTAAGCAGGGGCACTGGCCTCTCTGGAAGAAAGGGAGTTATTTCATTTACCATCAGATACCATCTTCCCATGACAGCTGAGGATGTCTGTGACTCAGGCCTCCTTCCAGCCATTGTCTTTGTCCCCCAGGAGATGCTGTTTTGATCTCTCACCTGCTGACTCAGTTCCCTCTACCAGGGCCCCACACTGTAAGTTAAGACCTACAGCCTAACATGCTTCAATTTCATTTTCTTTCTTCTTCTTTTTTTTTTATTTGAGACAGAGTTCTGCTCTGGGCTGGAGTGCAGTGGTATGATCTCGGCTCACTGCAACAACAACTGCCTCCCAGGCTGAAATGATTCTTGTGCCTCAGCCTCCCAAGCAGCTGGGATTACAGGCATGTGCCACCATGCCCAGCTAATTTCTGTATTTTTAGTGAAGACAGGGCTTCACCATGTTGGCCAGGCTGGTTGCGAACTCCTGACCCCAAGTGATCATCCCGCTTCAGCCTCCCAAAGTGCTGGGATTACAGGCGAGAGTGACCATGCCCAGCCATATGCTTCATTTTCCATAGCACAGTGGATATCCCTTGATACCAGAGGGAGGAGAGAGAAGAAACAAAACAACATGCAGATCCTACTGACTGGAGCCTGAGAAGCTCCTGCAATATTACTAGCCTAAACATCTCCACCAACCCATGAACCTGGCGCTAGCCTGTCTTAGGTAGGACTGAGGGATAAATAAGTCAGGCAAAATTCTGTATATGTCAAAGAGGACGGTCAAAATTGCTTTAACAGCCCTTAAATCAGTGTTTTATTTTTAACCACAACATGCAGTACTGATGACCCAGTCAATAAACATGTAGACACATACATGGCCAACTTATTCACACATGAGGGTGTATGTATGTATGTAAATACTATATATGTGTACATACACATAAGTAACTCAAATTAAATGTTCCCCAATGGAATTCCTATTTTTGCTATATGTGGTATACCCTAGGTTGTCTACCCTACTCTGTTTCATTAAAGTAAAAATGCCCATGGAGACACACTACATGAATTTTGTGATCCACTAATTGAACACAACCCGGAGCTTAAAAAATGCTCTTTAACTCACCTGTAGAATATAGCATATATGGTTTTATGTATACTGCTCTGTAAAATAAAATATGAGAACATATACTATACATAACGAAGTATATAGAATAAGAAGATACAAACATGTAACATACACTAGAATCACACACCACGTGGAGTGAAGCCTTCCCTGTGACAGATTCTCCTGCTTGGAGAGGCAGAGCGGAGCTGAGGGCCCCTGGGCACAGAGTGGATCCACAGCTCCAATACTGGGCTCATCCAGAGCTAAGAGGAACTCAGTGCACTTTCCCTAATTTATTTATTTGCCAACTACCTTTAATTAAATTAGCATAAATTAAAGCTTCGTGTGTGGTGACCTCACAGCATTCCTACTGTTATTAGGAGCTATTGAGCATTCCAGGTTTCTACAGGACTTTGCATTTAAAATGCTAAAAGACATAAATCCTAAATTTAATAACAGCATGCTAAGTTAGCAACTCTCTCAACTCAAGAGCAAGATGGTGAAGAGAGAAATCTGAGCACAGTGCAAAAATGGGACCACATCACAGTTAAATACAAGCGTATTTATTACATGAATGTCCCCAGCCAAAAATTAAGTGCTCATACTTGAATCAAAGCCCCCAAAGCACCAGATGAGCTCAGCATAAGGCCTTTGCTAGTCTTCTCACTAATTCCTGCCCTGATTACCCTAAGCCAATATTGATATCTCCTTTCTCTAACAGATCACTGGGACTTAAGGCACTCTTTAATTATTTCACATAGCTAGATCTTCCTTACTAAATAAGAATGTAAGGGCCAAGCCCAGACTTTTTCATTCATTCATTCATTCAACAAACATTCTGTACCCACTAAGCACCAAGTTACTCTTCTCTTGTAATCTTCTTAGTTCTCTAAACCAGGGTTTGAACACAGTCCCCAGTGCGTACTTTTACAATACAGAATTGAATTGAATTTGCATAGTTGGTGACCAGGATTAGAAATGTATCTTGGCCTCCCATCCAAGGTGGTTGGCATGAAATCCTAACAAGGACAGAGAGCATGATGTCACTCATTATTGCTATGCTCAGGACACCCCAGCCAGTGGGCCAGATACTCATGACTCTCCTATGCAGAAAGATCTTCCCCATTCAGAATTCGGCATCCGCTTTGAGATGGTTGCCACAAAAATAAATAGGAGACTCCTAAACAATCAGCCACTATTTCAATCACAGAAACACTCATGTTTTCAGAACAAATTGATACATTATAATGATTCATGGATGAAGAGAAACTCCTTTCTGATTCCTTGCATCTGGAGTTCCATAAGGGAAATCTAGGGGAAAAATCAGAAGTAACAGAAACCCCCTTTTCACCTTACTTTCTCTGATACATCATCTCAGTTGCCTAAAACCCTGCTCCATCTCCCCTTCCACCTCTACCACATCCCCACTGCCCAAACACACAACCAAGAACTCATTTTTGCTGCTAATGAAGAAGCTTGGTGGATGTTTCTATTACTTACCATAATACCTTATAGGCAACAATGGCCTTATCTCTAGGGGTATACTATAATACTGCTCTTGTAAGTTAAAACATTTGTAACATAATATATTAAAAAGATATCAATGGGTATTTCAAATGTTACTTAAAAAAAATTGAAATAGTTACTGTATGTGTGACTCTTCCCCTTCACTGCTGGAATGAAAGTTGTTTGTCTTGCCATATAAGCATGACTGTAAGAAGTCCAAACGAGCTCTGAGTTATATAACATATTTCACATTTTTAGGGGCTGTAATTAGAGTGATAATATTATGGCAATACTCCTAGAACAGATTAAGGACCTAATTGTGATGAAAGAGGGCTTTGGGTCAGAAGTACATATCTGAAACTGTTTTATTTAACATGACTTTGGCACAAGGATCGGTAATAATCCCATATTTACAGAACACCTTGAAAAAAAAAAACTGTTTTTCTGAAGGCCCTACAAAGTTTTCCCACTTCAAATGTTTAATTTGGATGGGAAGTTGCCTTGTGAGTGTAGAATGAAGTTACAAAACAAAACAAAGAGGGTCCCTCAGGAAACTACCACAATTCTAGAAGGGTTTAGAAAGACGGGAGCTACACAGAGGCCAATGTGGTTTCTGAAACTTTCTTCTTCTAGTAAAAATGCTACACCAAACAAGAACATTGCGTGGCAATCAAAACCCTGACCAGGGAGGTGCCTGTGAACAAGGATGCTGGGAAGAAGCCCACAGTCAGGCTGGAGTTACCATTCCTGATTAGCCAGGAAGAACTAGGTGGGGGTCTCTAGCTGAGCTTTTGAGAGTGTGCACCCACCCTTCGCCTCTGGTGTTTTGTAACATGGAAGAAGCCTCCAGGGAGACATTTCTTCTCCCATTAGTTACTTAAGAGAATACCACTCAGGGCTCATGCCATTAGTTGAAATTAAGTAGAAGGACCAAGAGGGGTTTATCTGATGGGCTTTAAAAGCAGGTCTCGGCCATGCTTTTCCAGAGGCAAAGAGAGAGAACTGCAGGCTGGCGCAAGTACCTCTTAAGCCCTGCTGGCCAATTTACCCTGTGGCTAGTCCTGATTGAAATTCGGAACAGAATCTTGGACTCTAACCTCTCCTGTTTACTTTTGTTTGTTTTCTTTTCTTACCAATGCTCCTTGTGAAAAACTCCAACTGACCCAGGCAATAAGCAAACAGGAGAAACTACTTTCCTCACCTGTTCAACAAGAATAAAAAGTGGCAACATTCTGAGACTAGGACGCTGGGGGAAAGAGTGAACAGGAGGGGAGAACTCACCCAGACAGACTGTGTGTCAGCTGTGGATGTTACTCCCTGTCTCAGCCAGAAGAATTGATGAAATTCACACACTCCAAAGACCAGCAAGTACTGCTCCCTAACAAACTGCTAATTTAACACCTTTGACTTTTCCTTTTCACATTAACCGACTCTTTTCAATAATGTTAATATTAACTTGGCTGGTAATCCCAGTAGTCAGTATTTGGAGTTCAGCTACAGATCATATATTGAGAAACACAATCAAACCATAAAATGGGATTCCTGGAAGGGGGACTGCCACCTCAAATTATATTACAATCTTTGATATAGACATCACCCATTTTGATAACTAAAAGCTAACCTCTGAAAAGAATTGCTCATGGTAAGTTTCCAGTGTGGAAAATAAGAGTATTCAAGCCGACATGTTAACATGGAGGCTGGTTTTTTCAACATCAAATTGTTGGCCGTGCAGAACAGTTTTAGGGCAAATTCCTCCAGCTTAAAGAATTTTAAATTTAATTAAACAATCTAATGTAAACTGATCTATACAGTATTTTGTCATGACGCATATGGAGAGGTATTCACAAGGAAACACTTCAGTACTATGTTGTTCATTCCAAGTTAAGGGAAAAAGCTATTATTTGTGACTTGGCAGTTAACTTGGTAAACAGATCCAGATCACTGCCTTGTGGGTTACTTGGGCCAATACTTGTAAAATTTATCTAAGACTATGTGCTGAGATTCCCATAGTTCCTGCAAATGCTGCAACTTTCCACACTATAAATTTCCTTTCTTCTAGAAGCCAGTCTGGATGTGAACTGAGTTAGGGCAGGGAAACATATGCAAGTGTGTTTTTCTCTCTTGAAAACTCAATGTGTGTCTAACAGGTGTATGTGGCTCTATAAATATACATGACTTAAGAAAATCAAAGCATCAGATATTGACTTATGGAAGGAAAAACCAATGAGCCAATCATTACATGAAAAGGGATTTTGTTTTGTTTTAATATTGCTTTAAAATTCTGATTTTGGACTTGGGTATACCCAGTACTCTTAAGATCAAGGGTAATCATTTGTTAGTTTAAAACCTATGGCTTAACAACTGGTACAAATATGAGAAAAACTGGAGACTGCATCCCTGCTGTGAACTTGAAGACCTGCCGAATCCAAACCTACTTATGAAATGAATACCTCGTGCCACCTACTCACAGATAGAAATGATTTTCAAAAAGTCAGAATATGACAGGCAAACGGAATGATTTATTTTGAATGCTGGAAATATAAACCGTGCCCTGATTAACTTACAAAGTTCTCATTCCTGGTACATATGGCAGCTTTAGCTGTGACCTAGATAGAGGGTAAAGTCCGAACTACATTTAAAACTGAGATTCGTCAGTTTGCCAGCTTTTTGGAAATCAGCGATTTTCAGAGTACAAAGGTTAGTTAGAATTAAGGGAAAGGGAGGGAGATGAAATCTTAGTAAGTCTTTAGCACTGCCTGCTCAGATTGTTACTAGTCCTGTCTGTTAACTCTGTGTCATAAACAGATCTCTTTCCATCATTACCCAATTCTTTCTAGTTTTACTCTAAAATTCTAAACTCTAGCTCAGAAGACTTAAAGGCAGATTTTGCCATTTTCTCAAGATTGTTAGCAATCTACAGTACAAGAGGTCTTCTGGTGTGGGGCTCTCCCTACATCCTGTTAAGTGTCCCTGGAAGTCCTAGACAGTGGCTCTCAACCCTTCCCCAGAGTGCTCCCCCAGGCCCCACCATGAAGATTCAATTTCAGTTGAACTGGGGTGAGCCAGGAGGTAGTATGTTTTTAAAGGAGTCCAGGTGATCCTAAGCTGAAGCCAAGGTAGACAACACTATCCTAAGGTATTCACGGTGCTCTGCCATCTGTCTGTCCTCCAAGTACCCTCCAGTGTAACCAGATTACGGTCTAATTGCTGTTCACCCTTCACAATTCCTGCTTTCCACTCGTCTCCTCTTTTGTGTGGATCCTCTCCCTGGAATGCCCCTAGCTCTCCAGCTCTACCAGCTAAAATCCTACTCATCCTTTGAGGCCTAGTTCAGTTCAATTTAGTTAACATCCCCTAGGCACCTACCATGAGAGCCAGACATTGTGTTCAGTTCTGTGTCTAAACACTGTGTGTATTCAGAGAGGCAAACAGGCCCTGCCTTCAGGAAACTTCCAGCCATGGTTAATGGGTGTGTTGACCAGGTTGTGAAACAAGTTTTCTAACATATTTACTCAAATTAAATGTCCTCCCCTCAGTAGGTAAAAATGGCAACTCCAGAAACAGCACAGGCTTGCAAGCATGGCAGCCCACAAGCACAACCACAATCCATCCCAGTAGCAGAGAAATAAATCTAGGATGGTGCGGAGACCCACAAATAACCCCACTGAGGGCAGACTGTGGTGTGAACCCAAATATCCCCCTCCTGGATCAGTGGAGAATATGAGCCACTGAGCAAATGAGAGGCTGAGCCTGTGTCTAATTGAAGAGCCTCGTATATGCCTTAGCCCAAATGTCAATATCGTCATCCTGAACTATTTCTGGAATAAACAACAGGAAAAACACTTTAGAGGACATTAGCCAGAGTAGGCTTCTGGAAGAGGAAGGCTGAGCCAACCCAAAGATCTAACTTAGACCCTGGGAGCAAAATTTAATTTTTTTTTTAATAACATGAACCAGACTCCCTCTTCCCTTCCCTCTCCCCTCCCCCTCTACTAAAACAAACAAACAAAAAAACAACAACAAAAAAACCCCACGAATACAGCTAAAAAATCATGGTCAGTAGGGTTAGAAGAACAGGCCTCAGTGGAGGCTCATTGAGCAATAATGTTTTGGAATATACATATGGAGATCTGAAACCCCAATGGGTCAAATGCCATTGTGAAAAGATTATGGCAGAGAACTGACAGCTGGCTTCCAAGCTCCCTGGAACGAATGCTCTCACTGGAGGAAGATGTGAGAGAGACAGAGAAACTGGGTGGGAAGCAGGTGAGCAAGAGATGGTAAACCTGAAGAGAATCATAATTAAAAGCATAGCAAATCATGTGTGTCATGTAAAGGACTTAACATTGCATCCACTCATTTAATCCTGAAAATTAGTCTATTCATTACTATTATCTTATTTTGCAGATCAAGAATCCGAAACACAGAGAAGTAGATTGACCAAAATTGCCCAGCTAGTTTGAGCAGAGGTGGGGTCTCAACTACGTTAGCCATTAAAGCCGTATTCTTACTACCACGCTAAATTGCATTTTAACAGTATCTCAGATACCTAAGGAACTAGATAAATTACATCTAAAAGACATTTTCAGCCAGGAACTATATTGGCGCTTCAAATGTTTATTGGTAAGGTCTGATTCCCAACCTGAAGATGTTCATAGTTGCTACAGCAATAAGTAGGAAAACTCAATCAACATTAAGAAAAACATGCTAAATCTTCTGTCATTCCTCTGTTTGGAGTTGGTAGAAGAGCTCCGTTTTATCATTATAAAGCATGGCTAAGCCTAGATGCTTGATGTAATGGAATAAGATGGTCATTCGCAAGGAAATATCTGGAAAATGTGTGTGTGTGTGTGTGTGTGTGTGTGTGTGTGTGTGTGTGTGTGTGTGTGAAGTTGTTACTATGCCTTAATTCCATCATTGTATATATTTAATACTACACCAAAGACCATGACAAGTATTGGTAGAACATTTGGGAGGTGAGAACCTTTGTGGATCAAATCATTTTTCGAGCCTCTTCTGAAGCCAGTTCATTTTAAGTTCACACATTGCTTGGGAGCTAGCAGTAGTTTGAACTTTTGGCCCGTGAGATATCCTGCCCATGGGTAAGTAAACATGCAGCAGGGACAAACAGTTTTTATACAACTCTTCATTGTACCATGATAAGATCGGGGAAAACTTTTTTTTTTCCTAGTTTAGATTTCTTTATTCAAATGTCACACTCAAAAAATTCCCCACCCCACTTTGCCAAGACCTGACATTTGCTCTCCTGTCTTCCCTAACTGCAATAGTGTGGCGTTTGCTGCCAGTATGTTTCAAAAATGAATTTTAAATGCAAAGTAGCGCCTTGATTTTTTTTCCTTAAAATTATACCAAGACTATAAATGGCTTATAAAGAAGATAACTATAGAGGAAGGGCCCCCAGCCAGGCAGGGCCACACTCAACTGCTCTCCTTCTTCATCCTCAGCAGATGCAAGACAGGACAGAGGAGACTGGTATTAAGTTGCTGTGCCAGGAGCTTGCACACACATCACTGCATCCCAGCGTTAAAACAACCCTATGATGGTCATCATCATCTTATCCTCATTTATTTTTTATGTTTTTAAGATAAAGAAAATAAGCATCAAGGAGTTTCAGTCATTTGCCCAACGACAACCAACCAGCACTCAAATTAAAGGCCACATATGTATCCAGCTTCAAAGGCAGTGATCTTTCCCTCTTTGCTAGAGCTGGGCTTCTGTCTGTAAGACTTTCTTCCTGACTCTCAAAGGCCTCCTGATACCCCCTGTAATCTGACTGTAGCCCAGACCAGTTTCTGTAGGTTGAAGAGTGGCCTGAGAAGGAACAATAGCCCTACAACATCCTGCCCTCAGAAGAAAGGATTGGGAGTTGCGGTTGTTTTCTTGAAATGTATTATTGGTAGGCTGGATAATGGCTTGGGTATGTTTCTCCCTCTTTTGAAAAATGGCAAATAAAACAATACTCAGCTATAGTGTTACCAACCTGGGGATGGAAGCGTTCGCCTGAGGGATATTTGAACTCCTCCAGAGTAGTTTATGTAACAAGGCATCACTAAACCAAATGGCATTAGCAGGTAATCCCTTTTTGCCATGTCATATGGTAACAATGCACCCCTGCTTTCTCACACAGGGCTAATGACTGATGGAAGAAGGGAAGAGGTGAGCGAGGCTGAGACTTTGCTTGCAGATAGGCCTGACTTGGAGTTTGGGATCCTTATCTTCAGCGCCAGTACGCCTGTTTAGTCCAGAAATGGAGCCACACTTTTCATAAGAATAGCTGTCCACCCCAGTCTGTGGGATTCCAGTGGTTCCAGAAAGGCGGAAAGAGAATTCCTGCAGACCGCAGAGACTTATGTCTGGGGAGGGTGTCTGTGGCTGGGAGGGGGCCCTGGCAGAGTGATAGTCATCACTGGAATGGGTACAGGAAAATCTGAGTCAGCAAATGAAGGGGCTGAACCCAAGTGTCCTGGACGCCAGCTGTGGGAAGGCAGGCGAGGAGGAGGGTCCGTCCTGGCAGCTGCTGGGAGCTTCTGAGAGTCAGCATCTACCAGGGCCTGGGCCAAGGTAGCTGACTGGGAGAAGAGGATGGGGGACAGCCAGGCTTCCACTGGTTTTACAACTTTCTCTGTCACTTGAGGCCCTCTACACATAGCCCCGACATCTCTCTTCTGCATTATCTTCCACTAGGCCCCTACACAAACTCTCCACTGAGGTTTGTTCACCTTTCTCCCACCAGGAACATCTCAAGTGTCCGCCGGGCTTGCAGTGTCCTTCTCATCAGCTCAAGTCCTACCTCTTGCAAGAGGCCTTCCTTGACCACCCCAGCCCAGAGAGGACACTCCCTCCCCTCTGAGAGTTTTGAGATGGATGCTCTGTGCTCCTTAGTGTGTGCTTGCCATGTCCTGCCTTGTCCAGATACCCAAGCTTATTTTTGAGACAAGGTCTTGCTCTGTAGCCCAGGCTGGAGTGCAGTGGCGCGATCATGGCTCACTGCAGTCCCCACCTCCTGGGCTCTAGTGACCCTCCCACCTCAGCCTCTCAAGTAGCTGGGACCACAGGTATGTACCACCATACCTGGCTAATGTTTTTTAATTAATTTTGTGTGTGTGTGGAAATAGGGGTCTCACTATATGGCCCAGGGTGTTCTTGAACTCCTGGCCTCATGCAATCCTCCTGCCTCAGCCTCCCAAAGTGCTGGCATTACAGGCATGAGCCACCACACACCGGCCTAGTTATTCTTTCTTTTCTAGAATGGTCAGGTGAGTGCCTGCTCTCGCTCTGACCCCACCTCATCCCACTTTCCCCTTAACTCCCTCTGTCTCCAACCATGAGCAGAGCATCACTGCTCCTTAGAAGTCCCAGACACACTCCTGCCACAGGACTTTTGCACGGGCCACTCGATCTGCCAGGGACACTCCTCCCCCAGGCATATGAGTGGCCGGCTCCTCCACTTCTTTCATGTTCTGCTTAAATGTTACTGTAATTCATCAGAGACCACCCTGGATTACAACAAACAAACACCTTTTCCCTAGCACTTCCACCTTCCCCTGCTTTGCAGTCTCATTTGTTATCACCACCTGACATCAGGGATTTTTTAATCCGTTATTGCCTTTCTGCCACTACTTGAAGCTCTATGAGGACAGGTTTCCAGCTCTTTTGTTCTCTGCTGGATCTCAAGGACTTAGGACTGTGCCTTGCATGTAGCAGGTATAAGATAAACAGATGTTAAATTAATGCATATCTGTTATAACTTGTTTGCCTCCATGGTGTTAGGCTATGTTTATGTATATACACTTACTATATATAACGTGCCATATACACCATATATAGTAATTTATATTTACCTTACCATCTACTATATACACACGCACATATATGGCATATGCCAAATACATGACAAATGTTCAGCAGACATTTACGAACAACAATATTATTCCCTCCTTGAGCTGAGACCTCTAATGGTTTTTCATTTCACACACTCCTTCCCTAAGTCTGGGAGGGCACCCCCTGGACTAAAGAGGGGAGTTATGAGGTGGGGATGGAGCAGGCAGGGACTGGGAAGGACAAAGTGTCCTGTTTCAAGTTAGCATCTGCACAAAAGAGCCTGCCCTGGGGTATGGTCTAGTCAAGCAAAGCCCTGGCCTTTTGTGCTTCTTGCTCACACAGGAGACCTGGACCTTGTTTTCTCTATGAGAAAGGAGTTCAGATCCTTCAGGCTACAGAGAAGGCTCTGGCCTTTCAGGCCAGCTTCAAAAATTCTGATGTTTCTCTAGAGGTATCAAAGAAATCCTGAAGTGTGGTGTCATGAGCTATGGGCAGGCCTGTGGTGTATGGGGACACCTGGACGATGGAAGCTGGGAATGTGCTCTGCTTGAAAGCCCTGACATCAAGGGTCATTCTGATTTTGCTGAGCCAGAGCAAAGGAGACCCTGTCTGAAGGAAGAGGAAGGGTGAGACCTTCAGCTTCAGAGGTACAACCCATGTGGTCACAGGCTGCTTTCGAGAAGGGACTCTTTGGGTCTAATCCAGATTTGTAGCCCCTTCCCAGAACCAAGATGTACAGAGACCACACATAGTAGGGCTATCACTCTAAGGTGTAGGCAGTGCATGCCAACAAGCTAGCAGTCTCAGAATGGTTTGCAAAGGTGCAAACCTCAGAACATACCATCAGTAATGAATCTGGCTACTGTTTGGCCTCTGATACGTGCATGGCACTATGCCAGAAATAATATCTCTAATCTTCCCAACAAGCCTCCAAAGGAGGTCAGAGCAGTTGATTTGCCAAAGGACTCCCTGTGGTTGGGCAGCAGAGCCCAGACAGGATCCCCGCCCTGGGTTCTGTCCAGCATGCTAGGTTGCCTCTCCTAAGCCCATGGCCTCGGCGTGCTCCCAAGGCTACAGGAGGGGAAGCTGACAGAGACTGAGTTACTGTGGTGTCCTTAGATGTGGGAGGGAGGATCTTCGGAAGGAAGCAGCCAATTCTGGTGTTGCTTGAGGTTTGAAGGATTGGTGGCTAGAGATCTATATGCAATGTTTTCAAAATTAGGAGTTGGAATGGAAGATACTCCGACCAAGGAAGAATACAATACCAAATATGCAAACACGGGCACACAGCCCCCTCCTTACGAAAGTAGGGGGAAGAGCCCTAATCACCACTATCATTTATTAAATGCTTGCTATGGGCCTGGTGCTGTTGGGTAAGTGCTTTACCCAATTTATTTCATTTAATCCTCCCTACAACCCTATGGGGTAGGTGACAGCCCCTATCTAAGGATAACATGGAAGTGAGTGCTTGGAAAATCTGTAACTACTTTACAAGTAACATTGAGGTATAAGTACTCAGGTTTGGACTCTCACAGACCGCAGTCTTGGCTCTTGGGATGCCCCAAGACATCCTTTATTTCAGAGCCAAATTTCTAAAAGCCTAGAGTGTTGTCATCTCCAGCATGGCTTAAGGCTATGTCCTTACCCACTGTCAGTGGGCTGGGGCCATCTGCCTAGACTTGGTGCCTGTTTTAGGTACATTAGAAAGCCTACGGCTTTCTCTAAACTGAAACATAGGCTTTCAGACTGAAATCCCAAGCTCAAGGTTGTCCTCACACTGGTGACCCCTCAATTTGTTCCTCTCATCAGAAATGCTCTTTCCCCTCTGAGTCATCAGTGCAAATCCTACAGTCCTCCAGGCTCAGGTGAAATGCCACCTCCCATGCCCAGTTGCCCTGACTCTCCATTCTTCTAGGAACTCCTCCAGCAGCCCGGCATCTGATTCTATCGAATCCTGCACTGCTTACCTCATTTCATACGTACACTTTTGAGGATAAGGCTCATAGCTTACAGATCTTTTTCAAATCCAGTCAGATTTAGGACAGTGCCTTGGGCAGTCATTTGCTGATTGATTCTAAAGTCAACTCTCTCCAACAGTAGGTGTCTATGCCACTATCAGGCAGTATTTCTCAAAGCGTGGCCAATAACCACCTTGCATTTTAAAATGCAGATCCCCAAGCCCTATTGAATCTGTATCTCAAGGGGTGGGACCTACAATTTGCCAATTAACCGGCTCCCTGGGAGATCCAAAAACACTAATGTTTAAGAACCCTGCCATGAGGGACAATGCAATAGTCAACTGAGACAGCAAGATCCATGTCCAAGGGCCATCAGAAGACAGGGTGTGGGGTTCTGCTATGAATGCCAAGGAAACCACCCACTGTGGTGGGACTTCCCACCACCACGCCCAGTGAGGAAGATGATGAGCAACGGCTACCAGACCTCTCTCACCAAATGATGATGTGTTGACGTGCTGTCATCACCATCAGTGAAAATGATATGACTAAGTCCATAAGTGATGTTTGGTTCACCTTTTCTCCTCTCTAATCCTCCCAGAAATGACTGATCTTTGTAAATACTACATGTTGACTTCTTGTCATTGCGTCATAAGTGGAGGCCATCCAACTCATGCTTCTACATTTTTCATCTGATTACAGGTGAGAACGGGCTTCTCCTCCAACTGGATGGCTCCAGTTCTATACATGAAACCCTGACCTTTAGAAGCACCACTGACGGCTACTTCAACTTATACCTCCGTGTTTCCAGTCCATGATGAATTTTTGGGAAAGAGAGCTCTTTTCTCACAGTTGAAAACACTGGCAGCCTGCAGATGTGGAAGTCTCAGCTGGGAAACATGAAATCTTTCGATATCCCAAAAGCACACACCTTGGAAGATAAACTTTACCCATGACTAACTAAAGTCATTCTTAAGAGAAAATTATGGAGAGGATTAACATGCTTCATCCCTTTCTCTCAGCTTCCTGATTAGGACCTTCTAGAGTTACATAAATCACTTCTTGCTCTAGCCAGCCTGACTCCAAGCATCAACACACCATTGTTGCCTGGGCATTTTTTCAGCCTAGCCAATAAAAACTCCCAAGTCATCCTGGAACTTTTGGAGATGACTGAGATGCAAGAAAAAAAACACGGTAGACTTTAACAAACTGTACAACTGGGGACAACCAGCGGGAAGGTTTTGGAAGGCTGGGGGTAAAGAGGTGGCCTGACCATAATTAAGGGCAAGTCCTGCCAGCAAACCCGTGCCCATTTTAAGAGAGGGATGGCGGTTTTCCCAGGCGGAAGCTGGGTGCCAGGGCTCATTCCATAGACAAATGCTGTCCTCTCTCCCCTCCTTAAAATGAACATTGTCAGGAACAGGAAGGGCACAGGCGTGGTTCTGGAAAGATCTCAGTTCCAGTCCCAGCTCATCGTTTGTGCCTATTTCCTCATCTGTCAAAGAAAGATATCCCAGGACCCTGCCTGTCGCAAAAGCACCATGAAGATAAAGTAAGATCATGGACAAAGGACTTTGTAAAGCAATTTAAAAGTTGTATGTGTGCTACATGCCAGGCACTGTGCTAAAGGCCATACATGTTTTAACTAAATTCTTGCGGCAGTCTTCTAAGGGAAGTATTATTTCCACTGCGCAAAGGAGAACACCAGGATTCACTGGCATTGTTAATATTTGCTGGAAGTTTAAAAAACCAAATAAATGTCTGAAAAGTAAATGTTCAAAATGAGATACCCTATTGCTAAGAGGCTGTGAGATGAGTTTGTGTGGGTGGGAAGAGGTTAAAAAAATAAGTTCGCATTCTCTCCCATGCAAATTGCGACCAGTTGGTAGGGGCTGTGAGGAGCATGTGGGATATTCAGGATTCTCTAGTCATGGGCTGAGAGGAGGAGCATGATGGACTAGCAACTTGACGGTAGCTGCTAAATCAGCCGATTTTAGTTCCAGAAATGACTCCTGCTGGGTGTAATCACACTGGCTTTCATTACCATCACTGCCACAGGATGCATGAGCATTTATGAGCATTTTACTCTGGGTAAGTGGGTTTTTTCTACACACACACACACACACACACACACACACACACACACACACACGAGCAGAATGTAAAGGGGTAGAAGACTGTGTGTCTGCCTTTGGGTACTGACAGTGATTTTGGGAGATAAGACTTTTGTGCATAGAAATCTAAATAGCTAGTCGTGGTATGTATGCTGGCTGCCAAGAAAGAAGGAAAATTAATAAATGCTACAGGGATTTGGATGAACTGAAGGGTTTGTGGAAGAGGCGGGATGTGAGATGATCAGTGGGAGGTCAGGACAATCAAGGGGCATGGCTGGGGCATCTCAGGCAGAGGGAACAGGCAGGAATTCACATGCCAATGTTTCCAGAAAGCGGGCAGTGAGATCGAAGACAGCAGGCTGAGAGCCAACAAAGGAACAAGGAGATATTGACATTTTATTTTGCTGGGCATGAGTGGTGCTCAAAGTCTCAAAATACGGTCACAAAAGTGGGCAAGTTCTTTTCGTTTATTTGTAAAGCTCCTTTCCCAAGTGATTTATTTCAAATAAAAATCTAATTGGCTATCCCACTCTAATCCATTGCTTCAGTTACTATCCAAAGTAGTATTTAAGGGAAATCCATTTAAATATTCATCCCTACTCACATAGAGCATGGTACATCATTCACGACAGAGTTGTTTAAATATAGAATGCACTCCAGGTAACAAATGATGTATACAGGACCGTGCAAGACACTCCAGAGAAGGTCCCACCAATCATAAAAGGAAACACGTAACGAAAACTGTCTTCACGGAGAAGAAATATTCCGTGGATGACCAAGACTGCAAGGATGTTAGAGTTTGTGGTGCAGGAATACAGGGACTATCCCACATCACACAGGGCTAGGAGAAACAAATGGTGGGTTAGAAGGTGGAAAAGGGAAAAGTCGTTTAAGCGAATAATTCCTTTTCGTTGGGACATAATTACAAGTTGCTACAGGGAAGTATTATGATAGCAGCAATCCTAAGAGACATTAATTTCAGAGACCCTGAAGGTAGCAGCTTTAGATCTTATGCATCCCCAAATCACACCTGAAAGATGCAATAGCTGTTCAGAAGTAACAGCAAGAGGGAGGAGGGACAGGACTTCAGAATCCCCAGGGAGGGGGGCATGGTGGAACAGCCACATGATTTTCATGATTTTGTCTTCTGTCCTTTCAGTCTCTCCCTCTCTCTAACCCCCACTACCAAGTTGGTATTTGGGACCGCCCCACTACTTGGGGTATTCTGGGAGGACAGGAAAGACTTAAACTTAGCTAGGGAAGCAGGAAAGCACTCCAGAGTGCCCCATGTGGGTTTAAAGGACCTGGGGGTTAGACAGGAGGTTCACATCTGTTGTATGGATGAGAAAATAAGCTTGTTTTTCAACAAGTCTGCTGTCTTTCTGAGTGTGTCTATATCTGCAAGGTTCTCCAGTGCTGTCTTCTCCATGTTCAAGGTGGATGCCTAGAATATTGTCCATGTTCTTAGACTATGGAGACAGCAGTGAGGATGCTGCCCTCCCAGGATGTGGGGATCTCAGGGAGTGATCAGCTCAGTCACCCAGCAGTTTTGCAAGTGAGGCTTTTCATTACTCCCTGGTGGGAAATAGCTTAACTTTCTAATGGGTTTACAGAATCTTCTAGCCATGTTTTGCGGGTGGGTTTTTCACCTTGCGTCACAGAGAGGGTATTTAGAAGAAAGGACAGTGTGGGAAACATTTACTCAGATACACAGCTTGGGAAGAGGATCATTATTCATGGAGTCTTCTGGTACAAGGACCCCAGCAAATGCCCTCCAAACATCATTTCCTCCTCCACTTACATTTCAAAAAAAGCTGCAGGAGTTTGATATTTTCTTAGTTTCCTTTTCCTGACTCCCTCTGTACAGGATGATGTAGTTGTTTACTTTAAGGCTCAGGAGTCAGCCAGCATTGTATGAAAAGCTTTCCCACAAAAAAAAAAAAACCCATACGACGACAAACCCCTTTCCCTGATGTTTAAGCAATTAGCGATGCATGAACAGGCTTGCTTGAGCTCTTGGTCTAGGACCTGCTCCTTCTTCCTGTTGCAGGAGCCACTCACCCTGGGACTGAGGGATACAGGGAGGCCTTTTCATTTCACAAAGGGTGGCGTTAGTGGGGGCAGTGAACAGACAGGATCTTCATTGGTCCCACCTCCAAGCCACTTTTGTGGCTCCCCCTGCTGTTCACCCCGGTGTCACATGAAATTCCAAACCTCAATGTGCTTATCCATAAAATGGGGAAATAAAAAAGTTGTGGAAAAGATGAAACCACCATGTAAATTTAACATATTATCTGAGACAGCACTGTAGAATGATGAACACTAGGACAATGGAACAGAAACTGCCTTGGTTCAAATCCAATTCTACCACTTCTTAACTATGTGACGTTGGAGAAGTCATTCTACCTCCCTGTGTCTCAGGATATCCACCTCTCAGGACTATTGCAAAGATTAAGTTAATCAACATACGTAAAGAGCTTTAAAAAATGACAGGTATATAGTAAGTGCCATAAGAACATTAGCTAAGTTCACAATAACAAAGACGTGGAATCAACCTAAATGCCCATCAATGATAGACTGGGTAAAGAAAATGTGGTATATACACACCATGGAATAATATGCAGCCATAAAAAAGAACCAGATCATGTCCTTTACAGGGACATGGATGGAGCTGGAGGCCATTATCCTTAGCAAACTAACACAGGAACAGAAAACCAAATACCACATGTTCTCACTTGTAAGTGAGAGCTAAATGATGAGCATACATGGACACATAGAGGGGAACAACATGCACTGGGGCCTGTGGGAGTGGGGAGGAGGGAGAGGATCAGCAAAAATAACTAATGAGTACCAAGCTTAATACCTGGGTGATGAAATAATCTGTACAATAAGCCCCCATGACACAAGTTTACCTATGTAACAAACCTGCACATATACCCTGAACTTAAAAGTTTTTAAAAAGAACATCAGTTATTATCATTCTTGGCTTATAGAAAACACTCTATAAATGTTAGTTACATTTACGTATGTGATGGCAGCAAGGAAAGCTGTTATTTTCAACCAGTGGTGGCAGGTGGGGAGGGCAGCACAGTGAGTGCTATGTCCCCTATAGAATATGCCAGAATCTAGAAAGAACACACACATCTACAGTTTAAAAGGTTCAATTTATAACATCACTTTATAGGTGAAAATGGAAAGATAACTATGGTTTTCATAATACAAACTGCCAAATGAAATGTTTGGCATCTTCTTAGTTATAAAACATGGTTTAAAAACATGTTGCAAAACACAAATGTTGTGGCAGTGAAGAAAGTTTACCCCCCAACTCAGAGCTGCTTGCTGAAAGAGTGAGGCTGGGCTAGGTTACTCTTTAAGAATCCCAACCTTCGGCCGGACGCGGTGGCTCACGCCTGTAATTCCAGCACTTTGGGAGGCTGAGACGGGCGGATCACTTGAGGTCAAGAGTTTGAGACCGGCCTGGCCAGCATGGCAAAACCCCGTCTCTACTAAAAACACAAAAGTCAGCCGGGTGCAGTGGTGGGAGCCTGTAATCCCAGCTACTCGGGAGGCTGAGGCAGGAGAATCACGTGAACCCGGGAGGCGGAGGCTGCAGTGAGCTAAGATCTTGCCACTGCACTCCAGTCTGGGCCACAGAGCCCGACTCCATCTCAAAAAAAAAAAAGAAAAAAAAGAATCCCAACCTTCAAGAGGGAGGTCCCCCAGGGTAGGTGGAAGGTGGGCCAGCAGTTCTGTAGATAACCCCCTGGTCTTGAGCCCCATCTTGGCCTTGGTCTTGGAAAGAGGATAGGGACTACGCTTCATTCTTCCAGCTAAATAGGCCATGGGACCAGTCACCACACTTCTTGTCCTTGAGACAGATCATACTGCCAAAAGAACAGGAAAATCGAAACTTTAGTGGCAAAAGAATGATACACAGAGGTAGTGCACAAGCTCAGTTTTTTGTTAAAGTTCGAATTTTTGGAGAGCATGTCATCATTTAAAATGCTAGTGCCTATGACAGTTTGGATGCTTTCATGTTCTTGTTCCCCTTCCCTGCCTTATTGTAAAATATACCTACGAATGAGAATATGTAAAATATGCATATGCATTTTAAAGATCAAATAAGACTCACTTTTAGCTGTGACCCACCTTGACAGATAGAACATGGTTGCTGGCCTTTGAAACCCCTTTAACTCTCTTTAATTGCAACCTCTCTCCCCATCCTCATTCAGTCCCTATTTGGACTTCCCTGGTAATCATGATCTTGTTTTTCTTTTCTTTTTCTTTCTTTTTTGAGATAGGGTCTCACTCTGATGCCCAGGATGAAGTACAAGTGGTACAATCATGCTTCACTGCAGCCTCAACCTCCTGGGCTCAACCTACCCTCCTACCTCAGCCTCCCGAATAGCTGGGACTACAGGTGTGTGCCACCATCCCTGGCTAATTCTTTTATTTATTTTTGAGACAGGGTCTTGCTCTGTTGCTCAGGCTGGAGTACAGTGGCATGATTATGGCTCACTGCAGCCTTGACTTCCTAGGCTCAAGCGATCCTCCCACCTTAGCCTCCAGAGTAGCTGGGACAACAGGCACACATCACCGTGCCAGGCTAATTTAAAACAATTTTTTGTAGAGACAGGGTCTCACTATGTTCCCAGGGCTCAAGCAATCCTCCTGCCTTGGCCTCCCAATGTTGGGACTACAGACATGAACCACCACACCCGGCCCCTTGCTTTTCTTTACAGTTTCATCACCCATGTGTTTCCTCCTAAGAATATTGTTTAGTCTCGCCTGTTTGGGGGTTTTATAGAAATGGAAATATGCTACATGTCTATTCTGGGACTTGCTTCTTTCCTTCTGTAGTCAGCTGTGTATCTTTTAAAATTACCAGCTCTTATGCCTCAGATCTCTGTGTTTAAGGGGTCTCATTTACTCTCTTATAAATCCCCTTCAAAAACATCCCTTAAACATCCCAAAAACATCCCTAAAATGTCATGACACAGCAAATCGACCAATTCATTCTGTTCTCTTGGATACAGGTTGTCAACCACATTTAGGAAAGCTGTGGCCAGTTCCTCACCTTTTCAACCTAAATATTTTCTTACATCAGAGTGACACTTTTGGTAGAATTAAAGATCAGAGAAATGCATTCAAACCTTCTGCATGATACCATCTTCCAAAAAGGTAACATTTCCACCACTACATTCTTAATGTTTCTGCATAGTCTTCTACGCTTCTTTCTGATTTTGTCTAACTGCCCATACTCCCGATTCTTGTCCTCCTCTACCCATGAAGTCTAAATGTCCCATTCTAGAGAATTGAGATTTTAGGTTTCACATCTTTACCTTAATCTTTGAACCATCCACATAGCTTTTATACCCTCTAACTTCGTATACTCTCCCCATGAATGCCTATGTGCTTAGACTGCGCTTTTTACTCCCATGATCCTGCAGACTGTTAGTACCATTTCCTACCAAGGAGAAAGGGGTATTTGAATATCTGCATTTCATGCTCAATAGTGTCTTCAAGATTTGAAAATTAACAATTAGCTCAAAGAGCTAAACAGAATCCCTCCTTCCTGGGATATGGATGCACAAGAATCATATCTATTGATCATTTTCAGCTTTTGGAAGGCCCCAGTTTGCTTCTGCCTATGGCGTCTACCAGGTACTGACTTCCAGTGTTTACCTAGTACCCAGGACACAGGCTCACTCTGGTTCCCATAGTGATGGGTCAGTTTGCCCTCCCAGAGATTAATGTGGTTTAAAGCAGCAGAGATCAACACTGGCCAGGGAGCTAAATGGATCTGAACTACACAAACATCCAGATCTGCCTTGGACAGGGCTTGCTCCTTTTCACACAATAACAACCCTACAAAGCCAATTTCCTTGAATCAGATGGGACCTTGCCACTGTGCTCCTGTGGGGTAGGTGGAACCCAGGGTTCTTATTCCTGTGACAAAGTCCCTTATGAGACAGCGAGAGAGTGACAGAGGGAGAGAGTGAGAGCAAGGGAGAGAGAGGGAGCACATGAGCGTGTATGTGACCCGGAAGGGGCACTTCAACGCTTGTGCCTCAGTTTCCTCCAATTTGTAGGAGTATACCTACTAGTCAGCCCACTCATCTCTTCCTCTGATTTTCATTCTCTGGTTCACCTATTAGCCTAACCTCCCTAGGTGGACCAGCAGTTCTTTGAACAAGGATTGTGTCTTTTTCTATCCCTGGAATACCTGATATTAAGTTGAAGACATACCGTACCAGGTACTAAAAAAAATACTGGTTGTCTAATGTATACTGAAGCAGAACACTTCGTCCCTGGCTGGGGGTGTGTGTTCCAGATGTCTTACGTTCCCTGGTACTGCTCCTGCACAGCTGTTTTTTAACACTTCAGGGTTCAGTTACTCTGCCTAGCACTGCTGCACCTCAGTCACCACGTCTGGCAATCCAAATGGATCTTGCCAACCCCGGGAGTTCTCTCGTGAATTCTTTTGTAAACATTTTATAATAGGAGTTAGCTTTTGCAAGGTCAACAATCACACCTACATTTGTTTTTTTTTACAGTCAAATTTTCGAGCTTTCTTTCAGTGGAGCCTACCTATACTTTGTGAAGTGTGTTTAATCTCTGAGTTATGTACATCAAAAGATACTTCCTAGATCTTTAAGAAGCTCTCCCAAGGGAATAAAACTCTGGGCAAATTGGATGGTAGAAGTATTTCACCATTCATGACAACGTGTTTCCTTTGGTTGTGTTGGTATGTTTTTAGTGTTAACACTGGTGAATCTAGAAAGTTTTCATAAACTGGGGCTTGATAAAGGAGGTTGGATTTAAACTCTTACCTGAAAAAGAAAAAAAAATACCAAAAACACATGGGGATAGGTTGGATAAATGGTGAAAGAAACACTGAGAACAAAAGTCATTTTCCCCATTCACTCTCATCCTTGGACACTTTACTGGACCTTCCACCCTCCTTCTGAAGTCCAGGGAAGGCCACAAACTTCTCAGGCCCAAATCTGTTAGCACCAGCAGGCTCAGCTCTAAGAGCCAGAGCCAGGTAATAAGCTTAGCTTCCTAGCAACCCGCACACAAGTGTTCCCGATAAAATGGATTACATACTGCTGATGAATCCCAGGTGAATATCATACTGACCCAACAAAGGAATTAATTTGTACCTCCTGCCACACTAAGGAGGCGGACTGAGAGAATTCTTTTTGCCCATGATCCTTCCTGGCATTCTCCCTGGAACGTCATGGTAAAAACAAAATGCTCCAATGAGGTCAAAAGTGGAGGCTTCAACTTCCTATTGCCTCTGCAAAAAAAAAAAAAAAATGTCCTCATAACAGGAAGCAGAGGGTCTGTTTTTCCATCAGTTGCTTTCCCAATACAACTCAGATTGCCTGGAATACCACCCTTAAAGAATTACTCCAGGGTGCCCTGGGCAACTCACGTAAGTAGTTCAGTCACCCCAGTATAAATCAACCAATTGCCATTTTATTTACACCTTGGGCTCTTGGGACCTTGGTTTATCAATCCTCAGGAGGCTAATCTCCCCTGGGCATTCAGACAAAATGAGGTTTCTATAATAGAAGCTAGCTAACCAGGTTTGAATTTAGGCTCTGCCGCTTCCAGCTGTATGATCCCTCTTTGGAATAACAGTCCTACCTCATAGGGTTGATGTGACGATTAAATTAATACGTGTAAAATGCTCCAAGTTGAACCTGGCATGTAATGAACACTATATAGAAATTCCTGCCATTTTTGTTATTGAGCCAAAGATGACCCTGAAATTGAAGGTGGTGACTGGCCCACCCAGATGGCCCCTCTCTCCTTTCAGGCTACACCAGAAGCCTCCAAAGACAAACCACAGGCAGTGGGGGGCACAGTTCTGTCCAAGTTATTATTCACTGGAACCGGTAACCTCCTCTTCACACATTTGGAAGCCAGCCCCAATTTGTGACCTCCTCCTCAGTGACAGGAAGGAGACAAAGGGCCCAGCAGGAATTCACTGGAATCTTGTGGCTAGCCCTAGTTCAAGCTATGGGTCAAGCAGTAAGAAGGAAGGGCTATCAAACTCCTGAGGACACACAGCCAAAGATGTTATCCTCACATTAACCAGCTGTAGTTCTAAAGTCATAAACAGGTTATATAATTAAGAAACAAAAGTGCTACCACAAAGCATTCATCTTCTAGCTGGCATAAACTTCTGGGAAAAGGGGTGGCTGTCAGTCATTTCTTGCTTGATGCCCTCCTGAACAGGCACTTGTGAGATGACTAAACAGGTTACAGGGTTGGCCCATCGCTGTTGTTACAGGCAACGTGTGCCCAGATTAGGGGACAGGTAATACATATTTTCTCTTTATGAAATGAGTGTGCCAGGGGTCAAACCTACCAACAATGGTAGACTCAGGTAGTCTCAATTCTGTTTCACAAACAGTTGGCCAACTGGCCAGAACAGGCCATCATTCTAGGCAAAGAGAAACATGACAAAGCTCTCAAGTCAGCTTGGGATCTATCTATATAGATGATTTTTTTTTTTTTTTTTTTTTGAGACGGAGTCTCGCTCTGTCGCCCAGGACGGACTGCGGACTGCAGTGGCGCAATCTCGGCTCACTGCAAGCTCCGCTTCCCGGGTTCACGCCATTCTCCTGCCTCAGCCTCCCCAGTAGCTGGGACTACAGGCGCCCGCCACCGCGCCCGGCTAATTTTTTGTATTTTTAGTAGAGACGGGATTTCACCTTGTTAGCCAGGATGGTCTCGATCTCCTGACCTCATGATCCACCCGCCTCGGCCTCCCAAAGTGCTGGGATTACAGGCGTGAGCCACCGCGCCCGGCCGATGATATTGAAACTGTTAACTGGATAAGACAGAAGCTAGAATTTATTGAACCTTCTGTGTGCTAGAAACTATGCTGTACTTTAAACAGACAGCTATAAAACCTCCTGGTAAATTTTCTGATGTAGGAGCATTAGTCATTGAAAATGTGTTTGAGTTTGGAACCCTGATGTAAAATAACAGCCTTGTGAACACAGAGGCTTTGATCAAGGTAGAAGCATTTGCTGAATTGAGCTTTGAAAAATTCGGGTTACATGGGTGAAGCCCATTGCTTCAATGGAGTTGTCTCAATAGACTAGGTAGAAGCTCCCTACGAAAGGCCCCATGTGACTTTCCCTGTAGAAAACACCACTAGACCACTAAACAGAAGGACTGTTCACTGACTTTGTCATTGTCCTTGTCTCACTCATGCATTAGCAACAGGTAAACCTGTAGTGATACCATGCGTATTTCCCAATGAATTGCATTGTCACAGGTCTTTAGAATCAGATTCTGGAGGGATCGTATAGGTCATGTAGTTGAAACTCCCCTCTCTGTGTCCTCCCCACATCTTTTATTATGAATGAGAAAAGTCAGTGCCCAGATAACTGTCTCAGAGCAAGCATCAGTGGCAGAAGTCACAGCTAGACCTGCAGTTTCTTGACTCGTGGTGCCTTCTTTACTGCATCCTGTGTTTCCCACACGTCAACAGGGCATATGTGAACCCAAACAGCTGAATAGGTTGCACCTACCACCCACCAAAGTCTTCAAAATCAGAGCATTAGGAATCATCTGGGTTGTCTGAAGTATTTCAGACCACTAGGACAAAAAGTTCGGGTTATATGGGGAAAGCCCATTGCTTCAATGGAGTCATCTCAATAGACTATGTAGAAGCTCCCTATGAAAGGCCCCAGATGACTTTCCCTGTAGAAAACACCACCAGACCACTATCAAAATTCAACACGAATCTAAACTGGACACACACACACAAAAAGGTAAATTCTGAAATCCAATAGATGGCGGGCGTTGGGGAGAGGTGAGAGAATCTGACGTCAGCCATGAGGAAACTGGCTTTGTTTGGTGACCGGGTTAGATAACTTAGACCTCTAGTTTTAGATTTCAAGATGAAACTTTTTACTTAAATTGGATCATGATGTGCCAACTGAACTGTGACCAAATGACACCTTAGAAATGTGTAGATCACCTGCTGCAACTAGCAGCAACTTAAGTTCTTGTTTCTAATCGGTAAGGGGCTACACAATTGACAGTTTCTAAGTGCTAAAGGGAGGACTATGCTTTCTTCACAAGCAGGAGGCCTTTGCAGATGCAAAGGGGAAAGCGAATGGCCACGTCAGTGCTTCCTGCAGAAGTTCTTCCCCACTGCCTCTGGACTCCTGGCCTATTGAAATAGCCTGCTCACAGATATCTCTGCTTTTCATTTTTCCTTTTAATGCAGGCTACGCAGAGCTGTCAGGCTATGATTTAAGTCATCATTTCCCACAATATCTTCAAGGAATCCCCCTTTACTTCCAGAATAAGTGCAAACTCCTTGCCTAGCAGAGTAAGAACTCCACAACTTAGCCAGTACCTCCTCACAAGGTTGTCTTCCTCACGGCTTCCTAGCATGAGCCTGCAACAGCAGCAGGACTCATCATTACACTCGCTAAATCAGGGGTCTGTTCCTGCAAATGCCTCCTGCCCCCAAACTCACTGTGCCCTGCCCCCCAATGCCCCAGCATCCACCCTGTTCCACAGTGGCCCTTCTCACCCCCAGGAGGCAAAGGTGGGGATCCCAGCTTTATCACTTAACTCCGTGTGATCGTGACCAAATGGTTAAGCCTCCCTGAGTCTGTTTCCTTAGCTGCCCAAAGAACTGGCAACAATACCTACATCCCATGGGACTTGGGTAAGATTGATGAAATCAGCTTTTAAACAACTTGGATAGGCTTGCCACATAATAGGTGCTCAATAAATACGTCTCTCCTTCCTCTTTATCACATACTGTCTTTATTCTAAGTTACTGTTTGCTGTGCCTTGTCATATCTCTCCTTCCCAGTCCCTGTTATCTCCCAACTGTGCCTCAAAAGATTCTGACGCAAATTCTCCTGATCAATGAAGTAGTGTGACATCCCAGTTACATTCTATCACAGGCCTCTACATCTGTCAGCAGTGAGTCAAAGGTTTAAACACACACTTTTACACATCAGCAGGCACTTCTGTGCGTGATCTAAACAATGAAATATGTTACTGAGACAGAATACCAGAATCTTGAATCTGCTTCCAAAATTCCATTTCTGCCCAAATCTCAGGAATGTGCCCATTTTAATAATGAAAGGACATTTGTAATGGAGACCTTCAGGAAATGACACCTGTATACATTAGATTATAATATGGGTAGGTTAAAAAAAAAAATCAAGACTCACTCCAGCTCCCAGTCAGAGCTGTAGTGGTTTTAAACTGTTTTCAAAGTGAAATCCTTTCTTCAAATGTTATCTTCCTTGGAATGCTAACATGTGAAACAGTCGGACATGGAGCTGCACAGCCAGGTGGAGTAGGTGGTGCGTGTACATCCTCCTCTAATAGCGCATACTGGGTCTGTGTACCCAGCTCCCACCCACCATACACTGAAGCAACAGAGGCACCTCCACAAAATGTAATTTGAAAACCAACAGCTTGGCCGGGCACAGTGGCTCACACCTGTAATCCTAGCATTGTGGAAGGCCGAGGCAGGCGGATCACTTGAGGTCAGGAGTTCGAGACCAGCCTGGCCAACATGGTAAAACCCCATTTCTACTAAAAATACAAAAATTAGCTGGGCCTGGTGGTGCGTGCCTGTAATCCCAGCTATTTGGGAAGCTGAGGCAGGAGAATTGCTTGAGCCTGGGAGGCAGAGGTTGTAGTGAGCCGAGATTGCGCCGTTGCACTCCAGCATGGTGACGGAGCAAGACTCCGTCTCAAAAAAAAAAAAAAAAAAAAAGAGAAAACCAACAGCTTTACAAGAAAAAGCAAACAGTTTAGGAGAATGGGTAAATATATTCCTTAGTGGTAAAAAAAAAAATGCCTCCTAGCCAAACAGTGTACAGGAAGTCCTCACAATGTCATTGGTAAGTTCTTAGAAACTGCAACTTCAAGTGAAAAGACACGTAAGGAAACCAGTTTTACCATAGGCTAATTGGTATAAAGAAGAGTTAAGTTCCTAAGTATACTTCTGGCTACAAAAACATCAGACTTCTAAGAAAAATTATTTAGAACACTTTGAATAGTAAAACTGAAATAACACTTCTAATATTAAGCACTGAAGTAAATGTGAGCTATACATATGTTTAAGAAAGATGAAGAAAAATGAGTAAGAGCATCATTTACCCACTTGCTGCAGTTCAGGGTTATGGGTGGGTGGAACCTCTCCTGGTAGCTCAGGGTGCCAGCGGGGAACCACCCTGGACAGGACCCCATCCCATGGCAGGGCACACTCACGCACACCCACACTCAGATGGGGACCATTTAGACACGCCAATTCTCCCGATGTGCATAGCTTTGGGATTTGGCAAGAAACCGAAGTCCCTGAAAAAAAACTCATACAGGCATGGGGAGAAAGTACAAACTCCACATAGTCAGTGGCCCTGGCCAGGAATTGATATTTTTCTCATTAATGTTATAAAGAAATGACATTGAACAAAATCAGGTTATTCAAAGACCTGCTGTATACACACATATTTAATGTTAAAGACATTTAAGTCTTAGTTTGCATTATGTCAATGCCAAATAGGTTATTTACATGTTGTACTCAGGTTGATGTTACAGAGAGAAATAAAAATAGAAGGAGGCAGTTCTGCTGCAGAGAGCGCAGCACCATCACTGGCCAGCACTGGGCAGAGCATGCGGTCCATTCACTGCTAACATCAGCTGGGAGGAAGCCAGGCACTTACCAGCCACCTGCAACCCCCGATGCAGAATGTCTACGAGACGCCCTCAGATACTGTAGAACCCTAGAAATCATTTGGCTGAAGAATATTTAGTGACAAGGAAAATAGCTCTACTATATTACTAAGTGAAACAGTTTACATAGAGTATGATACTGATGTTATAAATATATATGTATGAACAGACATGTACTTTTCTAAAACTGGAATGATACACATCGAAATGTTAGTAGTAGTCATGTGAATTGTTCTTATTTTCTTTTTTGTCCTCTTGTGACTTTTCCAAAATTTCTACAATTAATAAATAATCTTTGTGATTAAAACACAATTTACAAAAGAAGATCAGGCCAACAGTTTCTGAAGGAAAATAAAGCACTGAGTTCTGGGCACTGTATAGAGGCCAGAAGGGCTTTTTTTAAAAAAATTTTTTTTTTTGAGATGGAGTTTCACTCTGTGGCCCAGGCTGGAGGGCAGTGGCGGGATCTCGGCTCACTGTAACCTCTGTAGAGGCCAGCAGTTTTACGCTCCCATGAGGCTTCAAGTTCACAAGGCCGGGACTCCTACCTACCTTTCCCCACACCTGTGTTCCTCAGCAGGCAGCATGGCGCCCCATGATGCCCCATGGCACGGCACATAGCAGGTGCTCAGTAAGCAATGGCTAAACAGACAAGTGTGAGGGCCTCATCCTACTCCAGCCCATTTTGGATCGTTCCTGTGCCCATGCCCCCTTTTTCCTCCTTTCTCTCTTACGCTTTCAGAAAACAGAAACATTTCCAGAAACAGGCTGATCAACCCTGCTCCTCTTGCCAGCTTAAGGGACATTAATATTTTTTAATCCCAGCCTCATTGAGTTCATGTAAAATTGAGCTGACACCCCTTCAGACCCTTTTTCATGTGTGTGACAGGAATTGGGGAAGAGGGGATTTGGAGGTGAGGCTATTTGAAGTGGAGAATTTGGACAGGAGGACAGAGAAGGAGACAGAAATACATGGTGAACAACAAAGACTGTTGGGAAACCTTTATTCCAATCTGGGTTCTGTTGCAAACAAATTATAAGACTTGACTGGGCCTTGGTTTTCTTATCTGTAAAAATGAGTGACCACAAATCACTAGGGAAATGCACATTAAAACTATAATGAGATACTACCTCACACCCATCAGAATGGCTACTATCAAATAAAGAAATAAGTGTTGGGCAAAGTAATAGAGAAATCAGATCAGAACCCTGGTGCACTGTTGATGGGAATGTAAAATAGTTCAGTCATTATGGAAAACAGTATAGCGGTTCCTCAAAAAATTAAAAAGAGAATTACTATATGATCCAGGAATCCCACTTCTAGGTATATAGCTAAAAGAATTGAAAGTAAGGCCTCAAAGAAATATTCAGACAACCATGTTCACAGCAGCATTATTCATAGTAGCCAAAACGTGGAAGTCAAAATGTCCATCCATAGATGATAAGTGAAATGTGATATTATACACATGATAGAATAGTATTTGGCCTTTAAAAGGAAGGAAATTATGACATACGTTACATCATGGATGAACCTTGAGGACATTCTGCTAAATGAAATATACTAGTCACAGAAAGACATTATTGTATGATTCCACTTATAAGAGGTACCTAGAGTAGTCAAGATTATTGAGACTGACAGAGTGGCTGTTGCCAAGGGCTGTGGGGAGAGGGAATAGGAAGGTACTGTTTAATGGGTATTGAGTTTCAGGGTTGTAAGGTGAAAAGAGGCATGGAGATGGAGAGGGGTGATGGATGGACATTATGAATGCATTTAATACCACTGAACTGTACACTTAAAAACGGTTAAGATGGCACGTTTTATATTATGTGTATTTTACCACAATAACAAATTCCGAAAAAAAAAAGGGGGAGTGAATAACCATAGAGTATGGTAGGTGAATTCATAGAGACATCATTAGGCAGTTATAAAATGGCTGATCTAAGTCAGGGCTTTTTTCTTTCTTTTTTTTTTTTTTTTTGAGACAGAGTCTAGCTCTATTGCCCCAGGCTGGAGTGCAGTGGGACGATCTCGGCTCACTGCAACCTCTGCCTCCTGGGTTCAAGCGATTCTCCTGCCTTAGCCTCCTGAGTAGCTGGGATTACAGGTGCCCGCCACCGTGTCCGGATAATTTTTGTATTTTTAGTAAAGATGGGGTATCATCAAATTGGTCAGGCTGGTCTCGAATTCCTGACCTCAGGTGATCCACCTGCCTCGGCCTCCCAAAGTGCTGGGGTTACAGGCATGAGCCACTGCACCTAGCCAGTCAGGGCACTTTTAAAAGCAAAGGTCCTATTCAAATGTAAGGTTTCCTTATATGCAAAGAGGTTACACGAAGCTGCAGCAGTTAGATTAAGAGCCAACACATCCTTCTCTGCCCCTGGGACACATGAGCATTAACAAACTCCACAACTTTTCCTTTATCACACAGAATGAATCCTGTTATGCTTCAAGACCTGGGTGAAGTTGTCTTGCTCCATGAAGCCTTGCTTGATCGTGGAAACCAGTGACGATCTTTCTCTGACCGGCCAGAGAACCGCCAGCTCATCTACACAGACACACGCCACCACACACATACACCCGTGCATTCCTTCACAAGAGAGTAGAGCTTACCCCTCAACTAGTTTGACCAAAGGTCCTGCCATAAAAGTCTTGTCACATCTTGCAGTGATTTGCACACCATAGGTGCTCACTAAAGATGTGTTAATTGGCTGATTAGAATAAATGGCATTGCTGTCCAGCCCACTATCAAGCAAAGATGGTCTTCAGAAGTAAAGAGATGGACTTCCCTGGAGTCTGATTCTATTAATAACTGATTCTGCCAACACTAAGCCTGTAACCTCTACCACGGATCTCATTTCTCTAAAATCCATTGCAAATTACTGAGGCTATCTCTGCTTGTAATCTGTTACTGGCGAGCATATTGATTCCCAGGTGGCTGCCTGACCCACAAACCAACTCATTGTGTTGAGCATCTCAATCTCTTCTCGAAAAGCACTCACCAAACCTGCTCACACACTCTCCAACTCCTTCGGAGTAGTAGTGGTGCCTCAGGTAGACAGTATGGTCTAGCAGGAAAGAGACCCATCCTCAACGGCTCTGTCAGCTCGTTTAGATTTAATCTGACATAGCTGTCTCTTTAGAACAAAATCTACCAATGGCCTAATTTTTACTTCGTTTTTTTTTTTTTTTTTTTTTTGGTTTAGTGTTTCTGTTCTTCAGAGTTGAGTTCCTTGAAATGACACTTTTGCTCCTACGTTGTTAACACTCCTTTTCTCACTTCTCCCCGTGCTCACACAGATGATTCAAACGCATTTGAAAAACGTCTCCCGTTGCTTTGTAAGGATGTTTCCATGCTGCATTTTCCCTAGGGCAGCAAGGGAGATTGGCTAAGGGAGATTCTCTAGTTCACCCTTTGTTTCCTTTGCAGCAAAGCCCTCCAGAATTTGGCTTCCCAGGCCTGGCAGGAAATGCCAAAGGGTGGGGGATGGGTAGAATTGTGTAGAGATGAAATTTTTAAAGAGGAAAAATCATGAAATTATTCAAGACAGGTTTTGTGGGATCCTGTTGGAGAGAATGGTTTCAACAATGGGGGTCATAAATACAAATGCACAGACTCTAAAAATCTGGGAATTTCATTTCCTGTAACTTCCAGAAAAAAAAAACAAAACTACCTCTCAGTGGTTCTCCTATCCCTTGTAGTCAATGCCTGAATGGGAACCTGGGAACTGGGAGAGGCAATTCCAAAAGTCACTTCCCCCACAAACCCTGACCAAGCCCCTAAGTTTTAGAGCCTAGCAGTCCAATAAGGAGGGCTCACAGCATTACCTCCCTCCTCTACCGATAGGCATCTGATCTTGTAGATGCAGGAATCTGTCTCCTTATTTTCCAAATACCCTCCCTTTCTCCTCTTCCTTCTTTGCTCTGGTTTAGCCATTATCATTTCCTTGGAAGAAGTAGGAGATAGCATTGGTTGGGAGTTCAAGCATTGGAAAAATAATACAAATGAGATTTGGAAATAATTTCTAGGTTTCAGCAGCCATGTCTTTACCCCTACCCTCTTGCAAATGCCACCCATGCTTCCAGGTCCAGGGTAGGTTCTACCTCCATCAGGAAACCTTCCTGACTGCCTCCTTGCATGTCTATCTCTCTACTAGGCAGTAATTGGCATGAGTTCAGAGTTGGTATCTTTTAGCTTTGTAGCCCTAGAATCTAGCACAGTGTCTAGCACATAGATGCTTAACAATAAAGACTTGTAATTGAAACAATTATAGGCCATAATTTTTTTATAGCAAGAAACAACTGTGGATGTATAAAAAATTTTTTTTCTCATATGCAAGAAAATATTAAACACTACTGACAATGTTACCCACTTAAAAGTCTTCTAGAATTTTTAAATATAAAAATTTTGGTCTTTCATTCACATCAACAGATACAGTTTTTTGTGACTATGCCAATTTTGATAAGCTGATAAGCACCCTACCTTTATAAAATAAGAATTATGTCCAGGGATTTTTAGTTGTAAGAGGGAGGACCTGGGACGAATGTGGCTACTTGATCTTGACTGGAATTAGAAGTTCTTTATTCCTCTTTCTGTACTTTATATTTTGACAGTAAATTAAATCAAGTTTGGTAGAATTCCCTACATGGTTCAGGTTACTCTTGCATCCCAAAGACACACTGGTTTGAATTTGACTGAAATTAAAACCACTGGCTTAATTTGTTGTTCTGTCTGCTTTTTCTCACTAGCCCTGGAAAGCTGGAGCCATTTTATTTGCTTTTTGCCTTTCTAGATCCCATGGAGCGGATGGAGCACATGAGCCAAGGGTAGGCGGGCTCAGTAAAGAAAAGCCCAAATCTCTCTTCAGCTGTAAGTTGGCCCTTCACTGGGCTGCACTGACCAGACCTGAACCTGACTATGTCATCATGACTGATGCCAATGGGTTCATATGACCATTGCCATTGGTCACCGTATTAGATATGGTGACATCACTTTACACACTTCTGAGTCTTTCCAGGCAACTTGTATGTAGTGTGCAGTCTGAAGCAATGTCTAATCTCTCAGAAGAAGTTCTCAAAGGAATGTTTCCAAAAGGACCATTTTTTTCCGATATATTGAAAAATAAAGGCTCACCTAAAAATAATTAAACTCGACTTAATATTATTGCTGTTCTGTATGTCATAATTAAACAAGCATGAAAGAAATCTTAATAGGATTGCAATCGGGTCTTTGTGTTCCTGAATGTTGTATCAGAGTCTTAGTGGAAACCAGGTTTAAGGTGGCTCAGAGGAACTGTCCTTTGTTTTCAGGAAAAGTGAAACTCAATCAAGACTGAATTCTGTGGCTACCAAACCCAGCTGCTATTCCCAAATCCTGTCCAAATCCTCTCTACCTTTCAAAGCCTGGCTTGATCGCACTTCTTCCACTAGATCGTAGGGAAGACCCCCTCCCCTGAGTCTTCTTGGTTTGAATACTCCCATCTAGAACATAACTATTCAATGCTGTTTGCTACTCCCTCTTAGCTTGTGGAATTTAGAATAACCTCCCAATCTATTATCAGTGAATCCTTCCACGTGAGAACTGTCTTCCTTTGGTTAATAACCCCAGCATCTACCTCAGAGTCAGGTGAATAATAGCTACTCTTTAAAACTATGATAAACTGTTGGTTTGTCATAGGGAAAGTCACATTTTTAAAAAGTTAAGTTGAAGGTTTATAAGCTGATTCTTCATCAGGTTCCTTTCATAAGTAAGTTAAGATCCTTCTATGAGGTTAAAATATGATTCAGTTTAGAAAAATTCAGTGAATATGCATCTGTTACATAAAGCTAAGTATTCTATGAAACTGAGGTGGCATGAGAGAGTTGGTGCAAAGCTGCTCCTGTGACTGTGGCTGCCTGACAGTGGCCTGAGAAAAGATAGTAAATATCTGAACTACAGAGGAAGCTCCTTCTCTGCCCATCCTCACCCTACAGCCATCCATGACAACATCCATGTTAGCTTGATCACTGTTCTGCCATAAAAGAAATCCCTGGTGTTATTCAACACCATTTTGTGCTCCAAAAGCTGCCATATGATGAGGAATCCTTAGCCTTGTTATTCTACAACGCACAAAGGAGAACACTGCTGACATTGAAGACATCCATTCCCACTCCCTCACTCATTCACCAAGCTGACCTTCAACGTGGCTTCCCATGATCCACCACGTACAGGGGCTCCATAGAGCCCTCACAACTAAACTGGACCCCTCCTAGGATGTTGGGCTTCTTGATAATGGTGTAAAGAAAACTTGCCAGAGTGGCTCCCTGCCTGGAAAGCCACCTCAGATAGTGAGAGGGAGGGCTACCTGCTGGGGACAGGGGGAAGTGGGAGGGTTCCTCCAACAGAAGGGACCCTGTGCTGGATCAGGCACAAGAAACTAGCAATGTGAATCAGAGCAAGGCCCCACTACCTTGGGAGTCCCTGAGACTAGATGAGATGCCAGGTCTGACTCTGCCAAGATGGAGTGCCTATGAGCAAAATAGTTTTACTTCTCTGAAACCCAATTTTCTCACTGGTACCAAAAGGAAAGAAAAGAAAAAAAAAAAGGAAAAGAAAAGAAAGGAAAAGAGAGAGAGATAAAGAAAGATAAGGTGACTTTGAAAAAATCTTCCAAGTCTTTGATTCTGTCCGTGGGTACCTGTCAAGTGTGAGGCCCTGTGATAGGCACCATGGAAAATACAAAATATGATACATTTCTCATGAATCTAAAATTATGCTCTAGTGGAAAAAAGAAGAAAGTTAACTCCATCACTGAGTCTCTATTATTCAGGATTCTGTACACACACAAACCCATAAATATTAGGCATTACACAACACACATGAAAAATGAGAAGAGTTAGTAATTCTTATACTTGTGCAGAAAAAGGGATAGATTCCTATTAAATAGTGGTCTCTGAGGAAAGTTTCGTAGACAAAGAAATATGTGTCCATCTTGAAAGATAAGCAGAATGATTTCCAGATTTTCAGACGATATTTCTTATTCTCCTGAGAGATCAGAAGGATAGGAAAAATTCCACTGGATCAGGGTTCCTCAGTATGGAATGGGCATTGTGTGTGTGTGGGTGCATGTGTATGTGTGTGTAAGAGAGAGATGGGGGACCCTGGGATCAAATAAGTTCGGAAAAGTAGATTAAACAAAGGTAATTTTGTTTTCATTGCAGGTCTCCTCAAGGATGCTAATAAACATACGTGTGTTGAGACTAAGAGAGGTTACGTTTGCAGTGACTCCAACTATGGGTCACAGAGTCCTTTCTTCTTACAGCTGCTCAAGTGATTGGGGTTCTGAGAAATCCTCTCTGGGAAACGGTGTACCAAAGATAATGTAAACTCCATGAGGTCAGGGACTAGTCTAGTTCACCACTGTATCTCCAGCACCTGGCATGGCATCAGATACACGGGAAGGATATAATGAAATATAATAAAAGAAAAGTTTGCCAAATGACTCAATGAATAACTATTGAATTTTAAGTGGAAAAACTGGCATTCAAAATGACATGGAGATGAGAATACACCCAGAAGCAAGGTATCACCTCTCCATGATGTCACCCTCAGGGTCTGGGTTCCACATAAGCCACAGCTAGGAGTTTCAGGTGATGTCTGTCTTTGCCTTCTCAAGAAGCAAAATACTACAAACATCCATAATGATCCTAAAAGACTTTAACTCCTCCCAACCCCTCAAAAAGGATAACAAAATTAGAGCTTCATGAAGAACATTGCTGTTTCTTTACTAAAAACAGGTAACAAATTAGTTAATAATACTCGAGTCAGACTCTACCATGGAGTTATGGATTATCTTTGTTTCTTTACTGCCACCTTCTGGTTCCCAGACACCTATGCGGTAAATTAAAAATGCTGCCTTATATTTGTGTTTCACTATGAAATTTTAAGCATTTGTTCACATCCTTTATTTCAGATGACATTACACAGATTAGAAGAGATTAAGGTGGCCTTTACTCTTTTTCATATGACATGAAAATAACTTAGAAGTTAAGTGATTTGATTAGTGATAGAAAGTTAGGAGCAGAGCAAGGACTAACCACACTTGTTGGTTTTTCCAATGAGCAAACAGTGAGTTTAGCCATTTGGCTTTGTCCAACTCTGGCTGCAAAGAATTCTACAGCTCTCTCATCCCTTCACAAGCACAACCTTGAATGGAAAATCCTGTGCCCTAAAAAAGAAGATGCTGTTCAAATACATCCTGATCTTTTCAAGGGTAAAACCCATCCCACTTTACAAAGTCTTTGAGAGAACAATGTAGAGGGTCTAAAATTGGTATTTTATCTGATAGTCAAGATGCCCCAACATGGCAGCCAGCCAGCTTCTTCCTAACATACCTTGGTCTGGAAGCAGCAGTAGAGTTGGGTAAGGTACGGGTGTTTCCGTGCCAGAGCCAAAATCCTCTTCTCTGTCATTGTGCAGTCCACGTCATCATCCTGAAGGATGACGTCCTTCTTTAAGACCTTCACAGCATATACTTCATCTTTGCCCTTGAGTTCTGCCAACATGACCTGCAATCAATCAATTGCCTCCATCAATCTATGCATGTATGGAATAAAAAGAAGAAGTGTAAGCTAATACCAAATACTTCAAAAACGAATTCTGTTTTTTCTTTAATTTTAAATATTATAACAAGCCTGGTGTGGTGGCATGCACCCAAGATACTTGGGAGGCTGAGGTAGAAGGATCATTTGAGCCCAGGAGTTACAGATCAGCATGGGCAACATAGCAAGACCCCCTCTCAAGATGTATACATAATGTTTAAGAAAACTTCCTATTCTACAATTACTACCGTTCTACAGTTACTACATTCTAATAGTTACTACAATTTATTTATTTTTGATCTCTGGCACAATGCCCAGGCATAGAAAAGAGAAGTTCAATGCACATCTGTTGAATGGTTATTCATATGTTTATATGTGTTTGTCATACTTACAATTACAGTACACCAACTATTTTTACAGTTACAGTACAGTAAAATAATGTAACTATTTTTAACTGAACATTATCTTACAGACATTCTCCATATGGTCTCCATTATTATCACGGTTGCTTATACTCAATTCAAGTAAATATAATTTATTTAACCATTTCCCTCAAATTAGGCACTTCAGTTATATCTAATCATTAAGTATTATATAAGTTGCATTGAGTATTTTTGTACACAATTAAAACAATTTCTCTTGGATTACATTTGTAAGATGGAAACCCTCATAAGTAGATTAAAGGGTGAAGCATTTTGCACATTTCCTATTTTCAGAAAGGATGTGTGATACAATGTGCCACTAGCAATGTAGAAGTGTTGGAGTTTCATGGTGACTTACCAATACTGAGTAGTTTCACTTAAAAAGTATTTTTGCTCACTTAATAGGTGTGAAATGTTACCTTGATGCTATTTTTACTTAAAATGAAACTTTAAAATTAACTGTTTTCTGACTGTATTTCTTTTCGTGTAAATTATTCACGTCTCCTTTGTCTAATTATGCTGCTATCATATTAATTTCTTACAAATTTATACACATGTGATATATAAAGATACTAACCCTTTACTTTCTGTAAAAGGTTTTCTAAGCCTGTTTTATAATTTTCTGTTATTTTATTCTATTGAAAAGAATCATGTATCTTTATGTAGTTGAATCTGTCCTTGTTTGCCTTTATGGTTTCTTTTATAACTCTGAAGCTGGAAACGTGATTCCTTTTCAAGAGAGCTAATTAACAGTTCTATGTTCTTAAAGTGTTCCTATCATTTGATATTTTTGCACTCATTTACCTACAAACGTCACAAGCCTTTCTCTTCTTAAATAAGTAACTCCTAAGTACAGTATTCCAATGTAAGTCATCAAAGCTAAAAAGCAGCCATCAGAAACTTAATGAGGGAATTCATGATGTTAACCTGAAGACTTTTTGTCGCCCGCGTATTTTACAGACTCTTTAAAACTGGCTCAAACTTTGGCTGTGATTTTTCCTAAGAGATAACCTAAATGCTCCAAAGTCATCTAAGTTCCCATTCTGCCTACACTATATGAAAACCTAGAATCTCGGAGTCTTGCTCAAAATTAGACCACATCCTGTTCAGGTCCCAGAGTTATGCCTAACCAGAGGACCTCTTTTTATTTAGTCAGTCTCTAAAGAATGTAATTGCTTCAGCTTTTGCCATTTAAGTAAACCCCAGTTACCTTCCCACCAGAGTGGTATCAGGGTGAGATAGGGGCAGGTGAGACGGCTGGGAACCAGGTGGGATGGGCCAGCTGACTGACCTACAGGCTGCTGCTTTCAAGAGTCCAGGACATGCCAGGGCATGTGATCCCAGGAGCTTCCTGGTCCCCAGAGCAGGACCTCCCAGAACTTCTCAGGGGGTCCCAGAAAGGTGACTCCCAGGCTTAGCTCTGAACAGAACCAGGGAACAATCAGAGATCTCAGGTGAAATGCAAACAGCTTCCTCTGCTCCCTGCCCCTTCATCTTCTTTCTAAATGAACAGGAGTTAATTTTTCCATCTCACCCAGCCATCGGAATGGTGGCTGATCACCTTTAGTGCTTTATTGAGCATACTAAAGGCCACACCCCACACCACTGTGTTCATCTCAGTGGGAACAGGATATGGAGAATGGCACCAAGGGCAGAGGACCCTGATCCGAGGCATGAGATGATTATTCCCATTTTCTTGCCACGTGTAAAGGATAAACAGAACATTTATTACATGCCAGAAAGATCAGTTAAATAACATTTACCTTCCAAAGTAATGCATGCTAAATTTGCTTTAAACCCTAGGTTTGCTGAGGGCAGAGATTCATTCTCAAAGTCTTCATAACAAATTAAAAACAGAATTTCAGCTGATCTCTGAAGGAGGGAAGACATGTATTGACACTACTATTGATTTGGAACACTGAGCATTTAAAACTTTCCAAAGTGCTTTCTCATCTACCATCTCACTTGATTCCTGTCCCCATTCAACAAATGAGAAAAATTGAATTCCAAAGAGATTAAATCACTACTTGAAAGTCTCATATAGCCAATTAATAGCAGAACCAGCGCTCCTATCTACTTGGCCTCAGGTCATTTGCACTTACAAAAAAGGAAAGAAAACCTAACGAGATCAGGCTGAAAGGTTCCTCTCTCAATCTTAGATCAAACAGACGAAACAATGCTAAGGAGTAGAACAAAACCAGCAGTTCCACCCGTGTGTGCCACAGACCTTGCCAAAGCTGCCTTTGCCCAACACCTTGATGAAGTTGAACTCATCCAGGCCCAGGCGCTTGGCCTGGCCTTGCCGGACTTCGCCATTCTCACCGGGGCTCATCAGCTGGCCATCAGGAGACGATGCTGCCCGGTGCTCCTCTCCTCGGTTGTCAAATGACAAGGCTTTCCGAATGTTGTTCTCAAGTTCTTTTATTTCTAGGGCCAAGGGGAACAAGAAATTGCATTAGTGCATACCTCTTAAGCCTGTTACATTAGGACTCAACACTCAGACTTTCCCCTGTAAGCTCTCAGTCCTCTTTCTGGTTCTTCACAACAGATCCAGTGTGACATCCCTTTGTATGTTCCTTCATCTGTTCACCACACTCTTATTGGCACCTAATGCGCAGCAGAGCTTAGGTATGCAAAGAGGAGGAGGACACAGTCCCTTCCCTGCCCTTGTCAACTCCAGATTACACTGGACCTGGCTGTCTCTCTGAAAGCCCCCTTTGGCTAGTAGCCTATTCCACTGTTCTAGGTAAAGCACACAAATCTGGGCCCTCTCTGGAATTCTGCAGAGTCACAGGTATCCTTCAAGTTTCCTCTGAAGATGAGAACAACGAATCAAGAACTGTCATCACAGTAATCACTGGTGATATAATTATTTCAACAACTGAGCCATCAGAACGGTGGCTGATCACTGAAGGTAGAAACCTTCATACCTTCTAAAAACCTTTACTCAGCCTTGTTGCCGGGTTTCTTCTAAATACCCATCTTACACAAGGTTATCTAACAAAATGAGCAATGGGCTTATTATTAACAAAAGAATTGCTTTCCCAAGTGACATGTTGCAAACTTATCTCCAATGGGGCGGGAATTTCTCAGTACAATTTCTCAACTACGAGACAGTCTTGTGCCCCGCTCTAGAGCTTATGACCTGAATTACCTGGGGGAGATAATGCTGGATGATCCTCTGACCTTTTCTATTTGAAGAAGCTTTACTGTTAGCAACTCATTCATCAAGACACGCACTCTTCTGTGTGGAAATGGGCATCTTGAGCAAAATCCGATTTTAAATGATGCTTGTGAATAACTTGGATTATGGAAGGGGAACATAGCCTATTAACCCTTGGGAATGAGAATTAGGCATGAGTGACAGAAAGAGATCTTCAGCTTCTTTTCAGAAGGACAGAGTCCCATAAGGGCTTACTCAAGGAATCCGGAGATCTTTCCTAGATCTGGAGTTTGGCTCCTCTGAGACGTGTTGGGGAGGGTGAAGACGGGGAAAGCTGCTGAGTCTGCAGACACTCCCCTTGCCAGTTCAGCAGTTATCCACCTATCACTTAGCTTGACTAAATAACTTTTAATCTCACAATAGAGCTAAAAGCCTCAGTTATTAAATGAATTTTGGAAGGCAAAACATAGTTGTTTGGGGACAGCAAAGCTTGAAGAAAAGGTTTTTCTATGTGTCTTTACAAGGGAAGAAAAAGAAACTATGTCTTATTTCTGTTCTGTAATAATGTCGCTCAGAGGGACATCTGTGCTAACATCACTACTGGGAAATCCTGGCGTCTGTGTCAAGTGGGATGAACAGAGGCCCTGGGGCCGCTGTATCCTGCCACTGTATCCATCCAATGGCAGAGCTCAGAGCCAGAGAGCATGCAGGGCAGGAGCCAGGCCTACAAACCCTGGTCTCTGAACTCTTACCTGGGGTCTCTTTTCTATATGACCCTGTCTCCCTGAAGCTCCCAAAGGGGATCTCAGCCTCAGAAAGGAACACGTGAAAACCCCCAAACTGGTCTGGGAAAATAGCTACAAGTTCTGCAGCCCCAGAGTACATCAGGCTACTTATGAATGCTTCAAATCTCATTTGGAATGAGGTAGAGTATAAAGACACAGAAAGTTAATTGGAGTAGCACGAAGAGGGACTGAGACCAATTATTCTGTGGCCTCAGGGCTGGTGCATGACCCCCGAAGCTCTTTTATTTACTCCTGGGTAAGAAGGTCTGGGTCATGGTGGTGACCTCCAAGGAAGGTTTGATGGCAGGGTTTCTGAGAGTGTGTCCCTCAGCCAGCATGGGTACAGTCTTGCCCTTACCACTGACTTATCTCCAAACCTTGGGACAGAACTTTTCCACACTCTGACCTCCCACTTCCCACTCACTAACCTGGGGGACAGTAATGAAGCACCAACATAGAGTGGGTATGGGCATAAAATTAGGATAATGAATACAAAAAGGGATATAGAAAAACCAAGGCACCATTGTCAGGCTGTGATGGTTATTCCTCTTCTGCAGATGCATATGTCCCTTACCAGGCATATCTGATAATGGTCACGAGAGCAGGAGGTTTTGCAAGTGTAAGTCCCTCCTCAGCCTCATCATTCTCGGATGGCTGCAGAATTATTATTGTGCAAATTATGTCTGCAGAACTTATTGTCTGAAGCACAGTCGGACAGAAGGAGATATCTGGAGCTGTAGAGGGGAAACAGGCCTAGGACTGGCCTCCTTCCCACTTCTTTTCTCAGTCTCTCCTCTAGCTTCATCTTTCTATCCTCACCCACCCAAAGGCCAGGATAGAAGACATCCTCCCTCACCCAGCCCCAAACTCAAGCTGATCTCAGGTTTTGGGTATGATGATGGGGGAGGGAGTGTCAAACTCAACTCAAGGGAGTGGTGTTGACAGGTCTAGGGCCAGGCAAGAGCTTTAAGAGAGGGAGCTGTACCCTTCTCTCTGCAGTACACTTGGAACCAGGGACAGAGGCAAGGGAAAACAGATAACCATAACATCATACACTCGCTCTCCTCTTACCCTGGCCTGGAAGGAAATTAAGGCAGATATGGCCATGGAGTGCCCAGCCCTCAAGAAGGTCTTGGAGAATGAAAGAACTGTTAAATCAACAGGCAACGGGTGTGTGAAAACCCACCAGGGCTGCTAGCTATTTCAGCTAACAAGCTCACTCTTGGTTAAAGAGGCCTCAGAGCTCCTTGGTCCATCCAATGGCAGAACTCAGAGGTCAGGAAGCAAATCTGAGGGTCTCACCCTGGTCACAAGGGGAGGTGGGTGCTGACTTGGATCGATCTTCCTCAGATGGTGAGCTTCCAGAAGCAGGCTGCGGGGACTCGGCACCAGCAATGAGCTAGAGAGGAGAGAAAGCAGGGACAGAGGCATCAGAAGGGAGGGTTGAGAGTTTTCTGATGTCAAAAGCATCAAGATGCCGTATAAGAGCCATGAGAGTTCCCAGAGCAGCAGGAATTCAGTAGATCTCTGTCCTCTTGCAGCCATCGCCAAAGTAGCCAAAATGAAGTTCGATCCCTCTGTGACGTCTGACCAGAGCAAGAACCACAAAAGGAATTTCAGTGCACCTTCCCTACATTCACAGAAGGATGATGTCTTCCCCTCATTCCAAAGAGCTGAGACAGAGGTACAATGTTTGATCCAACCCCATCCAAAAGGATGAAGTAGTTCGGGTTGTGCGAGGACACCATAAAGGTTAGCAAGCTGGAAAAGTAGTCCAGGTTTACAGGAAGAAATACATCATCTACATTGGACGGGTACAGCAGGAAAAGGCTAATGTTCAACTATCCACGTGGGTATCTACCCCAGCAAGGTGGTTATCACCAGGCTAAAGCTGGACAAAGACTGCAAAGAGATCTTTGAACGGAAAGCCACATCTCACCAAGTAGGAAAAGAGAAGGGCAAATGCAAGGAAAAAACAATTGAGAGGATTCAGGAATAAATCTTACATATAACTTTCATTAAAAACTGCTAAAATAAAAAAAAAAGAGAGTGTTCCTAATACCCAGTGTTACTTGCTGAATTGATATTCTGAAAGCACAGACTCAAGGTTTCATTTGCCAATTTAAGGGAAGAAAACAAGAGACTTCAGTTTGTTCACTTTTAATTCTATCCAAATACAATTGACCTTTCTAAGCAAAGCTCACCCCATGTCTTCCATAACGTCCCCCTCCACCTATCCAAGCAATGCAAGTTATCTCATGCAAAGCAATGTGACACTTGTCTCTAACACCTGTTTGGCACTTATTTATATCTTATTCAGCTTTTTATAGTTAGTATCTTTATGTGTATATTGTGAGGTGTTCTCCACTTAAGTAGACTATAGGATACTTAAAGGTAAGACTCTGTCCGGCACTTTTATTGCCCCTAGTGACTTACACAAAGTAAGAAACATAATAGATGCTCAATAAATATTTTCAGATATATTGATATTTGTTGGTAAATTTTAATAGAACACCTCCAGTGAGGTTTGTTCCTTCGCATAGATGCTGGCATATCCACTTTGAGTCTCCATTAACATCAGTGGTTTAGACTCAAAGATCACAAACACTTCTGCTCCCTTTTAGTACTAACTCTTGGTCTACCTGCTGTGCACACACATCCTTTCTGGATGATGGACTAGTTGCAAGGGGCAACACGAGGGCTACCAAAACACCAGAAAGTCTGATATTCCTGCAAAGAAGCCTTTGAGCTTCAGACCAAGGGCACTCCTCTCCCAACCTCTCATAGTGACTTGAGTTACAACTTGGTTTTTCCCAATTTTGGCATCAGAAGCATCCCAGCAATAAAAATATCAGGACTACAGTCCCTCAGCCTTCCACCCTGCCCCTTCTTGAATTTCTCCATGTTGGCTTCTTACCTGTTGGTTCTTCCAAATCCAAGACAAGGCAGACAATGTCTCACAGCTGGCATGACAACCCATGTAAATATAGCGCAAAGACAGCAGGTACTGAGTTTTCTTTCAAATGTTTCATGACAAAGATTCTGTCTTAATTTACTTCTAGACAAGAATAAAAACCATGTCTCCTGAAAAGGGTTCTCTCTAGAGCTTTTAAATGTGTTTGCATAACGTTGTCATGACAGAGTGTTTGCTCAGCTTGCCTCTTCAGCAGGGCCCTAGCATTCTTGGGTACTGATACTCTGCTTGCAATTCCAGGGCCTTGGGTCAACAAGTGAAGTCTTGTTTCCACCAGTGGAATTTACAAAGCTGAGAAGAGCCACCAAAAGCACAAAGTCTCAGTTATCTCAACCAGAGAGAAGAGAATTTTTTCTGCAACCCTTGCACAACAGCTTTGCTTATTGAGAAAACAGGGTAGGAGAAGTTTAAGAAAATAAGAACCCTTCAACCTTTCCTATACAAGAGAAGCAACATGGAAGAGCCACGGGTAGCTTCTAACATGACAAGATGACCAGGAAATGTAGGAAATGCCTTTAGAAGACATTTCAGGGCAAAATTCAGGGAGACTATTTAGGCGGAAGATTGCAGAGGTACCTAGAGTCAGACTTGCTTTTCTAGCAGGGGGCTTGAGGATGTTCGCCACTGGGCAATGAGGGCCACGCCCCACTGCACCCTTCACCCGGATTTTCTGCCCTGTTAACATGGTTCTAATTTTCTCATAACTTACTTTTCAAAGACCTCTTAAATTTTCTAGGCTAGGAGCCAGGGCTAAAGAAGAGCCTACAAATGAAATGCTACGGATGCCTTTCCCCCTGTTTACATCTGTGGGCCCTGACTTACCAAAATAACATTTTGGCAAATGGATCTCTTCTTACTGATATTTAGAATGTCACAGAGATAGAGACAGTTTTGGTCTCCAAAGAATGGCCCAGATGTTTCATGTCGTGAGACATTAACAATATTCCCCAGGCAGCTCAGTGCTGGTATGATCACAAATCATCTTGGCTTCCTCCCTAGAAAAGAATGTGGTTCCAGTTCTTCACCCATTTATCTCCATTATAATGATACCAAGGGTGAAGTTCAGACACTGACATTGCTTTCATGCCAGTTCTGGAAGCAGATAAGTCCATTTCCTTGTATGGAGTTGTTAAGCTTTTTCTAGAAGGAATTTCAAATTCCTCATCTCAAAGTTTATGTTTCTTTGGCAAACGTAACCCTTGAGGCTTGCTGTGTTTTCAGTCCACTTTTGGAGCTCAAGAAGACATTAATGTTACCTGCCTGGCTTCTATCTTTGTTTTTTTCTTTAAGTACTGCAGTTCTGAGTAAAATACCTCAAACCCAGGAATCTTATTACCTCACTCCAGAGCACCCTCTGGAAGTCAGCACAGAAATGCTAGCCTGAAAAGGGCTCCAGCAACACCACCAAACAGCCAGTTACCTTTTTCCTTCTCTGGCCGCTGTTGGTGATTTTGTCTGGGGTAACGCCCAGGTCGGCCAGTACTTTGGCGATTCCTCTGGCATCCACTCCACAGTTGGGAGCCACGTTGGTCTCACATCGACGGTGAACATTCATTTTGCAGACTGTAAGGAGACATGGAGAAAAGACAGATAAGTGTTCATGGCCTAAGATGTTGCTTCTTTTCTTTGAGATTGTATTATATGTTCATGAAGTATTACATGTTCATTTAAGATATAATTTGGAAAATACAGAAATATATATATATATATATATGTCTTCCATCATACAAAACCAAAATCATTCATTAAACCACCTTGCAGAGATAACCACTGTTTCTAGTACTTCATTCCAGCCATCCTTTCTACGTATACCCTAAATATAGATAAGTAAGTAAATGTCACATTTATATTTCCCTCCAGGGACTGGGAATCTTTCAGATCTCCAGTCTGAATTCAATGAATTCCTTTGCTTTTCCCTCTTCACTTAGTTGTCCTTGGTGTAAGACATCACAGGTGAAAACAACCTGCTCATTGAAGTCTGGCACCTAAGGGGCTTAGAAGTCAGCAGCACTCCATTCTAACAAGCAAAACGCTGAACAAACTACAAAATCAACAGCTCTTCCGAGATCCACCAAGTGAAGTGAAGTCCTAGGGCAAACTGAAACTGCTGCTCCCAGAATTAGACAGCCAACCAGGCGAATACAGAGAATCGCAACTTACTGAAGCAGAAACCTCTGTAGGAACAATGCTGGGGTAGAAAAACTGTAACTGTAACCAACAAATGGGCTCAGAGCAGACAAGCCTGAGAGTCAAAAACTCTAAGGGGGACCCAGTCGTTGAGTTGATAGACTTTTGTACATTCAGTTGAGAGTCGTGCTCTTCAGGAGCTCAACTAGATTCTCATAGTAAATATGGAGAAAATCTCAGGATTTCAGTGTGGGGGTTGGGGGTGGGGAACGTGGGGAGAGAACCATTTTTTAAAATAGCCCAGAGCACTCTGCTCTTCTTAACGAGGGCTTCTCTTAGGAGAAACTATTTTATCAGAGGTTGAGGGTTGTTTTTTTTTTTTATCAGAGATTGAGGTTTTATCAGACCCCGACTGATCTGGGGACAAGGAAATCCCCAACTCCAGCCCACTCTAGCCATCCTGTCCTATCTAAGGCCAGGGGAGGACTGAACAGCACTTGTGAGGTTCACAGCTCAAAGGCACAAATTCATGAAAACACCCTAATCACAGCTCTATGTAATTCTTTCCCTCCCTCCACACGTTACTCACATTACTAACAGCCTGTTTACTGACAGTTCCTTTTACCCGGTATATAATGTCTGGCAAGAAAAAACTGTAAGGCATCCTAAAAGGCAAAGAAAAAAAAAAACAAAAAAACCCCAAAAAACCAGTTTGAAGTGACAAGGCAAACATCAGAACTAGACTCAGATATAGCAGGGATGCTGGAATTATCTGACTGGGAATTTAAAACAACTATGATTAATATGCTAAGGGTTCTAATGGATAATGTACACAGCATGTAAGAACAAATGGGCAGTATAAGCAGAGAGATGGAAATGCTAAGAAAGAATCAGAAGAACTGCTAGAGATCAAAAACACTAACAGAAATGAAGAAAGCTTCTGATGGGCTTATTAGTAGTCTAGACATGGCTGAAGAAACAATCTCTGAGCTTCAGGATATATCCATAGCAGCTTCAAAAATGAAAAAATAAAGAGAACAAAGACTGGAAAAAATATCCAAGGATTGGGTGATAACTACAAAAAGTGTAACATATGCAAAAAGAGACTACCACTACGAGAAGAAAGAGAAAGGAACAGAAAAAAATATTAATATTTGATACAATGAGGACAGAGAATTTCCCAAAATTAATGTCAGACACCAAACCAAACCACAGCTCCAGGAAGCTTGAAGAACACCACACAGGATAAATGCCAAAAAGAAACAAACAAACAAACCAACAAAAAACTATACCAAGGCATATAATTTCTAAACTACAGAAAATCAACTATTTAAAAAACGCTGAAAGAAGTCAAAGGAAAAAAAAAAGTTTTACCTATAAAGGAGGAAAAATAAGAATTACATCCAACCTCTCCTCAGAAACCATGCCATCAAGAAGTTAAATATTCAAAATGTTGAGATAAAAACCCCACCACCCTAGAATTCTCTACCCTGCAATATTATCCTTCAAAAGTGAAGGAGAAATTAAAACTTCCTCAGACAAACAAAAATGGAAGGAATTTATGGGCAGTGATCTGCCTTGTAAGAAATGTTAAAAGTAGTTCTTCAGAGAGAAGACAAATGATACAGCTCAGAAACTTGGATCTACATGAAAAAGAGAGCAGGTAAAGAAAGGTGAAGAAATAAGTGGAGGTAAAATAAAAACTTTTATTTTTATTCTTAATTAATTTAACAGCTAATGGTTTGCCCAAAATCATAATATTAGTAATGTGCTGATTATGTGTAATTATAGTATTTCATATATGCTAGGTATGCTTATGTGTAAGTGAAATAAATGATAGTAATGAGACAAGGATGGCAGGGAGGAATTAGGATAATTTTGTTATTATAAGGTACTTGTACTGTCATGAAGCAGCACAATATTATTTGAAAGTAGATTTGGATTTGTTGTAAATGCATACTGCAAACTCCACAGCAAGCACTAAAATAAGTAAAAAAGAAAGTATAAATGATACGCTAAGAAAGGAGAGAAACAATACGAACATATTAAATGCTCAATTAAAACCACAAAAGGCAGAAAATGAGTGGAAGACAAACATAGAAACAAAGAATAAGGGCAACAAATAGAAAACAGTACTAACTATAGTAGATATTAACCCAAGTATGTCAATAATCAATAATCATTGACTTCAAATGTCAATAGTCTAAATATACCAATTAAAAGACAGATTGTTAGAGTGGATCAAAAAAAACAAGACCCAACTAACTATATGTTGTTCACAAGAAACCCACCTTAAAGACACATACAGATTAAAAGTAAAGACATAGAGTAAGATATACCATGCTAACACTAAACCCAAAAAAGCAGAAAAGCTAAATTAATTTCAGACCCAGCAGACTTCAGAGCAAGGAAAGTTATTAGGGATAAAAAGGTCAATTCTCAAAAAAGACGTAATTTTTAACGTGTATGTACCTAAAACCAGAGCATCAAAGTAAGTGAGGCAAAAACTGATGGTACTACAAGGAGAAACAGATGATGCTGCTATTATAATTGGAGACTTCAGCACCCCTTTATTCAAAAATAAACAGATCTAGCAGGCAGAAACATTAATCAAATCAACAGCAACATTAATCAACAGCAACATTAATCAACTGAATCAACAGCAACATTAATCAACTGAATATAACTGACATCTATCAACAACTTCATTCGGTGACAGAAGAATACACATTCTTCTCAAGATATGAAGCAATCACCAAGAAAGACCACATTCTGGGCCATAAAATACACCTTAACAAATTTAAAAGAATGGAAATCATACAATGTTGGCTTTAGACCACAATGGAATTAACCTGGAAATCAATAAGAGAAAGATAGCTCAAAAATTCCAAAATACTTGGAGATTAAACACATTGCTAAATAGCATATGAGTGAGAAAAGAAATCTCAAGATAAGTTTTAAAATATTTTGAATTAATTAAAATACAACTTACCGGCCGGGTATGGAAGCTCATGCCTGTAATCCCAGCACTTTGGGAGGCCAAGGCAGGTGGATCACTTGAGGTCAGGAGTTTGAGACCAGCCTGGCCAACATGGCAAAACCCCATCTCTACTAAAAATACAAAAATTAGCCAGGTGTGGTGGCGTATGCCTGCAATCCCAGCTATTTGGGAGGCTGAGGCAGGAGAATCGCTTGAACTCGGGAGGCAGAGGTTGTAGTGAGCCGAGATCATACCACTGCACTCCAGCCTGGGTGACAGAGTGAGACTCTGTCTCAAAAAAATAAATAAATAAAATAAAAATAAAAAATGAAATAAAATAAAATACAACATCAAAATTAGTGGGATATAGCAAAAGCAGTGCTTCAAAGGAAGTTTATAGCATTGAATGCATATATTAGGAAAAACATTCTAAAAATCAATAATCTAAGCCTCTATCTTAGGAAACTAGAAAAAGGAGACCAAAGTAGCTTACTTAAATCCAAAGTAAGCAGGAGAAAAGAAATAATAAGAATTAGAGCAAAAATCATTTGAATTAAAAACAGAAAATCAGTAGAGAAAAACCAACAACAAAAAGCTGGTTCTTTGTAAAGAGCAATAGACTCAATAAGCCTCTAGTAAGGCTAGTGAGAGAGAGAGAGAGAAAGAGAAGACACAAATTATTAATATCAGAAATGAGAGGACATCATTATGGATCCTATGGGCATTAAAAGAATAAAAGAGTATTATAAAGAATATTATGCCTATCATTTGATAACCCACACAAAATGAGACTAATTCCTTAAAATACACAATCTGCCACAACTTACATAAGAAGACATACACAGTACAAACAGGCTTATCTTGTAAAGCAATAGAATCAATCATTAATAACCTTCCAAAACAGAAAGCACTAGGCCCAAATGGTGAATTCTGCCAAACACTTAAGGAAGAAATTATATCAATTCTCTATAATATCTTCTAGAAGAAAGAAACAGACAGAATATATCCTAACTCATTTTAGGAGGCCACCATTACCATAATATCAAAGCAAAGATATTATAAAATCTACAGATCAATAACTTTTATGAATATGAATGCAAAAAATCTTCAACAACAATCAGCAAATTGAATCCAACAATTTATAAAGAGAATTACACACCATGACCAAGTAGGATTTATCCCAGGCAAGCAAGGCTGGTTCAACATTTGAAAAATCAACTAATGTAATCAATTGTTATCAATAGACTAAAGAGAGAAAAAAAATCAAATAATTCTAACAATAGATGTAGACAAAGCATTTGACAAAATCCAAACCTATTTATGATAAAATATCTCAGTAAACAAGGAACTGAAGAGAATTTCCTCAACTTAATAAAGAACATCAACAAAAACCCTACAGCCAATTTCATACTAAGATCAGGAACACAAAAAGGATGCTCCCTCTCACCACTCCTTTTCAACACTATACTGGAAGTTCTAACTAATGCAGTAAGACAAGAAAAAGAAATAAAAAGTATACTGATTGGAAAGGAAGAAATAAAACTATAAAACTATCTTTGTTTGTAGATGATATGATTGTCCATGTAGAAAATCCAAAAGAATCAACAAAAAACTCCTGGAACCAATAATGATTATAGCCAGATTGAAGAATACAAAGTTAATATACAAAAGTCAGTTGTTTTCCTATACACCAGCAATGAACAAATGGAATTTAAAAATAAAAACAATACCATCTATGTTATCATTCCCCCAAATGAAATATTTACATATAAATCTCACAAAATATGTACAAGATCTATATAAGTAGAACTACAAAACCGTTGTGAAAAAAATCAAGAACTAAATACATATAGAGATATACCGTATTCATGGATAGAAAGACTCAGTATTTGTCAAGATGTCTTTCCAAACTCGATCTATATATTCAACGCAACCTTAATCAAAATCCCAGCAAGTTATTTATGGATATCGACAAACTCATTCTAAAGTTTATATGGAGAGGCAAAAGACCCAGGCAAAAGACCCAAGCAAAAGGCTAACACAATATTGAAGAAAAAGAACGAAGTCAGAAGACTGACACTACCCAATTTCAAGACTTACTATAAAGCTGAAGTAATCAAGACAATGTGGAATTGGCAAAACATCAATGGAACAGACAAATAGATCAATGGAACAGAACAGACAGCCCAGAGCAGACCCGCACAAATACAGCCAACTGATCTTTGACAAAGAAGCAAAGGCAATAAAATGGAGCAAAGACAGTTTTCAACAAATGGTGCTAGAAAAACTAGACATGCAAAACAGTGAATCTAGACACAAACCTTACGATCTTCACAAAAATGAATCCAAAATGGACTGTAGACCTAAATGTAAAAGGCAAAACTATGAAACTCCTTGAAGATAATATAGAAGAAAATATAGGTAACCTTGGCTACACAGATAACTTTCTTGATGCAACACCATGATGCATGGACATGATCCATGAAAAAAAGAGCTGATAAGCTGAACTTCATTAAAATAAAAAACTTTTGCTCTGTCCCCCACCTCCCCAAACTAAAACAAACAAACAAACAAACAAAAAACAAACAAAACCAAACCACACACTGCCAATAGAATAAAAAGACAAGTAACAGACTGGGAGAAAGTATTTACAAAAGACATATATGATAATATATGCCTATATTATCCAATATAGGCAACAAACTCTTAAACTTAACAATAACAAAATGAATAACCCAATGGGCAAAAGACTTGAGCATACACCTCGCCAAAGAAGATATTCAGATGGTAAATAAGCATAGGAGAAGATGCTCCACTTCATGTGTCATTAGGAAATTACAAATTAAAACAATGAGATACCACTACACACCTATTAAAATGGCCAAAATACAAGGAGGTAACTGATAACACCCAATGCCATTCAGGATATGAAGCAACAGGAACTTTTTATTCATTGCTGGTAGGAATGCATAGTGGTCCAGCCACTTTGAGAGACAGTTTGGCAGTTTCTTACAAAACTAAATATACCATTACCATAAGATCCAGCAATTACACTACTGATATTTACCCAAATGAGGTGAAGAGTTATGTTCATATAAAAACCCGCACATGGATGTTTATAGCAGTTGTATTCATAATTGCCAAAACTTGAAAGCAAGCAAAATGTCCTTTAGTAGGTGAACGGATAAACTATGGTATATCCAGACACTGAAATATTATCCAGCCTTAAAAAGAAGTGAGTTAGCAACTGTGAAAAGACATAGCAGAACATTAAATGCATATTGCTAAGTGAAAGGTGCCAATCTCAAAAGGCTATCCCCTGTATCATTCCAACTATAGGACATTCTGGAAAAGGTAAAACTATGAAAATGGTAAAAAGTTTAGTGGTTACCAGGGGTTAGGAGAGAGGGAGGGATGAAGAAGCAGAACACAGAGGATTTTTAGTGCAGTAAAACTATTCTGTAAGATACTATAATGGTAGATTCATGTCATTATACATTTGTCCAAAATCATGGAAATGTACACCACCAAGAGTGAGCCCTAATGTAAACTATGGACTTTGATGATGATGTGTCAATGAAGGTTCACTGACCGTTAACAAATATACCACTCCGTTGCAGAATGCTGATGGTGAGGGAGGCCGTGCATGTGTGGAGGCAGAAGGTTTGTGGAAAATCTTTATACCTTTGACCTATTTTGTTGTGAACCTAAAACTACTCTAAAAAGTAAAGTCTACTAAAAATGTTTAAAAACCAAAACTGTTCCTGGAGTGAAGCCAGGCAGGATAAGCAGCCAGATCTCCGTAATGCTCTACATAACCTGGTCACCTGTCTGGAGAGAGCCCCCCCAGACCAGCCTGGACAGTTCAACTGAGCTACTGAACCCAAGATGCCCATTGGGCTAAAGGTGGGGGTGGGGTGAGGTGGTGGCAGGGTGGCTTTCTCAGGACAAAAACAAACAAGAAAACTCCAGCGCAGCCAGGCCATGGCACCGACTTGACTAATGGAGTTATCACTAATAACTCTGATCCGCGGGCTGATCAGAGACCAGGCAACAGCACTGTGCCCAGAATTCTGTCCCCACTACCCTGCCTCATTGCATCAGCTGCCCTTTGATGCTCATTCACCACACCTGCTCCACCCACCAAACCCATGAAAGCTGTCTTCTGCCTCTCTGTGAAGTGACGGAAAAGAGAATAAAAGAGCCAAGTTGAGAATTTCTTGAGAAGGGCAACTAACTTGTCTACATAACTTGACCACTAGCTCCCTCTGGTGTTGAAATGCCAGACCTGTCTGTCCTGACAAAACAACTTGGGCTGGCAGGTCGGCAAAGGGGGTATCTTTTTTTGGTTTTGGTTTTGAGGACTTTGCCTTTTATTTTTAAAAAGTCTGCTATTTCCCCTGAGTTATGTACTCATCTTAATATGTAAAAAAAATCTCAATCACACATCAGTTAGCATGCACGATGTGAGATAGTGACTTTGAAAGTGCTTTGAAAAGTCTGGAAATGCCAGGGCAAAGTGGTGAGGAAGGGGAGCTCCAGTTACTCTGGGCAGCCATAACGGGAGCAAGATGGGCTCCTGGAGGCTGCAGGTGTCACTGGGAGGCCACAGACCAGCAAAGGACAGTGGGCGTCCCTGTTGGAACCAAAAGAAACCTGAGATGCATTTGCATTAATGTGGCCAAATGAACCACCCACCCCCACCCCTCACAACACTACTGGGGAGCACCAAGGCCAAAGGCCGTGAGCCCCTGCTGCCAATCCACTCCCAGCCCTAGGCTGCCCTTTAAGGCTTCTCTTTCCAGAATGCCTCTCAGTGCTCACTTTCACTGGTTTCATTTGGATAAAGTTGTACCGGGAAGAAATAGATCTGCTTTGCCAGGGGCTCTTACAAAAAGAGAAGCGCTCTTCTACTACTACCCAGCTATTCACCACACATTTGTTGAGGACCTACTATGTGCTGGGTGGTGCAGCAGCAGCAGTGTTGTCTGGGGACACACTGGGGTTCAGGCACTCTGACTTTCACCTTCTATCACACATCCTACCGTCATTTGGAGAGACTTGGTTTCCATGTTTCCACCCTTTTTATAGCTGAGATTGAAGCAAAAGGCAGGCCAGGCTCCTGGGAATTCCTCCAAAGCAAGCAGACAACCTTCTGGGAATGGTGACAGAGCCACTCCTAAGGAGGGGCCCAGGCCCATGTATGCTGCAGGAATTTCTTTATGTTGGGGTAATTTGGCCCTTGAGGGTGAGCCAGGGCAATGGTTTGATTTCATAACAGGTTCCAGTCATGCCAAGCTCAGAGACAGAGAGCAAATATTTGCAAATGGGAAATTGTGTGCTTGTGCAATGGAAGTTGGCAGGGGTGTGAGAGTGAACGACCGCAAAGTCGTTCACGCAGAATGAGGAGAAAGGAGGTAAGAGGGATGCCCCCCTGGGGTCATGCTGGGCCAAATGTCATCACCAGAAAGAGATTTTGGAGTCCTGATCACACCAGAACCGTGACTCAGAGCTTTCCGGGGACCACGATCGGCCGCTTGTCTGCTACCCAGCATTCCTCAGATCAAAGCTCAGACTGAATTTTCAGCCAATCTGCCACGTGTACAGGGGACATTCTCATGGTCCCCAGGCATTGTGGATGTTACTGCAAAGGATTCTGAGTCAACCAAAGCACTCCTGTGGCATTCTTTCTCCCTACACCCCTTTCCAGGCCCTCTCTTGCCTGTAAATTGCTCACACTTATTTCTGACTCAATGCCTGAATTATCGCCTATGATTTCACTTATTATGTTCAATGACCAAGCACAGTGCAAGTTTCTAGAGAACTAAAGTAATGTTTTATCTCCAGGTTCACCACGACGCCTTGCACAAATCAGGACAACATGCTTTTCAGTTATTCTAACTCTACGGAAAGTAGTAGTACTACAGTGGCATAAATGACACCTCTCAGACCAGACCCAATAGATAACAGGGAACTAGAATCCCAAGCTCACCATGCAAGCCACACAAATTAAACGTCAATGAAAAGGAAGGTAAAGCAGTCCATTAACATGGCTTGACTTTAAAGCAAACAAGTAAAAGTGCCCTTATGTAATTCCCTCCTTGTATAATTCAACCACAAAAAGACAAGGGTTTAAAGTGATTGTTTGATTTCTGTGGGCCTTTCTTTCATAATTATTCACACATATGCATGAAAAGGTATGTATGAGGATGTCTGTGACAGCATAAATTAAAATGGCGACAACACACAAACCAGTAAACATCCATCAAGAGGGCAACATTTTAAACAATCTACGGAACATCCACAATGTGGACTCTTTCTAGTAAGTAAAGTAGATGTCTGTACACTGCCTTGGAAATACTCCAAGACATACTGTAGAAAAGCAAATTATATAACTATGCACGGAGGATTGAATTAACAAATATTTATTGGATGTCAGTGTGCAGGCACTGTTCTAGATGCTGGGTAAACAGAGAATAAAACAGACAAAAAAAAATCTCTGTCCTCATGGACCTTGTATTTGGATTGGGAGAGACAGAAATTAACATTATAAGGTCTGGCGTGGTGGCTCATGCCTGTAATCCCAGCACGTTGGGAGGCTGAGGTAGGTGGATCACTTGAGGTTGGGAGCTAAAGACCACCCTGGCCAACATGATGAAACCCCATCTCTACTAAAAATGTAAAAATTTGCCGGGCGTGGTGGCAGGTGCCTGTAATCCCAGCTACTTGGGAGGCTGAGGCAGGAAGATCACTTGAACCCAGGAGGCAGAGGTTGCAGTGAGCTGAGATTGCACCGCTGCACTCCAGCCTGGGTGACAAAGTGAGACTCTGTCAAAAAAAAAAAAGAAGAAAGAAAGAAAGGAAGAAAGAAAGAAACTAACATTATACAAGTAATTTAGACTGGGTGCAGTGGCTCACACCTGTAATCCCAGCACTTTGGGAGGCTGAGGAGGACGGATCACTTGAGGTCAGGAGTTTGAGACCAGCCTGGCCAACATGGTGAAACCCTGTCTCTATTAAAAATACAAAAATTAGCCTAGTGTGGTGGCATGCACCTATAGTCCCAGCTACTCCAGAGGCTGAGGCAGGAGAATTGCTTGAACCTGGGAGGTGAAAGTTGCAGTGAGCTGAGAGCCGAGATCATGTCACTGCACTCCAGCCTGGGCAACAGAGCGAGACTCCATCTCAAAAAAAAAAAAAAGAAAGTAATTTAGAATATTAGAAGATGATAAGTGCTATGTTAGAAAAAAAAGCAGAGGAAGTAAGAGACGAGAGACAAGAGCTTGAGAGCTACCCAGTGGTCAGGGTAGACCCCATAGACAAGACGATTGCATTTGTGAGGAGGCGAAGGGGATGTGGATGGGGAGGTGCAGGTGTGCCAGGCAGCCCCTAAGCTGCCTCCTGATTGCCCCTGCCTCATAGTGTTCATGCTTTTATGTAACTCCCTCCCTTGGAGAGGACTGGACGTAGTGATTCTCTTCTAATGAACAGAAAACATCAAAAGCGATAAGATGTCCCATTGCCTCGTGTCTGGGGCATCTTTTCTCACTTTCTTGTTTGCATTGAAGGAAGCCAGTCACTGTGTGGAGAGGCCCATACGGCAGAGAACTGATGTTTCTGGTCAGTGGCCATGTGGGCGAGCTTGGAAGTGGATCCTCTTCCAGTTGAGTTTTCAGATGAGACAACAGCCCCAGCTCTCAGCTTGACTGAAACCTCATGAGAGTCAGATGCACCCAGCTAAGCTCCATCCAGATTTCTGACCAGCGGAAACTCTGAGAAAATAAGTATTGGTTGTTTTACACCACTATGTCCTGGGGTCATTTGTTATGTAGCAATAGACTCTAACGCAGTGTGTGTGAGTATCCGTGCAGCAAAGGCACACAAAAAGAGGACATTTTTAGAAGTAAGAGGACCCATAGCACATTTTTAGAAGTCTGAGGATGAAAGTGGAAAGAGAATATAAAGAAAGCCTTTAATATTTTTAATATATATCTAACTTCAGTCTTGCTTGGATCTTTGACAGTAAGAACAGTGAGAATGTATTTATGTATTGTGCTCTTTATAATTCTAAAAATAAAAGTTGAAGTTACGACAAGGGACCTAGCTGTTAAAAATAGTAAAGGACTGACATTTTCAGAAATGTTGAAAATTAAAAATTATTCTGCATGTTTTTAGTGTTTTTAAGTATCCAAAATACTTTTTTTTTTTTTTAAACAAGGAAAGGAAGGAAGGAGGGAGACAGGCAGGCCTTTCTTTCATCTTTATGGCTCTGCACAGCCACCCCAAGGTATGTGGCTAAGATCACTCCATTTTTATTTTTTATTACTGTCCTCAGAAGGGAAGAGGGCAGTTGGGGTTAAAAGCCAAGGGCACTAAGCCAGGGTGACCTGCTTGCAACCTCCCAGCTAGGCAGTACCCAAACCAGGACAGCTCCTCCAAATCCTAGCCTGTGATCTCTTCAGGCCACCACTCCTGTTTACTACTTACTGGAGAGGAGGGGACACCCTGTCCCCTTGGCCCCTGAAAACAGCCGCAGATCAGAGCAGTTATTAAGATGTGTGTCAGAGAGAGGCAGGAGCGAGGAAGAAGATTCTTTAGGAATCTCCAGGCCAGGTCTTCGTGGAGTACACCTTCCTCCCTGTGCCTCGTCCCCTGTCCTGGAGGACAGCAGGTGCAGAGCATTCACCCCAGATGGGGATGAGAAAAAGCAGGGCTTCCGCTTCCACAGGCCCCCGCAGGCCCAACTGCAGGCTCCGTCAGGAGGTCTGGCTTTCCTGTGAAGTTGCCCCTTGGTGCCCGATGACTTCAGAGCAGCTGTGCTGAGACATGAGTGTGGGGGATGGGACGGGGGCAGGTGAGAACTGGATCTTCTCTAGAGAAGGAAACTGCAATCAAAGGGTATTGGGTGTCTCTGCCTCCAGGGGCCACTGACTCCATGTGTCAATGGGAAAATAAAACAGGTGGAAAAGGGCCCCAGAGAGGCCCATGGTGCCAGTGAACCTGAGATTGGAGAAGGCAGCACTGTTCCAACAAAGTGCAGAATGAAAAGGCTACAAATGCCCGAGACTAGCGATGCTGCTCCTGGAACCTGGGAAGCTGATTTCTGGACTGTTTAATAGTGGTTGAGGGGCTCGGACAGACCCACGAATGAGTCTGGAGAGACTCAGACGCAGCAGGCACTTGAGTCACAAAATGAAAGAAAGAAATGAACTATTTTGCCTGCTCACTTTGTGCCAGCATTTTTCTGCCCTCGGTTAAGGATCTCAGTTACCCAATGATCGTGTGAGCATCCTGCAAGGGTCTGGCCCCTCTGTGGCTGTGGGCTGCAAAGGACAAGGGCTGGTTGCCCCACAGTTCCTGGTTGTATGCCCTGCATGCACCCACTCTTTCCAGATTTCCATTTCCTTGTCATAAAAGCAGACATAATTATGCTCCCTCTACCTGGCTGACAAAGGGACAGTCCCCAGAAGGGTACACACACAATGCTTGAACCTGTGTGGCTCAGACAGTTTTAGACTGGAGAAAGAGTGACCAGGACAGTCTCATGGATCCCTCCTCGTAGACCCAAGCTCTGAAGAAACCTGTTTTGCTGAAAATACTGTAATCTATTTCCAGGAATGGGAACGGGAATGGCAAAAAAGCTGAAGCCATAGGGCAGCAGGCCAAATAGATGATCTCCAGCCAGGACCAGGGGACCAGAGCTCCAGCCTAGCAGGCCCTGCTAGCATGGTCCAGCAAGACAGAAAGCCTGGCTGAGTCTTCCTAAGCAGCAAAGGGTGGCATAGGGCACCTGCCAAAGCCAGGAACAGGGCCAGGCTGCATGGGTGCAAGAGCCAGCTTCATAGGGACTTGCTCGGGGATGCTTGCAGGTCACTAAGTCTTGATTTCTTTTTCTTAGTAATCATAGTAGCAGAACCAGGCTTAGACCTGGGCACAAGCAGCCCCTGCCTTGGGCCCATGCTGGCCTCTTCTGGCCATGACCCCTCTCCACAGGGTAAGGAGTCTACAGGGCCAAGAAGCCTTAAGGAGGAGAAAGGATCTAAAGAGATAAGTGGAAGCAGGCAATTTTCCAGGGCCATCCAGCTAATCTGTATGATACTATCATGGTAGATAACGAGCACTGTCCATTTGTCCAAATCCACAGAATGCTCAACACCATGAGTGGATCCCAAGGTAAACCACAGACTGTGAGTGATAATGATGTGCTGTGCAGGTTCCGTGGCTGTGCACGTGTGCTGCTGTGGTGGGGATGCTGGTGGGGGGAGGCCATGTGTGTTGGGGGGCACATAATACAGGGACTCTCTGTACTTTCTGCTCAATTTTGCTGTGAACCTAAAAATGCTCTTAAAAAAATAAGGTTTCTTAATTAAAGAGAGAGGAAGACAAAGAGAGAGGGAGAGGGAGAAGGAGAGGGTCACAGAACAGCAGCAAGGGGAAAAAAAGGCCAAGTAATAACATCAGAGCCACAGAAGAGTAAAAGTCTGCACACTTTGGCTGGGGAGCTTCAGGTCTCAGCCTTCGTCTTCTAGCCCTCATGCGGCCTGATTCCCTCCGGGTTCCTGGGCTCCCATGGACAGATACCCTTGCTCCAGGCATCCTAATTCTGCCCCTTCTTTCCTTGAGCAGGGGCAAGAGCATTTCCTGCCCAACAAGAGCTGAATACACTGTCCCTGCCCCTCCTTCTTCCAGGGTCATTGGGGACCCACAGCCCTCACAGTGATGTCTGGGTGTCTGGGCTGCTTTCTTAAAATATCAATATTTATGATGATAGTATCTTCATTTAGGTTCACTAGATAGATCAATAATTAATATATTTACAAAAAAAAAAACAGACATCAGCTCATCAGGGTTCCCTCCAAAGCAGGCCCTGCTTCCCGGCAACCACACTAATCTTTCCAAAAGCACATCACTCCTCTGCTAGACACTCGAGACTCCTGCTCCCCTCCCTTCTTCCTCTTCTGCTCTCTTCACCTCACCTACAGGATTCCAGGCAGGCCCCATTTTGTTCAGGGTCACACACTAGAAAGAATACTCCAACGGGGAAGTGGAATGGCTCCGCCCCCACCTCCAGGGGTGCCGGGAAGCTCACAGGATGCTGGGCATGTCCACAGTCAGCACCTCCTCATGTCCAGTGGCTGGATTGTGTTCTGTCCCCACAATTGCTATTTCCAGCCCTCACCACCCTCCTCGTGCCTCTCACACCCCCACTTCTCCCTCCTACTTCAAAAAAGACTTCCTCTTTCAGAAAATAAGGGGAATCTCCTTGCAATGCCCTCAACAGATTCAAAACTTAAATGATGACTTTGTCCACTCACCTCCTCCTGGATTTCTATCCCTGACACCCGAGATGCATCTGCACCCAGGCCTGGTAGCCAGGCTTGCCCTCCATCTGGGGAAGGCGGTGTCCATCATTCTCCCCAAGGCCCATCCCCGCTCGCCTCCCCTTCCCTGCTGTATCAACAGTCAGTCCCCTCTCCCTTCTGCCTCATCCATCTCTCCTTTGCCACTGTCTTTTTCCTGACTAAAACATTCTGAAAAAACATCTCCCTCTATTAGCACTTTAGCCTACAGCACTTGGGCTCCATCCCACTGTCCCACTAAGACAGCTCCTGCTGAGGTTCCTAGTGACCTCCTTGTTGTTAAATCCAACCCCATGTTTCGTGTCTTATCTTAAATAACCTGTTGGAAAGCATTTGGCACCACTTCTTTATAAAACTGTTAAAAATTATCTACTCTTTTGGCTTCCATGGTGCCATTCTTTGCTACTTTTCCTCCTACCTGTGAGTGCTTCCCTCTCATTGCCTTGGCAGGCCCACCCTTGGATGTTGGTACCCACCCTCATGGTGTTATCTTTGACTTTTTTCTCTTCATACTCAATGTACTTACCCTGGAGAATGACATTGACTTTATAGCTTTAATTGCTTAGATCCTGACAAAACCCACATCTAAATGCTCAGTCTAGACCTATTCCCCAACTGTCAGTGAGAATGTCCAACAGGTGGACAGCTTCGTGTCAATTTGCCACGGGCACCTCGAGTTAAGGTGTCCCCAGCTCAGGCTCCATTTCTACCTCCAACCTTATCCTCCCTCTTGTATCCCCATCTCAGTGAATGCTATCACTGCCCTCCCAGCTGCTTCTGGTCACTACATCCAATAAATCATTCCTCCTTGATATATTAAAGTCATTCTCCTCTTCATTCCCACTGCAGCCCTGATCTTATTTCCAATTCTCATAGTTTCTCATTGGGATCCCTTCAATGACCAATTTGTTATGTCCTAGGTTTATTTTCTTATACTTTACTTATATTCTTCTAATTTTTCTACAATGGGAATTTATGAATAATACATTCCACACAAACAGTAAAACACTATTTTAAAATATTGTCCATGCAATATCCCTGCCTAGTAGTTCACGGTTGCCCAACCGTGCAAGCAGGCTGGACCGGCTTATAAAACTGGACACACTTCTCAGGCCACCAGAATACATTTCCACCTCCCTGTGTTATATGCTACTCCCCGTGCCACTTAGCATCATCATCTGAGTGCGCTGTTTGCGGGTGGCACGGCAGGAAACAGGAAGGAACTGAGGACGCGAGAGTCAAGGTTCAAATCCTACTTCTGCTAATAAATTGTGTGATGTGAGCAAGTTGCTTAGTCTCTGAGCCTCCGTTTCCTCACCAGGGCCATGGGAATAATATCCCCTATGTCCCAAGCTGGTGACGAGTCAGCAAGCTACCTTATGTGACAAGGTTCTGGCATGGCTCTTTCAAAGAGTAAGCACTGAGCCATGGACCATGCAAGAAAAGCCTCAATTCACACCTCTCACTTCCTTCATGGCCTAACTCCAAAAATATTACTTTTCTTCTGCTCTAATGTATCTTTCCTGAAATTATTATGCTTTTGTAGACTCATTTTGTCTCCCCAGATTGTGAGTGATCTTAAGGCGTGGAGTCCGCCCTCCTCCTTCCTCGGTGTTTCCCTCCACCCAGTCCTGGATGGTCTCTGCCCAGAGTCTGCCTACCAAATGCACAGAGTTACTAATGCAGGATTAACAAAGGCTTGCACTCAGTTCTTGGCCAAATCTGGAATCAGACAAGGGTTTTTTATAAAGCAGGGATGGGGGCAGGCAGCAAGGAAGGGGACATGCAGGGGCTGAGGGCAGGGCAGGGAGCAACTTACCTTTACACTGCAAACCCTGCCGCAAGAGTCCCCAGAGCAGGGACCCACAGTGATCGCAGAAGGTAGGGACCTTGTAGTTGTGGATACCGAACTTGTGGGGCATGTTGACGCTGAACCGCTGGGAGCCCACCTGCAGGGATGGCAAGATACAGGTTCACCACCGAGCTCCTCAGTTCCCCAGAAGACTTGTCAACGGAACTCTCAAAGAACTTTTTCCAAGAGAGCTTGTGTCATTGTAGGTGGCAGGCCCTAGCTTGGCTCTAAAAGCTGCCCTGAGGTGAAAAGAGCTTCCATCCTGCCCTGGCCTTGGCTCCTGATGCTCTTAACTCACTGTTGGCTACTCCATTTGACTGTGCAAGGCCAGGCCTACTCCCCAACATGGTCCTCTCCAGGACTTCAGGACTTTAAGCAATCATAGTACAGTGTCCTCAATGTGTACCTCAGGCCGGGTGCAGTGGATCATATCTGTAATCCCAGCATTTTGGGAGGCTGAGGTAGGCGGACCACCTGAGGTCAGGAGTTCGAGACCAGCCTGGCCAACATGGTGAAACCCTGTCTCTACTAAAAACACAAAAATTAGCCGGGCATGGTGGTGCGAGCCTGTAATCCCAGCTACTCGGAAGGCTGAGGCAGGAGAATTGCTTGAATCCGGGAGGCAGAGGTTGCAGTGAGCCAAGATCATCCCACTGCACCCTAGCCTGGGTGACAGAGCAAGACTCTGTCTCAAAAAAAAAAAAAAAAAATTGTACCTTCAATACTGCTGTGTGCCTGGAAGCCCCACCTAGGCAAAAAGTCTCTAGGAAGCTCAATGGTGGACACGGGATTCTGTGCAGCAGCGTGTAAACTCTGCACAATGTTGTGGAAACTGTGGATCAGTCAGAACGGACAACAATTAGGAGGAAGATGGCTAATACAGAATGGTGAGCACTAAGAATGCTAAGGTCTCAGCCCTGACCACACACCAGGCACCATTATCTCAGTTAAACCTCACCACCACCCTACAGGGCAGTCCATGGTTACCGCAACTTCACAGATGAGGAAATGAAGGCACAGCACTATCATACCCTGTCCCACCCAGTGTCACAGGATGGCAGGGTCAATGAGACCTCAGGGGTGGAAGAGGCTAGAAGCATAACACATTTCATGGAAGCAAGGGTCTGCTGGGCTACCTTTCTGAGTCATCTCTGCCCCTCCACAGCGCTACCCTCCATCTATGTCTTTAGTGGAGCAGCTGCACCCCCAGCCCCTCTCAGTATCGGCAGGAGACCATCACCCAGGACATCCATGGGCTGGGGAGATCACTCTTGCTACCCCGGGGATTAGGAAGTGGCTGGCATGCGGCAAAGCTGGGCCTCAGCTCCCTGGCTGACTGATAAGTAACAGGCCCCCGTGGGGGACTAATGAGGGGTGAAATGAGAGCTGGAAAGGGAGCTCGACTTGAACGCAAGCATGAAGACAAGTTCCCTAGCACCCAGTTCCAAGGAATGGCTGATCCTTCCATTGGACCAAGATTTCACTGATCCCTACTGAAATGGATGGTCTACCACTTGAGGTCTTGCCTGGGAACAAGAATGTCAGCTCTACTGAAAACAACTATACTCACCCATTCTTAGATGCCTAGCTTAGGTGTGCCTGTTTGTGAATGTAGACATGTTGACTCTGCCATGGTCTCCCTCACTGCTAAGGAAGTACGAGATCACTGTGCCCACTCTATTCCTACACATACCCTGAAGGCATGGTGGACCTATACTGAGAATAGAGTCTTGGTCTCTCAGGAATCACCTCATAGGGGTATGAATGACAGACTAAGGCGAAAAAGTGGGGACGTTGTCCCAGGTGACCAAGAAATCCAGTGTGGGGGTGGAAAGAGCTACGTGACCCTCAGTTGGGACCACTAAAAACTCTAAGGTATCAGAGAACAGAGGGAGGAGGATGAAGGAGTCCACACAAGAGCATGCCACAGCATCAGACTGACCAAGAGACCAACACAAAGACGGCATGTGTGCAGGGGGACATGTCACATGTGCGCTTGCTGAGGAGGACACAGATACAATGGGGTGAGTGAGAGTCACAGAGAGAACATGGAGAGGAAGACAATGGCAGAAAGAATTGTGAGATTAAAGAAAAAAAAATGTGACACCAGTGGAGATGGAACATTGTTTGGTTACCACACCTGGAAGTGCAGGCAGGGTGTGAGTCCACCGCATGCTAAGACACACAGACATGAGATGGGGGGGACCGGCCGAGTGTTCACGGTGCAGGACACCCAAGAAGTCCATCACCAGAGCACCTTTTAATAGGAAGGAGGGCATTGAAAGCATGGTGTTTAGGGCTACATGTGTTTCTGGTGTGTATGTGTGTATGATGTGTGTATGCACAGGCATCACATTAAAGGTGGTTGCACAAAAGAACGAACTCAAAGTTTGGTCCCCAGCAGTTCAGTAACCCGGCAGAGGGCAAGCCCATCACCCTGAGGGGCAGATACACTGACACTAAGGGAGACTGGCCTCTGGAAGCACAAGGTGGTGGCGGGGAGAGCCAGGACTGGGAGTCAACTCCACCAAGCTAAGAAACCCAGAGCCTCCCTCTCTCAGTCCCTGGCAATTTGTCCCTTGGTGATACATGTCAAGTTTGGGAACACACTTCACTGGAGACTTCTTCTCACTGCTCAATATGCCAGGAAAGACAGTCAGAAGAACTGGGTCACAGATCAAGCTGGGTTCTGAACATTTCAAATCTCAACCCTTTAACCTGCATGGCATGGACTCTTATCGGACCTTTCCCTCCAAAAAAGTGCAGAAGAGCTTTAGAGTCCTGCAGAGGCAGAGACCTGCAGGTGATGAGACTGAGATCCTTGAGGGAGGGACTAGTGTACTCCTCTTTGTTTCCATGGGACACAGCATAACGCCTGTCATACAGGACATACCCAGTAAATGTTCAATGGAATGTCCATAGGAAGGAAATAAGGCAGACAGCAAGCAAGCCATCTCTTTCTTTCATTTCCTCGTGAAAGCAACAGTGATGTACTGGGGTCATGATCCTAGACCAGGAGTCGGGAGGTGCAGGTGCTGGCTTGCAGTCTTAACCACAAGAGAGCCCCTGCAAACAATGTTGGTGCTCTGGGCTCAGACTAACCTTCACAGACACAGAAGGCTCAGTCTAAGCCTTGTCCTTTGTTGCTTTCCAGAGACAGTATGAAAGCAGAAGGAGAGAGAAGATGGGAAATGCCTTAGATGCCAGGATGCTATTTGACTCAATTATTAAGAAGCAGGTAGAAGTCTCTATAAGTCAGTCCTCTTGGAAGTCAAATTGTAGACCAGCTGATTATAAACCTACCCAAGGCCTTTCTCTCTAACCCGCGATTCTAATAGCCTATGACTACACAGAATTTATTTCCCCCAGAATTAAGAGCATGCTCTTGAAATCAAGTGTTCTGATAATACCTACATCCATATTCACAACTGTCATCTTCCTCAAAAAGGTTTTTTAATCTATCAGTGGGACTATCATTCTCGTAATTGCTCAGTTAGGTGAACCTAGCTTCATTGTTGCATTTTCCTGCTTCCTTACCTCTACCAAACTAGGCAATCTGATGCTAGTTTCTAAGATTAAGAGACAACGTAGTGCAGTGGTCAAGGGCTCAGGCTTTAGAACAAACTGCCTGGGTTTGAAAGTGGCTCTTAGCTGTGTGATTTTGGGCAGGTTAATTTCACTCTCTGTGCTTCTATTCTGTTGTAAAATGAAGATAATAACATCTACCTCATGAAGGTTTTTATGTGATTAAATAATATATGTTAAAGTGCTTCAATCAGGGCACGGTAAGTGCCCAGTGAATGTTGACTCTTTTTATTCCCGTGGTTGTTGCCGCCTCCTAAGTATTCCTTGGGCTTGCTCATTCCACACCACTCCCCCATCAGCTAGCTCATTAGACAAGGTTCCTGCTTGTGTTTCTATTACTGTTTATTACCTGTGAGGAGCTAGTGACACATTGGTTAGCCATTTTAGTTCTGATGAGATGATGCAATAAAAGAATTCATATTTTTCTTGTGGGCTTCAGTGCTGGGATCACACTGCACTTGGCATAACATCCAAGGGGATAGAACTGACTTGGACCTGTGCTCATCCTGCGGATGGTGTCTCATGCCAGAAGACCGTGGACAGCTCCCTTTGTTTTTTTATCAACACAATGAAATGACAGGGTCTCAGGCAGAGAAGGTTTTCTTGGGAACCACAGAAGAGGCAGTGAAGGGAGGGGCTGGCGGTGAAGAAGCCCAGAATTTCCGTGTCACCAACACTTACCTGGTCGGGGGTCTCCTGCTTCTTTAACCCAGCACACTTTGTGATTATGAGCTCGTGGCACCGCTTGTGGACCACGCAGGTGCAGACTGCAAATAGCAAAGACAGGAAGGCTGAATGACACTCAGGAAAGGGAGTGTCCCTCCCAGGATCTATTCAGGGCTTGGTGGAGTGACAAGGGGAGCCAGGCCCCTTCTGCCACTGAGCCTTAATTTAATACCCTCCCTAAAGTCTTTTATACAGCTATTTCAAAACACTGTCCTATCAGAGCCATCAGTTTCCTAAATGCTCCAGAGAGCAAGGTAACATTTATATTCAAAGGACATTAGCAGTTTTCTCCAGTTGAGGGAGTACTGATCAATTTTCTCACTTCAATACGCCAAGGTCAAGGAAAAACTTCCTTCCAGCCCTCCCATGGAGCACTGCCTATTAAAGGTGTTGTAGTGGCCTCGCACCCCACTCGGGACCATGCAGGGTGGCTGACGTGATAGGGGGAACTGCAGCAGGCGGTGCAGAGGTTCTGAGGCTTTTTTATCTGGTTGTGTCCTGACATACCAAACTTCAAAATTCCCATCGACTTTAATACTTCCACAAGTGGCCTATATCTGTGTTGTTAGTGTCATGGAGCAATGTGGGCAGTAGGTGGCTGAAAAGGTAAGTAACTGTGTGCGTGTTACCCCAAGGAACAGCAACTTCCACCAGACACTACCCCATGGGTGAGACCCAACAGTGCTTGGCGAGGAGACAGGAAAACCTCCCTGCTCTAACCTCAGCAAAACCACCGCATGACCATGCCACATTTCCACCCTCCAATTTTGTACAACTTAAACTTGCATTTGTAGTCAATTAACTGGAAAGGAATAATCTTCAATACCTTCAAGTGAGCTTTACATTTTTAAGAGCTAATGATCACACAGCCAAGACCAAAAAAAGGGATTAGACAAGGACCTTTCAGTGATACCAAGTACAACGAGCAGGCGAGGAAGCTTCTTCAGGGAGGGAGACAGGGAGGGATCTGGCAGAATACACAGACCCAGTTCAGGACAAAGTGGGACTTTCAAAGAGCCTCCAACTGAAGCAGAATGTCTCATTCAGAAAGATGAAAGTGCCACCTGCTCCAGTTGAGACACAAAGGCCGGGTGGATTGGGGACCTGCTGAGATCACAAGGACGCCTGGAGACAGGTGGCACCTGCAAATGCCTCCCATATATATTCCCATATATGCAGAAGTAATGGTCAAGTGGGAACAAAGAAAGCATGCAAGCTGTGGAGAGCCTCCAAATGTCATCAGACTGAGCACCTGCCTCCTATGGGTGCCAGTGATCTGGATCTAACCACGGGCCTCTGAAGATTTAATTCATAAATGCCTCTTACCTTGACACTGGTATCCCTGCTTTCCTATGACACCCCTGAAAAGAAGAATAACATTTTTTTAAAAAAAGTGAAATCTTACCAGGTCAAAAAACAAACAGAAAAACCACCCAATTTGGGCCACCACCCACATAGCACCAAGTACATGAAGTATGCAGAATATTGTAATTTCTCTCTCACTTGCAAGGTGCCTTAAATGTCTCCTTCCAGAAGCCCACAGAGGGCAGTCCCAGTGCTTGGGGAGGTGCAAGGTTTGGTCAGCATCAGAGCTTGATTTCCTATACAGAGAGCCATTCCTGTGTGGTCAGCAATGTTCTGGAAAGCCACAAACGACCCTGCTTGCTCCTGGTAGGCATTGAGCAGTGAAGCATACCTTTCCTTGTGGATAGAATGGACATTCCTCTTCTCCCAGCACCAGGACACGCTCTGTGGGCCCTCTAACTGTGGAAGAGGGCTGCAGCTGGCAGGTATATTTCCCTGGGCAGTCCAAAGACCACCAATGGTTCTAAGCCAGTCTGTGCCCCGAACTAGAGGTTCAAGAGGTTGTCTAGGTGAAGGCCAACATTAGAGGTTCCTTCCATGGCCAGAGTGGTGTTCCCAGGGCAAGACAGAAAGTCAGCATGGACACAGAACTATCACACAAACCCGGCCTTACCCCTGTCCTTAGTGTACTAACTACAGATGGTCAGGGAGCTCCCTGAAGTTCCCAGCCCAGTGGGAACCAGAAGCTATTCAGGCTCCACCCCAGGGAACCTAGAGCTCAGTGGCCTTTGCCCATGGACTTAGAGGAGACCTGGATCTGTAAGACCGACCACTCAGTTCATGACCAAATGTAGCAAGTGAAGGTCAGACAGCTGGGTCTGCCCTGGTAATTGGAAGTATCTGTGGCTGGAATGGGGCATTATTTCTGCCTCAGTTGGGCTGGGCTTGCTCTGAGCTATATCATCTCAGATGTCTACGCCAACCTGGATGACTGGCTTTGTGACATCATGAGGATAAGACAAGTGACTACTGGACACCTGGAATCCAAGGGGTCCTCAGAGCCCAGTGCAGATGTCCCTGGCTGGGTTCATACTGCATCCTGGCCTCACTCGCTCTCCCCAGTTGGATCCAAGGGTTCATGAAGGCAACCTCTACATCAGCTTCAAAGAGCTCAGACAGCTTGCTAGAAAGGCTGGTGGGATGTCAGGAAAAGTATCAGCATTAAAAGTCAGACTACTAGGGGTAGAATCATACTTCTGACACTTCCTAGCTAGAGGACATCAGGCCAGTCTCATTTTCATTTCTGAGCCTGGGTATTGTTAGTGGAATGGGGCTGGCCTTCGATCATCTTTATCTCAGCCCCTCTCCTCCTTCCAGATTTTTTTTTTTTTTTAAGACAGAGTCTCACTCTGTCACACCCAGGTTGGAGTATAGTATAGCGATCTCGGCTCACTGCAGCCTCCACCTCCAGGGTTAAAGTGATTCTCATGTTTCAGCCTCCCAAGTAGCTGGGATTACAGGCGCACACCACCATGGCCAGCTAATTTTTGTATTTTTAGTAGACACAGGGTTTCACCATGTTGACCAGGCTGGTTTCAAACTCCTGACCTCAAGCAATCTGCGTGCCTCGGCCTCCCAAAGTGCTGGGATTATAGACATCAGCCACCGCACTTGTGCCTGGCCTCCTTCCTGATTTTCTAACAAATCCTAGGCATCAGATAATTTCACTTGTAAATAATTCAGTGAATTATTTTTCAGTGGATTATTATTCAGTGGAATCCTCACCCTGAGGTGTGTCTGTAAAAGATAAGTATTCTTTTTAAAAACACACAATCAGCTGGGTACAATGGCTCACATCTATAATCCCAGCACTTTGGGGGGCAGAGGTGGGTGGATCACTTGAGGCCAGGAGTTCTAGATCAGCCTGGCCAACATGGCGAAACCCTACCTCTACTAAAAATACAAAAATTAGCCAGGCGTGGTCGTGTGCTCCTGTAATCCCAGCTATGTGGGAGGCTGAGGCATGAGAATCACTTGAACCTGGGAGACAGAGGTTGCATTGAGTGGAGATCATGCCACTGCACTCCAGCCTGGGCAACAGAGCTAGACTCTGTCTCAAAACAAGACACACACACACACACACACACACACACACACACACACACACACACACAGTCACAATATCCTTGTTGGTTACTAAAATCTTAACTCTTTTCATAAAATTCTAGGTATAAAGTTGCCAGAAACCATCGCTTCTTTCCATGTATTTCCCCCTATGTACCAAACACACACTTAGCCTTCCATAATAGTCCCCTGCATTCAGATAAGGAAGAAACGAGGCACACCAGCATTCTTTAAATGAGGTGCATAGTCTCCCCTACCCCATCCCCGACATCTTGTAACAGAGATGTTGTAATTAGAGGTTCCCAAGAGAAAGGCTTACCAGATGAAGTCTCTGCAATGGGAGCAGTAGGTGGGCTGCCGAAGATAGGTGGCCATGAACTTGTGGCCGTTGACCTGATGGACCCTGCGCCTGACGGCCCCCTGCCGCTTCCTCGGCCGCATGCGTTCCCTGAACACACGCTCTTCATTGTCTTTAGGGGCTGGGGAAGGACAAGAGCAGGGAAGAAAACGGAGTCTGGGTTAGTGCACCTTCAAAATGAGCTCCCTCTGGAGAGCTACTCCATCCCTGGGGGAGTGGAGCTGGGGTGGGTGAGAGGTAGCCTTTGTGTGTGGAGGGACTCGGGGGTCTGAGGAGTCCCACTGAGCAGCTGGAGTGAGCGAGCACATGTAGGGTGGAAAGGCCCAGAGTGTGCCTATTCCTGCTATATCCTCAGATTCCATCCAATCCAAATTCTGCTCCAGGGCTGGCTGCCCTTTCCTCCCCACACAGGCTACAGCTGGTTTCAAGGGCTTGGGGGTCAAAAGGCTCAAGGTTCGCATCTTACTGCAACTCCTGAGCAGTGTGACCTTGGATAGGTGGTGTTTCCTCCCCCTGAGCATCTGAGCGCATCTCCCTTTGTAAATGGCAATGGCAGTGCCAGCCACAGGGGGTGGCTTAGAGGACGCAATGAGATGAATCTCCACACCCTAAGCTTCCTGGCTCAAGAAGTAGCTGCCTAATAAATCTGACTTCTTCCTTCTTCCTCTTACCTAGACTAAGCCAACCAAGAGCATTTTCCCAGAGGTCAAAAGGAGAGGGAAATATGACACAGTGAAAGTAGTTTCTCGAAGGCTCAAGACCACCACCATGGGCTGTAAAGATCCCACTGGAGTCAAAAAGATCTTCCCAATACCTTCCTTCCCTCCAGTTCTGAGACTGCCCCACCAACTGAGAATGCCTTGCAAGGGGACTCACAGATGATCACAAAAATAATAAAGATAATTGTTATGGGCTACATATTTTTGCCCCCTCAAAATTAATACATTAAAGTCTTAACCCCCAAAGTGATGCTATTTGGAGATGGGACCTTTGGGAGGTAATTAGGTTTAGATGAGGTCGTGAGGGTTGAGCCTCCATGATGGGATTAGTGTCCTTATAAGAGGAGGAAGAGACCTGAGTGAGTGAGCTCTCTGTCATGTGAGCAAGGAAGAGGGCCCTCAGCAGATCCCACCCATACTGGCTCCCTGATCTTGGATGTCCACCTTCCAAAACTGTGAGAAGTGAATGTCTGTTGGTTAAGACACCCAGTCTTTGGTATTTTGTTATTGCAGTCTGAGCTGATTAAGACAAGGATGACCATGATAAATGTTTATCGTGGGCTTACGCTCTGGCAAGTGCTATGCTAAGTGTGTTATATCTTAGTGATACAATACATCTCAATGAACCCTCGAAACAACTCCACTTGAAGGGTACTGCTATTAGCCCCATTTTACAGGTATGCAAAGCGAAGAATAGAGTTTAAGTAACCTACTCCTGTTAACACAGCTACTCAGTGGGGAAGCCCAGATTCTAACCCAGAGAGTGAGAAAGAGGCCATTGTTCCTCCACCCACACGCTGCTCTGAAGGACGGCCTGCACTCCTTACAGAAAGTCCCCAAGCTCTCATCTGAGTGGCTTTCATCACCAAAGAGTCCAGCTGCCTGTGGCTTCCCCAAGAACACAGTGGGCAGGCTTTGGGCTTCTTCCTAGGTTTCTGACACCTTCTAGAAGGTCTCCTAGAAGGTCCCCTGCACAGGTCAGCTTAAAATGCACTGGAAGGCTCTGTGCCCCCAAATATCTCCAGGCATCAGCGAGTGCCTGACATCTCACCATAACAGGGCCAGTCTTCAGGGGAAGAAGCATTGATCCCTCCTGGACCTCTCTGAATGTAAGGTTCCCTGAAGTGGAGGTCATATGTATGACCTGAACAACAGATTAATCCAAGGGCATCTTGTTATTGGAGGGTAGGGTAGAGGGAAGGTAAAATTGAAGGAGGTAAAAGGTGAGAACAGGACCAAATGCGCAGCGTGTGCTTCCAAGGACGCAGCAGCCTCTGAGCAAACAGGCAGCTGTTTATTGGAAATCTGCCCTCAGCGTTCCCAGACTGCATCTTCAACACAGGCTCAGATGACCCGGGTGGAGGTCTGCTTGTGGATCCCCTTGCTTCTTGACCCCTAGCCCACCTGGGTTTCAATTGGTGCTTATTGTTTCAAAAAGTCTCTGGCATCACCGACCTTCTGGGTACAGAAAGCTCACCACCTCCTACCCTGCTCCAACCTAGGGGTCTTGACCTGCTGACCAAATTCTCACGGGAGGACCCAGGTCTGTTCTAGTATAGAGACAGCAACACACACAGCTGCAGAAGTATGGCAATCACCATTCGGTGCTGCCATCATAGGCAAGTTTTTGTTTCGCTTCATACTTTCACAATGTGTAGAATGTTCTACTATTTTCATAAGCAAGAACAAAAATATGACAACCAAAAACCAAATCTATTCAGTAGCCCTTACTTGCTACAAACTTACCTACAAAAATCCAATCCAGAAACATCATCCTGGGCATCATAGGACACAGGATGCAGGTTATTTTCGTAAAAGAGCACCCTTAACTCCTTTCACAGGATTCACCACGGAATACATTTGAACAGTAAGCCCGTCTCCTAATGCATTTAAGATGCAATTTGATTTACAAATCTCTCAAATTGACTAGTTGTTTTCATCCTGGGAAACTATTTTCAGTTAAAATGGTGATGGGTCCAATCTAATTTTCTCAAAGGAACACTGTTATGACGGTGGTTACAGTCCTTCCTAAGAGTCTTATTTCCCAACTTTTTACAGAAATGACGAGCAATGAAACCAATCGTTCTAAACTGTGTTGACATCAATCCAATAGGGCAATATGGCAACCAATTAATTTGACTCTATTCATTTCAAAGCTGTCTCAGCGGGGTGCCCTGATACCTGGAGGGAAGCTGTTTAAAGTTGGCAGGGGTGTGGAGGGGGAGTCTCAGGCACAGGCTAGGCAGACAGCCAAGGATAACTCCTGTAAGTCAGAGTTCTAAGTTCAACTTCCTCCAAGGTTTCTATTACTATTGCCCCAAAGGAGCATCTGCACTGCCTTTTAAGTCAGATTTGATGTCAGATATGGAAAAACAGAAGGTCACAGGAGGGAAAGAACATGGGTAAACTTCATGCTTCAAGTGAGGCTTGTGTGCAAAGCTACAAAGCAGGTGACAGGAGAAAGGGGTTGGAGCCTGTGGCTGCTGAAAACACCCCAATTCCACATTCCTCTGGGCAGGAAAGCCACGGGTCAGGCCAGAGTATCCTCAGCACTGTCACCCACAGGTGGAGAAGAAAGTGGCCTATACAATGTGAAAAGGGGAGCTACTAGGTCCCTCAGTCCCCAAGAACCTCCCTACTGGGGCCTGGAGTCCACCACCAGAAACGGATCCCTTCAGCATTTCCCTCCGCTATGAAAGGTCTCTTCCAAAATGTAGATCCCACATATGTATTAACTTAATTCTGGGCTCTCTATTTTGTTCCACTCGTCTATATGTCTGTTTTTATGCCAGTACCACACTGTTTTAATTGCTGAATTTTTGTAATATATTTTGAAATCAGGAAATGTGATGCTTCCATCTTTGTTCTTTTAACTCAGAATTGCTTTGGCTGTTCAGTCTTTCATGGTTCCATATGACTTTTAGGATTGTTTTTTCTGTCTTTATTGAAAAATGCCTTTGAGAATTTGATAGGAACCATATTAAAGTTGCAGTTCCTTTTAACAAAACATTAATTCTTTTATGGGCATTTTAACAAACATTAATTCTTCCAAGCCAAGAAGAGTCAACTGATCTTCAACAAGAGTGCCAAGAATATACAATGGAAAAAGGATATTCTCTTCAATAAATGATGTTGGGAAAACTGTACATCCAATGCAAAAGAATGAAACTGGATCCTTACCTTTTACCATACACAAAAATCAACTAAACGTGGATTGAATACTTAAATGTAAACACTGAAACCATAAAGCTCCTAGAAGAAAACATAGGGGAAAACTTTCTTGACATTGGTCTTGGCAATGATTTCTTAGATATGACACCAAAAAGGCAACAAAAGCAAAAATAAACAAGTTGGACTACATCAAACTAAAAAGCTTCTGCACAGCAAAGGAAACAATCGACAGAATAAAAAGGCAACCTGAAGAATGGAAAAAAATCATTTGCAAACTGTATATTTGAGAAAGGGTTAATATCCAAAATACATAAGAAACTCCCACAATTCAATGGCAAAACCAAATAATCCAATTTAAAAACAGGCAAAAGAACCGAGTAGACTTTTCTCTAAAGACATACAAATGGCCAACAGGTATACAGGTATTTAATAAGATGTTCTACATCACTAATCATCAGGGAAATACAAATTGAAGCTACAATGAGATGGCACTTCATACCTGTTAAGATGGCTATGATAAAAAAAAAGAATGATAAGTTTTAGCGAGGATGTGGAGAAGAGCGAACGCTTGTTCACTGTTCATGGGAATGTAAAATTGTACAGCCACTATAGGAAACAGTATCGAGGTTTCTTAAGAAACGAAAAATAGAACTACCATTTGATTCAGCAATTTCACTTCTACACATCCAAAGGAATGAAAGTAAGGACCCTGAAGAGTCCTCATGCATCTGCACTCCCACATTCACTGCAGCGTCATTCACAATAGCCAAGACATGGAAGCAACCTAAATGTCCATCTATGGATGAATGGTTAAAAAAATATATGGTGTATTCATCACATACACACAAAAGAAAACACAAGGCGGAAAGGTATGTTCCAACTACTTAGAAAACATTAACATTGGTCATTCGTTGACACTGGTGGAATTACAGGTGATTTTTACTTTTCTCCTTGTGCTTCTTTGTATTTTCTAAAAAGAATCTCTATTGCTCTTTTTAAAAAGATGATACAACAAACATTGAAAAACCATAATTCAAAAGAGATTGTCTTCTCAATCTCTTACACTTACACTAAGACTCAGTGTTCTACTGTCTTCAACCCTGGTTACACAGATGACTAAGTAAAAGCCAGAGAGAACCACTTGATACTTTTATGAAGTGTGAGGCTAAAGGAAAGCTGAAGCAGATTTCTATGTCCTTAGCATAGCTTTCTACCTTGACGTAAATAAAATGCTTTGTTACAATTTCTAAAAAACGAAAAAAAGAAGAAAATATGGTGTATTCATGCAATCGAATGTTACTCAGACACAGAAAAGAAGGAAATCCTGCCATTTGGGGTAACATGCATGGGAGGATATTGGCTAAGTGAAACAAGCCAATGGCAGGACAAATACTACATGATACCACTTATATGAGGAATCTAACGTGGTTGAACTCATAGAAGCAAGAGAGCAGAATGGTGGTGGCCAGGGGCTGGGAGAAAGGAGGAATCAGGGAGATACTAGTAAAAGGGCACCAAGTTCCAGTTATGCAAGATGAGTAAGTCCTAGAGATCTATCATGCAATTTTGTGCCTATAGTTAACACACTGCATTGTATACTTAATTTGCTGAAAGCGTACATCTTATGTTAAGCATTATCACAAAAAAAATAAATAAAATGCAACTCTCATAGTAGAGGTAATATGCGTGTGTCTGATGTATAAAATAACAGATACATAAATGTATGTATATGTGTATGTATATATAGTATGTATAATTTATATATTATATATTGATCCATAATATAGTATAGTATATATAATATGTATGATATATACATATATAGTTTTGCTGAACTATTTGAAGGTTATAGACGTAGTGACACTTCACTCTTAAATACTTCAGTCTTTATCTCCTAAGAACAAAGACATTCAGCTACATAATCACAATAACAGAGTCAAGAAATTTAACACTGATATGACATTATCTAATATAGAGTTCATATTTGAATTTCCCCAATTGTTTCCCAAGTTTCCTTTGTAGTTTCTGATTTTCACCCAGGAGCTACCCAGAGCTCATGGGGTTGCCATATCTTCTTAATCTTAGTCTAGAACAGTCTCCTTTACTGTTCTAGATACATAAATGTATCTTTTTTAATGATACATTTATGTAGCATCCAGGATGTTGTCACATTGAATGCTTCACAATCTGAATTTCTCTGATTGTTTCCTCCCAATTAGTTTCTGATTAAATGGCAAGACCAGCACAAAGGGCTATGTATCAACAAATTGAAATATATATATCAAGATCCCCATAGATAATAGCTTAAAGGACACAAACATAAAATTTTCATAAGATACTGACTATAATCAGGAATTTTGAAATGCAAAGCAAAACAGTTTTGGCATACACTGACATACCATTTAATACCTAAAAAAGTAACCAATTTGTTTTAAAATTATTATCCATTATTGGCAAGTCTACTATGAAACTGACATTCATTCACTGCTACAGGCAATGCCAGTTGACATGTTTTCAGAAAGCAGTATCACAAGACACAGAGACTGCACAGGGAAGGCCACAAAGAGATTCACATCCTTTGATTCGGCAACTCCTTAGGAATTAACTCTAAGTCAATAATTAAACAAACTAAAAGCTATATCCTTATAGATGTTTCCCTTTGCATATCTATATTAGCCAACAAACAGAAATGACTTGACTGTCTACTATTAGGCCAATGGTCTGATGAATCACATTACAACGACAGCAACTTTAAGAGGGTGAAGAAAGACCACAGAAACCTGGAGAAATGTGTTGTAATATTGTGAAAAAAGAATGAACAATAATACACCCCAATGTCAAGCAAATTTGCAGGCTGAAGATAACGTAAGAACGGCGCTCCACTAGGATGATGGGATTATATAGGCTGACATTTGAAAAAGTGTTCTCTAATGCTCTTTAGTGACTTTTTAAAGCTTTCACTTGCCTAAAAAGTATTAGGTAATGAGGTGCTCCCTCATGCTGCAGGAGTGGGGGGTTGCTTGGCACAAACAGGAGGTGAGGGAACTGCAGCTTGCCGTGGAGAAGGGGAGAGAAGAGGGAAACCACCGGCTTCCCAGCTGCCTGTGCTTCTGGACTGAGTAAACGCTGGGCCCGCTGCACACCAGAGTTGCCGGATCCATGCCCGTTCACCTCTGAACCGCTCCAAAAGATGCTCGCTGCTGGCACTGGATGCACTCAGCCGTGCTCAGCCAGCATGACAGTTCATTTGCCGTGACCTCTGAGGCAACATCAAGGTTGGCTGACCTCCCAGAGGACCCATTTGGCTCTTTGGAGGTCCGTTGTTTTATGCCTGCATCTGCCTCACTGCAGAAGGGGTGAACTTGAGTCAAGGAAAGGCCAAGACAAAGCTGGATAACTTTTGGGAAACTCTCTATGGAAATGGAGAACTTGGCTGTGGGGATGTAACAAGAATTCACAAAGGCATAAATAAGGCGAAGCAGAGACGTCCTCTGAAGCAGCTTCAAGATTCACAGTAACCCCAACCTCCAACAACATTCCAGGGATGGTTTCTCCTTGATTCAATTAGGCTATGAACTTCAAACTCCAGAAGGTTTTATATCAATGAATATTTTACAGCCCCAATGCACGGGATAATCTCTCACAGGCTGTAGGCAGGTGACAAGAGGAGCAAAAATGGGGTCTGTACCGTGCAGTTCTTCTTCTGTTTACCTAACTTCACCTGGCCCGTTTTCTTTGGGGGTGAGACTTCTCAGTCTGCACCACAGGAACACTCAGGGACTCAGGGAGAGATGGCCCCTGGCACCAAACCCTAGACCACATTTTCTGGCCAGTCTGGTCATTGAAGTTTTCACTGCTCCACTGTCCTTTCTCTTACCCACCACGTCTCCTCCCACACAAAAAGCAAGCTGGAAAAACTGAACGCCCTCCTCATGTGGGGTCAGGGGCACCCACAACCTCAGTGTTCTTAGATTGCCTTTCAGTTTAGGAATATTCAGCAGATAATTTCTTTTTCTAAAAAAACTTTTTTATTTCAATAGCTTTGCGATACAAATGGTTTTTGGTTGCACAGATGAATGACATGGTAGCGAAGTCTAAGATTTTAGTGTACCTGTCACCTGAGTTGTGTACATTGTACCCCAATAGGTAGTTTTTCATCATCACCTCCCTCCCATCCTTCTCCTTCTGAGTCTCCAATGTCCATTATACCACTTTGTATGCCTTTGCATACCCTTAGCTTAGCTCCTGCTTTTAAGTGAGAACATGCAGTCTTTGGTTTTCAATTCCTGAGTTACTTCACTTAGAATAATGGAATAATGTCCTCCAAGTCCATCCAAGTTGCTACATAAGACATTATTTCATACTTTATTATGGCGGAGTAGTATTCCATGGTGTGTGTGTGTGTGTGTGTAATATTTTCTTTATCCACTCATTGACTGATGAGCACTTAGATTGATTCCATATCTTTGCAGTTGTGAATCGCTAACAGTGAATTTCTAACACACACAGACGTATGCCTGGATGCCAGCAATGCCTTCCAGAGTATATGGAGCCAAGAACAAGGGTCAACCTTGCCTGGGCCAGACTTGCCAACATGCATGATCTTGGGGCACCACTGTCATTCCTCACTGCAGGACAGTCCCCTACCCTTTGTGTTCAGGGCACACAGGGATCTTTCCCCAGGCAGGTGTGCTGTGGGGTCTTCTTTCTTTTCTCTGAGCTCTCTCTTTTGACCTCCCCTTTCTGCCAGTATGGTTGAATGAGGTATTAGCAGACTGGACAAATTTTGTCCTTTCCCAAAACCTGCCTCATATCCTTGAACAAGTCATTTAATATCTCTGAGCCACTGTTTTCCTATCTTATCTATCAGGAGAGGGGCAATTCCATGGCTCAACCCAAACCTCAAGCTGAGAGGAGCAGCACAGACCCATGTTGGATTCTGAGGCAAAAAGAAAAAAAGAAAAAAAATGAGTCATCCTGACTGTATCTTTACTTCAAATTTTGTTATTTCCTTCATTAATCTGATTTTCTAAACTACTACATTACAATATTATTTGATTCCTGAGACTTGGGGCAGTCCTAAATTCTGCTTGCACCATAGTCCTGACCTTGACTATAATGGTTGATAAAGGCCCAAGTGAAGTTCTTCTTCCTAAGCATACCAGGCTTCGCAAGGGTGGTGGAAGCCTGGCCCCTGTTTGCCCTTCTCTCCCTCTGCTGGTCTACTGTGGGGTGGTAGGTAGGCCTCCAGGACCTCCTTCACCCCAGGGGACACTCCAGGATGGCCCCCAAAATTGATAGTGTAAGGACCAGAAGTGACAGAAAAAATACTGCCAAAAATGTGATGGGTTCAGATGGTGATTGTTGAATTTCACCTGCCATCTAGCACATGCTGAAGGGAGGGTTTTCTCCTCCTATGACCATGGCAGTGGGGTTTGAAGCCAGCTCTGGATCCTGTAGTACATACCGCTCCACATCTGAGGACTACACATAGTAGCGTGAAATGGCCACCATGGGGGTATTTACAGGAAAATCAACAAATGCTACAAATCAGGACTTTCTTGGGGAGGTTGTTGTTAAACATTTACCACCAGCACACCCCTGGCCCTGAGGAGATCAGACATATACAGCCATGGTTCAGGTTCTTTCTCTTTTATCTTTCCAAAAACAGGCTGTATCCACCAAAGCTGTGGCTTTAGTAATCCAATACTGACTTCCAGAAACCCTGCATCTCTCTATCTCCCTGGAGCCAACAATGCCTCACTGAGGAAGAGCGACAGCCTCATCCCTGACCCTGCAGAACCTGCTCCGATGCTCCCTTGTGGCCCCCAACCTGCTGGGGTTCAGCTACCCCCAGATGTTACCTACTTGCCACTGTAAGAGGGAGCGCCTGCCTTATCTTCCCCACACCCCATCCCACAAGGCTTTAGGACCGGGAAAACTGTCAGAAAGACTGGGCTGGGCAAGGAACACTGACTTAACTCTAGAAAAAAGCAGAAATGGGACTAGATTGAGGAAAACCCTGGGGTTGGGGTGGGGGTCAGCTCATCAGGAGGCTTATCTTGGAATCCAGGTAAAGAGTGATTATAGTCTTCAAGGTAATTTTACAACACAAAGAAAACAATTCAACTATCCTGGTATTTTGGTCTAAATAACTGTCAAACCCTGCCTATTCAAAAGCTGAAAGATGTCAGCTAGCATTTATGGGACCCCTGCCAGATGCTGAGCATGATTCCAAGCACCTTAAGTGTATGAGGTACTACTATCTGACACACACGACAGTATCCCGCATGCGTGCAAGGTAGTACCTCACATGTGTGACAGAGCATCACACACGTGCGAGATAGTATCTCACGCACACGTTTGTGGGAGCATCACAGGCACCTGCGGTCATGTTACACATCTATGAAGTATCAACATTACATATTCATGCAATATGTAAGCATCTTACATACTTCCTCTAATATCACAAGGCATTACTTTTGGCACAAAGAGGTTAAATAACTGTCTTGTGAAAGGCCATGCAGCCAACAGTAAATGTCAGTTTGGGATTTCCCACCCTGGCCCAGCCATCCACGCCTCCCAAGGATGGCAAAATAGCCTAGTCCCACTTGTACCCAACTGTGTGTGTAGAAGTTTCCTGTCAGCTGCTGATCACCCACCTCCCCACACATCTGCCCTTGCTCTCACCTAGATACTTAGAAAAGAAAGCTGAGGGGGACTGATTAAGTCATGGCACACCCACATAATGGAACGTAATGCAGCGGTTTAACAAAGCAGCTATGCTAAGCCCACCAAGAAACTAAGCAGAAAAAGAAAACTAAGAAACATGTCGATAGTGTGTATTTATTTGTATAAAATGAGAAAAAAAGAATACACTCAAACGCATATAAGCAAGACTGTGGATGGAAAATTTCTGCAAGGGTATATAATAAGCTATTCATCCTAAAAATGTTTATCATGTGGACACTGGATTCCAGGCAATGTTCTAGGCACAAAGGGATAACCCATGGCTACTCCCTCAATTTTGTTCTCAGATATTCTGGATTTGGTCCTTAATAGACAGGTCTCTGCTAACAAAGCAAGAAATTGCCATGATAGTCCAGAGTACAGTGATTATGACTGGGAGGTGCTCCTCACAGAAGCTAGGGTGCAAACTTTACCTCTCAATCTCTGGGGAGTCTACTTAATTTTCCCTTTCAATAATGCTCTGTTTTGACTTTATAAATTCACTGGTAAATATGCAAGGTCAATGGAAAGAAAACAAAACAAACAAAACCAGGTACTAAAAATCAAAGCAGCCGTGCCTTTTATTTTGTAATTTTCCATAGAACAATAGATGATAATGTTTGCAAGTGAAATAAATACTTCATGACAGTGAGTTTTAAATATTGTGTAAATATTTATGTGATGTCAAAGAATATGTTCTACATGTGTACTCACACAATGCATTAAAGAAAATTTGTTCAAAACAGGAAAGAGGAAACAGCAACTAATTCCCTCAGAGAGATTATTCGATGCTATCTGTATCTTCCCAGAGAGGCACACAATAAGAATCAGAAACGTCTGAGAGGAGAGGTTTGAGATTGCCTGCATGTTTTATTCTGCATGTAATCTAATCAGAAGAGAACGGGTGGCATTTCAAGATTAGCATCTCAAGTTTAACATGAACCGTTGTTTCTCCTTCCTCTTCACTTTCTGAATGATCTTTGCTGTGTTCATGGCAGGATTTATGCTCTGTCCAGGTATGAAAACAAAACTGCAGCTAGTGTTCACTACATAGGAAAAAAAAAGTGAAAATCTCAGACTTTGATACGGTAGGCACAGCAGCATTAGAGTAAACTGAGTCAAAACATGGTGATTGACAGATAATGTGAGAAAAGAAGATGCCAAACCCCAATCTCACTGCCCCATGGTTTCTGATGCCAAGCACACTGTGTTGAACACAAAGAAGCACCGAGGAGCAGTGATTTCACTTAAGCAGGAAGCCTGCTAGCCTCTAGTCTATATTCATTCATTCATTCATTCGCCCATTCGTTCATTCCCTCCTCCATCCATTCACAGTTACATATTACAGTCATGGTGGAACTTTACTGCATGCTTCTGGTACCCAGTAAAAATTACTACTTCCAGGAGGAAACCACAGAGCAAAAAGCCTCCAGGCAGACCTGCTGAAAGCTCAAAGAGTGCTCCCAGCCTGGGAAATCTGCCAAGTGGGGCACCAGCCAAGGGTGGGACCAGAATCCCTGTTGGTGCCAGTGATGATCTGAGATGAATCACAGGAAACTGAGCAATTGCTGCATTCTCGGGCACCTGAGCACAATGGAGCTCACGTTCCATGAGGCCAGGTTCTGGCCACTGCTCATGCTTCTAAAATGCTGTATTAAAACGGGCCTGTGGACAGCAGGATTAAAAGTCTTAGTAGGGTCTCTGCCTGTCCCCAGGTGCTGGTTGGTGAACATGGAAAGGGTGTGAATGTGCCGAGTAGAGTGGGACATTCCTCCCTCGAACAAATAACAAGCCTTTTAATGCCATAGGCACTGCAACCCTAAAGGCTATGGGGTTATTTATTGAAAAACCCACACCCTTCCAGTGCTGTTCGTAGCAGCCATTCCACATCACCCAGTCAGTGGCAGGCCACATTCATGAGACTAAAGCAAAGTGAACTCAAGATCACACCCTTCGACGTCACAAGGCTCCCAGCTACCTCACCTTGGGCTCCACAGAGCTTCTCAAAGGTACGTGCCTGCACAATTTCCCAGACTACCGCAGTGAGCCAACTTTTTAGTTCCTCAAACTCCTTCTTTACTAAGGCAGTTTTGAGCACTTGCTAATTTTAAAGTCAGAATTAAAAAGAAAAATAATGGTCTTTCCCAAGAGATCTGGAGTCCCGGCAGGGCGCCCAGAATGCTGACCAGGTGGGTATTCTGATTAGATGACCTGGGAAGGAAGAATTTCAGGGAATCTGAAGATAAAATGGAGATAAAAGGCAATGAAAGAATGGTAAGGCAAAGGAAATGGAGAAAGACAGAGGATAAAAGAGGTAAAGATGGCCGGGCGCGGTAGCTCATGCCTGTAATCTCAGTACTTCGGAAGGCCAAGGTGGGCGGATCACCTGAGGTCAGGAGTTCTAGACCAGCCTGGCCAACATGGCGAAACCCTGTCTCTAGTAAAAACACAAAAATTAGCCGGGCGTGGTGGCGCACACCTGTAATCCCAGCTACTCGGGAGGCTGAGGCAGGAGAGTTGCTTGAACCAGGGAGGCAGAGGTTGCAGTGAGCCGAGATCACGCCACCACACTCCATGTTGGGCAATAGAGCAAGACTCGGTCTAAAAAAATAAATAAATAAAAACAAGTAAAGATGATTATTATGCCACCCAGTCTGAGCTGGTAATTACCTAAATGAACCCCACATGTTCCCAGAAAGCAGAGGGACTCATTTTACATAACACAATCTACTCTCCCTGGTTTTTTGGTTCCTACTGATCAGGAAACGAGCTTGCCTTCCTTCCATCCTCCCTTCTATCGACCCAGGCCCATCTAGTCCCCACGGCAGGGCACTGGGAGATAGACGTCCCTTAGGAAGCTTCATATAGGTGAACAAGCCCCAAGTCTTTCCACAGAAACAGCTATAATGGCCACAGCTCTTGTGGAACTTATATCTTTTCCTTTGGCTTCAAAAACCTGCTTCAATTAAACTTTTTCTTACCAGTTTTTATGTTCCACTGAGACTGACCAAAACTCTGCACATGGAGAGAGGGATGAGAAGGTCAAAAGCAATAATGCTTTTAATAACTGAAAGCATCCCAGAATCGAACTCATGCTCCTTCAGGGCTCAGGAGCTCTGACACGCACATGCACACAGCACAGTGCCTCTCCCTGACACCCCCGCTGCTGGCACTTCTCCCAGGCCAGGGGACATCATAGTCCAGGAAATTTGCCAGATTCCCAGTTATTCGGGCCTTAAGGCTTGGCAACTCCTCTCTCCCCCGGAGCTGTCTTCTATAGTGATATGAGAATGTTGGGAAAAGAATAGTCACTGTGTGAGGAAAAAAGTCTATTTCTAATAGCTCTGCAACCAAGAGAAACATCAGCTAAATGCTGAGCTGCATATCTATAAACTTCCATTTGGAGAAAATGAAAACTGCCAAGAGGGGAACAAAAAAGGAAGGGGGGTGGTGGGCGTTTTCAGTTTAATGAACCTGAGAAAAAATTCTGAGGCCACAGATGCTTAAGGGAGATCCAGTTAGCTCAGTCCTTGGTGCTAATGAAGTAAAAGTAGCGACCAAATTCCTCAAATGAGTGAGTTATCTTTGTCTAGAAGGTAAATATTACTGGCCACAGGCCCTGCCTTAAATCTCAGCCAGATTTCTTATAGGTATACATTCTTTAGGGCCCTGGGGGGAAAGTAGGAATGGTTCTACATTACCCAACTTCTTTCCTAAAATTCACCTTCCATCCTACACCTTGCTGACCTCAGGAAAGCCCAAGAGTTGTGTCTTTACTTAAAGAAAGTGTCACTTTCCTAATCCAAAAATCTAAGCCCTGCATACGCTAGTCACCCACTTGCCTTTTCAGTAGGTTTTGGTTTAAGCAGTACCTGGGAACAGGTAGCAAAGGCGAGGCTGGGGTTGAGGTCTACCACAGTCTTAAGAATCCCTGGCAGCCGGGCGCGGTGGTTCACGCCTGTAATCCCAGCACTTTGCCAGGCCGAGGCAGGTGGATCACCTGAGGTCGGGATTTCGAGACCAGCCTGACCAACATGGAGAAACCCCGTCTCTACTAAAAATACAAAATTAGCTGGGCTTCGCGGCACATGCCTGTAATCCCAGCTACTCAGGAAGCTCAGGCAGGAGAATCGCTTGAACCCGGGAGGCAGAGGTTGCAGTGAGCCAAGATCACACCATTGCACTCCAGCCCGGACAACAAAAGTGAAACTCCGTCTCAAAGAAAAAAAAAAAAGAATCCTGGCAATGGAGTAGCACTGCCCTGGCCAAGGCAGGCTGCTACACCTCTGAAATGCTAACAAGCCTGGCTCCTCAGCTAAAGCTGCTCCTGAACTGAAAGTCTAAATGGGGTCTCTGCCTGTCCCCAGGTGCTACTTGGTGAACATGGAAAGGGTGTGAAATGTGCCAAGTGAAATGGGACATTCCCCCCTCAAACAAATAACAAGACTTTTAGTGCCATAGGCATTGCAGCCCTAAAGGCTATGGGGTTACAGAAACCGACTCACGGAAAATGAATGACACAATAAATCTTGATTACTATCTTCAGCTGCTGAATTTGAGATAACTTGTTATATAGCAGTAGATACTTCATTCAAGAGGTAATAGGTAAAGCAGGAGAAAGTCAGGGTAAACATTGCAAGGAAAAATGTTTTTAACTCTGAGACTTGTTCACTGCTCAACCAAATCGGGGGGGGAAAGGAGGTAGGTATTGTGACTACTGTACTTGGTGTTACACACTCCTGCCTATGGAGAGAAGCAGAGGAAGGATCAATGCTATGATAGGTCAGCTTATATTAGAATCACTATCACATGGAAACCAGGGCCTGTGTATAAGTGAGTAAGGCTGACTTAGCTCCTGAGAGCTGGGAATTCAGAGACGCTAAAGTCCTGGTATTCTAAAAAATAAAGTGATCCCTCTTGCTTCCAGCCCCTCTGTGTTTGCTTTACTCCTTAGTGCCAGGCTTTCAACCCTGTTGAAACAGAAAGCCTCTGCGAGGGCCATTATAAGTTCAACATAGGTGAATCTCAGATCCTTTTTGGAGAGGTTGTGCTGGGCAGGTAGGAAAACTGGGGGGCAGAAAGGATTGTAGGAACTGCAAGGAGAGTGAGGCAGGAGCTAAATTTGGGGAATTTTTCAGTCAAAGGCTGATGGGTGCTTGGCATCTCTAAAGCAAAAGATAAAATCCACTGAAAACGGGATGTTAGAAATAATAGGCACCATTTACAGCAGGGGCCCCCAATCCCCAGGGGACCACAGTACTGGTCTGTGGCCTGTTAGGAACCTGGCTGCACAGCAGGAGGTGATTGGTGGGTGGGCAAGCATTATTGCCTGAGCTCCACCTCCTGTCAGACCAGCAGCAGCATTAGATTCTCATAGGAGCGGGAACCCTATTGTAAACTGCACACGTGAGGGATCTAGGTTGGGGGCTTCTTATGAGAATCTAATGCCCTTCCCCTTCTGCCCCCCACACCACTCCCTGCCCATCAGTGGAAAAACTGTCTTCCATGAAACCAGTCCCTGGTACCAAAAGGTTGGGGAACACTGATTTATGGTATAGCAGGTGATTAAAACATATTTTCTCTATTTCTCGAAAGGATTCTACACGATTAGTATCACTACCTCCACCACACAATGAGGAAACCGGCACTAAGAAAATCCAAGTGACTCATCTAGGTGTACATAGTTATTAAGTGGTGGAGTTCGATTTGGTCCCAAGGCCAGACCGGTTCCAAAGTTCATGTCTTTTCCACCATACCACACACATTAAAAAATATGAAATGGAGGTTTTCCCCCCTTTATCCCAGAAAACAAGCATTCTGTTTGTATTTCTCTAACAGGTGGTCTAAAGATTTTTTAAGTGAACTTTCCTTCCCAAATGCTGTAAATGAAAAAACGATGTGAAAAATGATTAGCAGATAGGAAGAGGAGAGGCCAATTTCTTTTAAATGTATATGGGGTCTGACAAGAAGTTCTGAAAGTTTTTTTGAAACCAGACTGCTAGTAAACAAACAAACAAACAAATAAAACCCGGAAAATTAAAACTCATAGAGACAACTCCCTCTCACACCACAACACACATGCCAGGGAACATAAGGAGGTGACAGAGAGAAGACCAGAGGCCCCACTTTAGCTCATTTGTGTGGACCCTGGCTGTTTCATGCAGAATTTTGAAAGGTAAGAGGGTAAGTTAGATGATTCCGGAGCAAATATAATCATCACACAGGCATTAACCTCTGGGAACAAAAAGTTTGTATCTGCTTGAGAAAAGCAAGGAAGAAAGTTTCAGATCAAAGTGTTCCCTAAATCTGATCTGAGCCATCCTGTGCCCAGCAGGAACACCTAGCCATGAAGAAAAAGTCTATTCTCTCTCCAGGTCAGTCCCCTCCTCAATACTGAGGCCACAAAGATTGAAATTAATGCTTCTGTTTTTTAAATAAACATGATCTTCTTTCTCCAAACACAGCAGTCAGCAAAGGCCCAGATCAAACTTATTATGGAAAATCTGAAGTAAAAGGTTCAACTCTCATGCATCTGTGTGCATGTATGTGTTTAAGGCAGGAGAACTAAAATGAAGACATGACATTATATATTTTGTTCTTCCAAACCACCTGCCTGAGAAAAACATTGCAGTGTTCAAAAAGGCGTTACTCCTTCATTCTAGAGATGCCCTGGCCTCTCTGGCTAGCAGTCTGGCACAAATAATTCCTTGGAAGTAGAGGTCTTCCTGCATCTACTGTCAAACAGGCAAGACCACGACAACCACCTTCCTCTTGCCCTGAGGAAGCACGGTGCATTTTAAAAGCTAAAAAGATATTATTCTCCCTATTTTCAGCTCATGAGAACTCCAGTTGATTTCTAGCTAAGAACTACCCGCAACTTAATTAGTCATTAACCAGAACTTCAGGTTGACTCTTAACCTGTCAGCCTGAAATGTGCACCTGTTAGACCCCTGACGTGGCTCTTTCTGATGTTAATAGCTAGCCTGAAGACCTTTCTAGAGATCAGAAATTGCCTCCTGCTCCTTAGGGGCAAAACACATTTCCTGTTGGAATGTGATGGCTAAAGGATTCTATTAAAAAAAAAAAAAAAAAAAAAAAAAAAAAAAAAAAAAAATATATATATATATATATATATATATGTTTTAAAGGCCAGAGGAAGGGAAAAATGGTGTTTCTGTCTTTCAGACAATAACCACAATCCCTTGACAAACCTGAATTAACACACAGAAGAAGCTAAAACTCATAGAAAATTAAAACTCATAGAGACAACTCCCTCTCTCACCACAATATATATGGCAGGGAGCATAGGGGGTGTGTGAGAGGCCAGGACATCTCAAGGGGGTGCTCCCTGGCAGGTGGATTGTAGTGTGAAAGGGAGTTGTTTCTATGAGTTTTGATTTTCTTTCTTTTTTTTTTTTTTTTGAGACAGAGTCTCCCTCTGTCAGCCAGGCTGGAGTGCAGTGGTGCGATCTCAGCTCACTGCAAGCTCTGCCTCCCGGTTTCATGCCATTCTCCTGCCTCAACCTCCCAAATAGCTGGGACTACAGGCGCCCGCCACCACGCCTGGCTAATTTTTTGTATTTTTAGTAGAGACAGAGTTTCACCATGTTAGCCAGGCTGGTCTCGAACCCCTGACCTCGTGATCTGCCCACCTTGGCCTCCCAAAGTGCTGGGATTACAGGCGTGAGCCACCATGCCTGGCCCAATTTTCTTTTTCTTTTTTTTTTTTTTTTTTTTTTTGCGGGCCTAATAGATTAGGTTTATTAATATAACTCCATCACCATTTTCTTCTAAATGAACTAAATTCTGAGGTTCTCTCTGCTTAAAATAACAGTGAATCTGAAACTTCAGCATGCATCAGAATTAGCCAGAAGGCATGCTCAAACATACACTGCTGGACTTCACTTCTAGAACTGCTCATTCAGCAGGCCAGCTCTGGGAAGGGGTTGAGAACCACTTCTAACAAGTTTAGGGATGATGTGACCAGGACTACATTAAAAAAAAAAAAAAAAATAGAGACACAGTCTCGCTCTGTTGCCTAGGCTGGATCTAGTGCAGTGGCATAATCACAGCTCACTGCAGCCTTGAACCTCTGGACTCAGACTATCATTCCACCTCAACCTCCCAAGTATGCGGGGCTACAGGAGTGTGCCACCATGCCCTGCCTGTCTGGGTCTTTATTTACAGAGGTGGGGTCTTGCTATATTGCCCAGGCTGGTCTCAAACTCCTGGCCTCAAGCAATCTTTCCACCTTGGCCTCCGAAAGTGCTTCCAAATTCCAGGCATGAGCCACCATGCCTGGCTGCCACATTTAAGAACTATCTAGACCTCATTATCTATCCTATCTGAATTGCCTAAGAGTGATCAACTTACTTATTCACAAGTAATTAGAACACTGATTAAGATGTAGAAAGCTGGAAAGACCATCATTCCTATCATTACAACAAAAAACAAACACATAGGCAAATAGATCAACAGAATAGAGTCCAGAAATTAATCCACATATGTGCATACAATTGATTTTCAAAAAAGGTGCAAAGGCAAGTGAATGGAGAAATGGCAGTCTTTCAACAAGTGGTGCTTGGACAATTGAATGTCCATGCATAAAAAATAAGCATAGACCCATATCTTCTACAAAAATGAACTCAACATAGATCATGGACAAAAACGTAAAACCTAAACTATAAAACAGTGGAGGAAAACACAAAAAATCTTTGTGACGTTGGGTTTGGGTGAAGATTAGCTATGACATTAAAAGCATAATTCATAAAAGATTGACAAATTTGACTTTGTCAAAATTAATAACCTCTGCTGTTTGCAAGATGTTAAGAGAATGAAAAGACAAGTATCAAAATGGGAAAAAATATTTGCAAATCACACATCTGGTAAAACACATGTAGAATATGTAAAGAACTCTCAGAACTCAATAATTATTAAGCAAACAGTCAAATAAAAAATGAGCTAAAAATGTGAACAACACCTTATCAAAAAAGATATATGCTAATTAAACACATGAAAAGATGCTCAACATTAGTTTTAGAAAAAGGCAAATTAAAACGACAGTGAAATACCACTATATATCTATTAGAATGCTAATGTTAAAAAATAATAAAATAAAACCTGAAAATATGAAGTGCTGGTGAACATGCAATTTCAGCATTGTGTCTTTCATGCATTGCTGGTCAGAATACAAAATGGTCCTGTCACTTTGGAAAAGAGTTTGCAGGTTCTTTTTTTTCTTTGTGTGAGACCGAGTCTCGCTCTGTTGCCCAGGCTGGAGTGTAGTGGTGCGACCTTGGCTCACTGCAACCTCCGCCTCCCGGGTTCAAGCAATTCTCCTGTCTTAGCTTCCTGAGTAGCTGGGACTACAGGTGCATGCCACCACACCTGGCTAATTTTTTTTTTTTTTCTTAGTAGAGACAGGGTTTCACCATTATTGGTCAGGCTGGTCTTGAACTCCTGACCTCAGGTGATCCACCCACCTTGACCTCCCAAACTGCTGGGATTATAGGCGTGACCCACTGCATCCAGCCTGCAGGTTCTTATAAAATAAAACACACACTTACCATACATAATCAAGCAATCTTACTTCCAGATATTTATTCAAATGAAATAAAAAGTTATGTTTACATAAAAACCTGTATGAAAATATCTATAGCAGCTTTATTTATAAGCACCAAAAACTAGACGCAATCCAAACATCTCTCAATTGAGAAAAGGACAACCAAACAAATTGGTGTGTAGCTATAAAGTGCGGAGTTCTATTCTGCAACAAAAATGAATGAATTACAGACACAAGCAATGACATAAATAAATCTCAAATGCACCATGCTAAATGAAAAAAGCCAAACTCAAAAGGCTACACATATACTGTACGATTCCATTTAAACAACATTCTGGAAAAAGCAGTTATAGGCACTGAAAAGACCGCAGCGGTTACCCGGGGCTGAGGGTGAGCAAAGGGCTTGACTATGAAAGGGGAAAGATAACGGGAGAATTTGGGAGGTGATGGAACTATTCTATATTTTTATTGCGATAATGGTTATACGACTGTATGTAATTGTCAAAACTCAAATAACTATATGCTAAAAGGTGAAGTTTACTGTATGTAAATGACACTTTGTTTTTTTTTTAAATAGAGGGAAAAACTAGGGCACACCTACTATACCTGCAACCCTGTGTCAGGAGCTACTAAAGATACAAAAAATAACCCTGAGCGCAATTTAGAATGAACATCTGCCTAAAGCATTTATTTATCCATGTGGGGGTTTGTTTTTGAGATGAGCATCTCACTATGTTGCCCAGGCTGGCCTCAAACTCCAGGGCTCAAGCGATCCTTCTGCCTCAAACTCTGAAGTAGCTGGGACTACAGGTTAGTACCACCAGCCCAGCATGCCTGGAGCATGTAAATAGCCTATAACTAGGAATTCAGCTGAGCAGAAGAGACTATAAACATAAGAGTTCAGAGAAAGCTGGGGCATCAGGTATTAACAAGGTCCCCTGCACTGTCTGGTTCTACTTTTATGCTACGGGCCTTTCATTCTTCCTCCCATGTTTTTATCACACCAACCAGGTCAGTCTCCTGGCAAACCCTCTCAGAGGCCAAGCTCATTCCTCCCTCCAAACTTCTCATTATACCAGTTCTCCTTCCCAGGACTTTCTGCCCTCTCGTCATCTAAATCCTTCCTATCCTTTGAGATCTAATTCCTCCATGAAACCTTTCGATATCAGGGCAGTCCACAGGGATCTTTTTCTTCTTTGAACTACCATAGTACTTGGAGTCTTTACTATTGAATTGGATATTCATCCATTAAACATTTAATTATATACTTGATGGAGTACTTGATGGAGTGCGTGATGGAGTGTTCATATTGTTTCCTCAGCTAGATTGCTAGTTACTTTAGGAAAAGTAGCCCTTAAGATTTATTTTGCATGCTTCTTCCCAACCTCACCCCATACCCCCATTGCCTAGTTCTAATCATTATTAATTAAATGAAATACTAAAGTATTGACAATAGTAGGTAGGAGAAGCAATGGGGTACCAAACACACTGTAATTCATCCACTTAACAGCTCACAATCACTGTGTTTTTTCTTGCATACATGATTAAAATGTCTTTTCACAAAATAAAAGCTATCCTCGGTTCTAAACAGTTTAACAATCCCTAAAGGGCCTACAAGAGCATGCAATAAGTACTTGCATTTCTTGACAGTAATTGTTTCCTTGTATAAGATTCCTTTCATGATAGCACATTGAAATGAGGTTCTCCCCCTTTGTTTAAACACTAATCAAACAAATTCTATACATTACTTTTCTCTTGTAGAAGTCTGGCCAAGCATCTTGAGTTAATATGTACCCTCTATGAATGTTTCCTATTTTCATGCATGCTTATGTTTAAATTAGATAGGCCAATTTAATTAGTCTTTTAATCCTGCAGAACAGTGATGCAAGACCCTCATGCTGGGCTGATGTCATCCTATTCAGAGTCTCATATCACATTTCCTTACATGTTCTTTGCTTATTTTACAATAAAGGGTTAATGGATGATGCAATATTGATAAGGAACTTACAATTTGATCACAAGAAAATTGTCTGCTCTTCAGAAATTTTCTACCTGGCCTCTAAATTCTTTTGACTCCAATATTTAGTGATAAGGAAGCCATTAGCTGTCATTTGGCTTGGGTATACAGACTTATTTCAGTAATACACAGGCACACGTTTGTGAACAATTTTGAGAACTGTTTTCCTTGCCAAGATTCACTAGGGCCACACAAAGTCCCTGCGCACCTAAGGCCACCTTCAAAGTGGGAGCAGGACCAAGGAGATTTGTTTTATTCCAAGAACTGGCCAGTAGATTTATAGAAAATGACATTTGAAAGTCTTTTTAAATTTTGTAATAGGCAAAGGCACTGGCACTAGATAAGATTGCAGTAGGGAAGGGCAGCTTATGTTGTCTTAGGAAAATAGACAGCTTTTGTGAATCCATTCACTTCTGTGAAAATTTGACTTCCTCTGTGCTTTGCCTACATCAACTGGTAATTTAGGTCCAGGAGGTACACGAAAATAATTAGGACTAATATTGCACAACACGGGCTCTCAACTCTGCCTGCAGGTTAAACTCACCTGGAGAGTGCTGAGAAAGCCAGCGCCTGTGGCCCACCACAGACAACTGAATCACAATCTCTTCGGGGGGAGCCCAGGCACTGGTACTTTTCTTAAAGCTCACAAGGGGATTCTAATGTGCAGCCAGTGTTTAAAGCAGTGACAGCAAGAGTGGATGGGGGCGCAATTAAAAAGTAGGAGAGGCATCGAGGGACAACCGCACTGATCAAGCCGGTGACTTTCTGACTCAGCAGTGACACTGAATGAGTGTTTTGGGTTCAATGTCATTTTTTAGTTTAGGGCACAGCCCACGGTTGGGTATTCCAGGAGAGGTGTTCCAGAGGAGGGGAAAGGGAGCGGTAGCTGGCTGTTCAGGGAGAGGGAAGGGAGGAAGAGAGAGAGCAAGGAGGATGTTCTATCCAAATTGAAAAGCGTATGAAAAGTGCCCTGGGCAGGGAGTCCAGTAATGGAGAATCGTCTTGGCTCTGACATATGTCACAACCAAATATGTGACCCGTGGGTAGGTCATTTCTCTTGCCTTGGCCTCATCTTCCCCAAGACAAAATTACATGGGATGGTTCATGTTTTTCAAGTTCCTTCTGGTTCTGAGATCCTCTAGGTATGTTCCATCAAAAGTACTGGGGCATTACAGATGCATTTGCCTGGACCACCTGGCCATGGGGAAGGGGGTTCAGAACTGTGTTCACCTCCCAGGTAATCCGGGGCAAATGCTAAAACTTGAAAACAGATCTAGAGTTATTTCAGAATTACTATTATTTAAGCATTTCATTATCTCAAACACTACTCAGTAATGTCAAGAAAGGCAACGGGCTTGACCTCCCTGTCCATAAAATGAGATGTCAGGGTGAACTCAGCCTACCGCTTAAGACAAATCCTCATACTGTGATCTATAGTTTTATTTGGCTGCTGTGTTTCGTGCTGTTAATTTATAAGCTCGTTGAAAAGAGACACTGGTTGTCTAATAGACTTTTAATGTGACATGGCACATAATAGCCTAAACAAAGCACATTCAGTGTTCCTACTTTTTCTATAAAAAGTTGTGTTCCTGGAAAGCTGCATGTCAATGGCCCTCCCATCAATCAAAACCAATTTTAAATGTACAGTACATTAAGTACATTAAGTGCTATATAAGGGAATCCTGTGGTGAGTGCTTTTGAAGAGCGACTACATTTTTTGGAAATGCTAATAATTACATCTTAATTCAACTGTTTGGTAAATCTAAACTTTTAACATAGCAATTTCAACGTAAAATAGGGGTTGCTTTATGTTCCTTTAATTTGAACCATTAGTTAACAAGGGAGCCTGAAGTATTTTATAATAAATTCTGCGTGTAGTCCATGTTCCTTTAGAATGTATACTTCCAGCAAAAGGAGGGGTGTTTTATTGGTTTAAAATTCAGGGTGCTTCTGTGTGTTAAGCCCATGAGAGAGAGAGAACAAGAACAGCCCAGCATAGTGATGACTTATGTACGCTTGCGAGGCCCAGGGGCAGCATGGTGTAATGAAATGTGTATATCATTATAACTTTGGGGCCTGGGCTCTTTTGCCGACCACCACCTAGTTGGGTGAGTCCCTTTCCTTCTCTGGGCTTCAGTTGTTTATCTATGTGATGGAAAAATCAGACTAGGTGATAGGTCTAACATTCTAGGAGTCAGGCTCTTTTAAGAGTCTGAATCAACTGGGCACAGTGGCTCATGCCTGTGATCCCAGCACTTTGGGAGGCCGAGGCGGGTAGATCACTTGACGCCAGGAGTTGAAGACCAGCCTGGCCAACATGATGAAACTCCGTCTCTATTAAAAATGCAAAAGTTAGCTGGATGTGGTGGCACATGCCTGTAATCCCAGCTACTCAGGAGGCTGAGGCATGAGAATAGCTTGAACCCAGGAGGCAGAGTTTGCAGTGAGCCAAGATGGCGCCCCTGTGCTCCAGCCTGGGCGACAGAGCAAGACTCCGTCTCAAAAAACAAAACAAAACAAAACAAAAGAGTCTGAGAGTCTGGATCAACTGAGTTTGTCACATTTTACAGTCTTAAACCACTCACTCGTGCTTTGATCCAGCTTGGCACAAACTCAGAGGATGAGGTGTGGAAGAACCAGACTCATTGTATGTGGTTGTGTACAAAAGTGCTCAGCCTTTGCTACATTTGCCTCCAGCACAGAGTTGCATTGGCTCAGCTGGGGCCCTCATTTTGTGAGATGCTGCATTGGTCCTAGGGAGAGCGGCACCTTTAAACCTAGAGGAAGCAGAGCACGTATCTTGTGGTTAACATCTAAGTGTGGCCCCAAGCCAAAAGGGCTGTCTTTCTGGGCCCAGAGAAGCCTTGACTCAGGAGTGGGGGCCATGGACACATACATACTGCCTAGTCTCAGTGAGGAAGTCAGAGTTAGGGAGGAATTATGAAAGCCCAAAGACTTGCAAGACAGAGGGACCTACCTGGCATGACTGACTGGAAACACGACTTCCTCGACAGTCTGTATGAAGCTGTTTCCCAGAGGACTGGGTTCCTCCTTAGAGCCTTAGGTTAAAGTTGTCTAAAGCAGTGGTTCCCAATCTGGGCTACTTACCAGAATCACCTGGGAAGCTAGTGAAGCCATAAACTCCAGAGCCACTCCCCAATTCCACTGGGTGAGGCTTGAAAATCTGTAACTTTAATCAACTCCCCAGGAAATCTTTTGCAGCCAGAGCAGCACCGGATAACACGATAGTGTTTGAACACTGGCTTTACAGTGATGGTTTGGGCACCGAGCATTAAGCTGTGGGCAGGATTGTAGTGCAATTCACAGTCATGACTGGGGATGTACAAGGACACTATTTGGAGCTTTTGTCTTGGTGGCCAAGTGAACATGATCTCAGATCGGGAGCCACCAAGTGGGCAGAGATAAGTCAAAGAAATGAGGCTGATAGTTCCAGGACTTAATTAGAGGAGCCAGTTCTGAGAGGTCCTCTAGGAAAGTTGGTCCTCTAGGAACACCAGTACTCCCTCTTGTCCACCAGCTGCTGTTGCTGTCCCCAAGCACTTCTCACCTTGAGCCAACGGAAGTGTGAACAACAGACACTTGGCAGACACAAGGGTGGATCTGCACCCCGCCCCTTGATATCCATCTCTCGCTTTGCCCTCTGCGTGCTTGAAGTAACCTTTTTCACTCCATGGCTTATTAGACACTTGGCCTGGGCATCATCAAACCAGGCATCTTGTAATCCCAGGGGAAACTGGGGCACAGTCGAGCATAAACCCTGGTAATGACCTTGAAGTTATTTTCTCCTCATCCAGCCAGAGTTCCTCATGCAAATGTGCTGTGACATCTTTATCTGCCATCCTCAAAATTAGAATGTGAGAAGCAGAAATAAATTAACTCAGTGTAACTGAAATTCTGCCAGAAAATTTCATTTAAAGCTTTTCATAAGAAGAAGTGGGAATAAAATGCATTCTCCTAAAGACCAGAGATTGGCTGATGTCCCATGATGGGGTAATAAATGGTCTGGTGTATAAAGCAGTGATCTGTTTTTACTCCTAGTGTTAAAACTAAGCATTCATTTTTGGTAAATATATTGATTTTCAGTAAAGGTAAAAACAACTTCACTGAAGACGGCTTCAGCCTTTGGTCAAAATTTCATTTTTGCAGAAAACTATTTTGTTATGTTCCCAGGATGCCAATTAGAGACATATTTTCTAAGCATTCATTTTAGGCAAGTGTTCTGCTTCATAATACTTAAAAAGAAATTAAAAACTTGAATAGATGTAATAACCATTCTCATCAGTAATTCAAAAATTAATGCATTTTCAACTTAAATCCTACTAGGTTTCTCACAGAAATTGAAAAGCTAATCCTAAAATTCACAGAAGAAAAATGGCCAAAAAAGCAACAAAAAATTTGATAAGAATAAAGAATATTTGGACTGAGTTTTCTTTAAAAAAAAAAACAACAAAGAATGAAGGCTTCGCTATCAAATATCAAAATTTCACAGTCAAAGCAATTAAAACATGGTGTATCAGCGGGACAGACCAAAGGGATAGAACAGAGATGAGAAACAGGAGGTTCAAGAGGGAAAACATGGACCGATAAATATGATCCTAGGTCCATGGTTGTCAAACTGGGGGAGAAAAAACTGTTAGACCCAGTGCAAAAAGCAAAACATAAAAACTTTTATTTAAAAAATAAACAGGAAAGCATTTGTGTCATTTAGATAGGGGAAGATTTATTAAACAGAAAGCAAAAAGCAAACACCAACTATGATCATTAAAATGTAAGACTTCTGCACAGAAGACACCATAAATAATGACAAGAAAAAGATACCGAGAAAAGACATTTGCAACATGTAGCAGACTCAGATTTAGTTCAATGTATATTAAAAACTCCTACCCTCAAGGAAAAAAAAAAAACAACAATCAAAAAAAAAAAAAAAACAAGCAAAATAAATGAACAATTCATCGGCCAATAGTCCTAAAAGAATATTTTAAAGGTAATCAGGGCAATACAAATTAAAACAGTGGGATGCCACATCGTATTTATTAGTTGACAAAAATTAAAATCTGACATTAAAGGGTTAGTAAGGATGTAAAGCAACTCTTGCATACTGCCGGTGGGGATGTGAGCTAATGTAACCATGTTGATAAGCAATCACACAATAGTCAGCTAAGCTGAGGATGTGCATATTCTACAACCCAGCAGGTCCTTCCTCAGTATACATGTATATATCTTAGAGAGATTTGCACACTTATACCCAAGGAGACACATGCAACGATGTTCACTAGAACACTGTTTGTGGTCATAAAAAACTGAAAACAACTTAAATGTCTGCTAACAAATGAATGGGTAAAAACTGTGATACTGTATTGTCATTCGAGGAATAGCATAGAGAATTAAAATGAATGAACCAGATCTATATCACAGATAAATCTATAAAATTATGTTCCATTTAAAAAGCAAGTTACAAAACAATGTGTACAGTATACCATTTATATAAAGTAAAATTCACAAAACAAACATATATTGGCAGTCTTGTATATATTTTTTTAAGTGTTCACATATGAATGAGCTAAACACCAACTTCAGCCCAGGGGTTATCTCTGGGCAGACAGAAAGAGCAGGAATCCCCCAACAAGGAGACTTGAACTGACTCTGATGTTTTATTTCGTCAAGAAAGCAAGTGAAAAAAAAATTTTTTTAAGAGACAAGGTCTCACTCTGTCACCCAGGCTAGAGTGCAGTGCTGCTGGCATAGCTCATTGCAGCCTCGAGCTCCTGGGCTCAAGCAATCCTCCCACCTCAGCCTCTTGAGTAGCTGGGACTACAGGCATACACCACCATGCCAGCTAATTTTTAAATATTTTTTAGAGACAGGGTCTCAGTGTGTTGCCCAGGCTGCTCTTGAACTCCTGCCCTCAAGCGATCATCCCACCTTGGCCTCCCCAAGTACTAGGATTACAGGCATGAGCCACTGCACGCAGCCCGAATACAAAATTTTTATATTTGCTAACTATGGTTTATTAGGTTGTCACTAAATCATTCTTGCTTTTTCATCTATATTGGAAATATTTCCAATGTTTTTAAAGGCTCTGTATGTCTATGTGCCAATGAGCATTTGTTTTATTTTGCATGTGCCACGTTATGGGTATAGCAAGGAGACTTAACCCCAGTGCATTGAATTTGAAGATGTAACATGAACACTAATAAGTGATTGTTCTGCACAGTACAACTTTGAAACAGATGCAATTCACAAATTGTTCTCCAGTTATCAGCCAGTGCCTACCACTTAGATATAAGACATTCACGTAGGTGAGCAATGCCTGAACATGGTCTAGGATGGGGTGGCAGGTCAGTCTTATTACTGTACAAAAACAACACTGCGGACTTCACATATACGTAGTTCTCTAACTTC